>NT_167251.2:1324639-1624639 GCF_000001405.40 Homo sapiens
TCCACCTCCCAGGTTCAAGCGATTCTCCTGCCTCAGCCTTCCGAGTAGCTGGGATTACAGGTATGTGCCACCACGACCTGCTAATATTGTATTTTTAGTGGAGATGGGGTTTCTCCATGTTGGTCAGGCTGGTCGCAAACTCCCAACCTCAGGTGATCCGTTCATCTTGGCCTCCCAAAGTGCTGGGATTACAGGCATGAGCCATCGTGCCCAGCCCTATTATTCTTTTTCAAAATTTTTTTAAAATTGCGATGGGATTTTGCCATGTTACCTAGGCTGGTCTCAAACTCCTGGGCTCAAGCAATCCTGCCACCTCTTTCTCCCGAAGTGTGGGATTACAGGTGTGAGCCAGCATGCTCGGCTCTTTATTTTATTTTATTTTATTTTATTTTATTTTATTTTATTTTATTTTATTTTATTTTATTTTATTTTTTGAGAGAGAGTCTTGCTCTGTCACCCAGGCTGGAGTGCAGTGGTGTGATCTCGGCTCACTGCAACCTCCACCTCCCAGGTTCAAGTGATTCTCCTGCCTCCCTCTCGAATACCTGGGATTACGGGTGCCCACCACCACGCCTGGCGAATTTTTGTAGTTTTAGTAGAGATGTGGTTTCATCATGTTGACCAGGCTGGTCTTGAACTGCTGACCTCAGGTGATCTGCCCACCTTTGCCTCCCAACATGCTGGGAGGGTGTGAGCCACGGTGCCCAGCCTTTTATTTTTTATTTTTTATTTTTAATCTGTCTTGATTTTGCTTCCTTCCTAAACAGTTTTGGCTTCGTGATCACGTAAACCAAGAGTCACAAACTGAAATGCCATCAAGGGGCCAAGCAGGTAACAAAATTCAAGTCATACAGGTTCAATGTCTTAGTCACCCCAGGCTACAACAGAATATCATAGACTGGGTAGCCTAATAATACAGATCATTTTCTCAGGGTTCTAGAGGCTAGAAAGTCCAAGATCGAGATTCCCAAAGGGTTAAGTTTCTGGTGTTGATGCAGGGCAGGTAAGCCACAAAACTGGGGCTTAGACTGAGAGGGTTCTTGGCTTCACCCAGGAAATAATTCAAGGGCAAACCGAAGGTGTTAGAGGCCAACTTTTTTTTTTTTCGGGACAGGGTCTCACTCTGTCACCCAGGCTGGAGTGCAGTGGCTCACTGCAGACTCTGCCTCCTGGGTTCAAGTGATTCTCCCGCCTCAACCTCCTGAGTAGCTGGGAGTGCAGGTGTGCGCCAAAACACCCAACTAATTTTTTTGTATTTTTAGTAGAGATGGGGTTTCACCATGTTGACCAGGCTGGTCTCAAACTCCTGGCCTCAAATGATCCACCCGCCTCAGCCTCCTAGAGTGCTGGGATTACAGGCATTACCCACTGCACCTGGCCTAGATGCCAACTTTTATTGAAGCAGTGGCCTATAGCAACAGCAGAGGGACTGCTCCTTGCAGAGCAGGGCTACCCTGTAGGTAGTGTGACCAGAGTAGCAGCTCAGGGCAGTTCTGCAGTCATATTTACATTGACCTTTAATTATATGCAAATTAAGGGGCAGACTATACAGACGTTTCTAGAAAAAGGCTGATAACTTCTGGGTTGTCAAGTTGTTGCCATTGAAAGGGGTGGTAGGCTGAGCACAGTGGCTCATGCCTGTAATTCCAGCACTTTGGGAGGCCAAGGCAGGTGGATCATGAGGTCAAAAGTTCAAGACCAGCCTGGCCAAGATGGTGAAACACTGTCTCTACTAAAAATACGAAAATCAGTTTGGCGCGGTGGCAGGCGCCTTTAATCCCAGCTACTCGGGAGGCTGAGGCAGGAGAATTGCTTGAACCTGGGGGGTGGAGCTTGCAGGGAGCCAAGACTGTGCCACTGCACTCCAGCCTGGGCGACAGAGTGAGACTCCGTCTCAAAAAAAAAAAAAAAAAAAAGGCGGTGGGGTGGTAACTCTGGGTTCTGCCATGGAAATGGTAAACTGACATGGCGCACTGGTGAGCGTGTCTTATGGAAAGCTGCTTTCATCCTGTCCCTGTTTCAGCTAGTCATCAATTTGGTCTGGTGTCCAAGCCCCATCTCTGGAGTCCAGTTCCACCTCCTACCTCAGCGTGGGCTTTATTACCTGGCTTGCCTTCTTGAAGTAGCTTCATGTGGCAGAGAGAAAGCTAGGGAGCTCTCTGGGTTCTCGTCTCATAAAGACACTAATTCTATTAGATCAGTGCCCAGCTTTATGACCTCATTTGACCTTAATTACTTCCCATAAATCCCCCTTTTTTTTTTTTTGAGACAGAGTCTTACTCTGTCACCCTGGCTGGAGTGCAGTGGCATGCTCTCGACTCACTGCAACCTCTGCCTCCCAGGTTCAAGCAATTCTCCTTCCTCAGCCTCCTGAGTAGCTGGGACGAGAGGTGCGCACCACCATGCCTGGCTAATTTTCGTTTATTTTTTTTTTGAGATGGAGTCTTGCTCTGTCGCCCAGGCTGGAGTGCAGTGGTGTGATCTCGGCTCACTGCAACCTCTGTCTCCCGGGTTCAAGTGATTCTCCTGCCTCAGCCTCCCAAGTAGCTGGGACTACAGGCGTGTGCCACGACACCTGGCTAATTTTTTTTTTTTTTTTGTATTTTTAGTAGAGATGGGGTTTCACTGTGTTAGCCAGGATGGTCTTGATCTCCTGACCTCGTGATCTGCCCGCCTCGGCCTCCCAAAGTGGTGAGATTACAGGTGTGAGCCACTGCACCCCGCCAAGTTTTTATATTTTTAGTAGAGATGTTTTTAGTAGAGATGGGGTTTCACCATATTGGCCAGGCTGGTCTTGAACACCTGACCTCAAATGGTCCACCCGCCTTGGCCTCCCAAAGTGCTGTGATTACAGGCTTGAGCCATCGCATCCAGCCCCACAGTTAATACTTAATGATGAAAGACTGTAAGTTTTTCTCCTAAGATCAGGAAGAAGACAAGGATATTCACTCTTGCCACCTCTATTCAACATTATACTTAAATTTCTAGCCAGGAAATTAGCAAGAAAAAGAAATAAAAGCCACACAAATTAGAAAGGAAGAAATAAAACCATATGTATTTGCATATGACATGATCTTGTATGTAGGAAATTCTAAGGAATCCACAAAACCGTTAGAACAAGTAAACAAATTCAGCAAAGTTGCAGGTGTAAGAGTGATATAAAAAAAATTGGCCTGGTGCAGTGGCTCATGCCTGTAATCCCAGCACTTTGGGAGGCCTAGGTGGGCAGATCATGAGGTCAGGAGTTCGAGACTAACCTGACCAACATGGTGAAAACCCATCTCTACTAAAAATACAAAAATTAGCTGGGGGTTGTGGCACGCACCTGTAATCACAGCTATTCGGGAGACTGAGGCAAGAGAATCGCTTGAACCCAGGAGGCAGAGGTTGCAGTGAGCCGAGATCACACCACTGCACTCCAGCCTGGGTAACAGAGCGAGACTGGCTCAAAAAAAAAAAAAAAAAGTAAATAAATAAATAAATTGTATTTCTATACAGTAACAATTAGCAAGCTGAAAATGAAACTAAGAAAATTCATTTACAATATCGTTTACAAACACACACTTAGGAATAAATTTGACCAAAGTGCTAGACCTTTTTCTTATTTATTTATCTTTTGGTTCCTAAAGTATCCACACCAAACACAAAATAAAGCAAAATCTTTTTTTTTTTTTTTTTTTTTTTTTGAGACGGAGTCTCACTCTTTTGCCCAGGCTGGACTGCAGTGGCGCTATCTTGGCTCACTGCAAGCTCCGCCACCCGGGTTCACACCATTCTCCTGCCTCAGCCTCCCGAGTAGCTGGGACTACAGGAGCCTGCCACCGCGCCTGGCTAATTTTTTGTATTTTTAGTAGAGACGGGGTTCCACCGTGTTAGCCAGGATGGTCTCGATCTCCTGACCTGGTGATCTGCCTGCCTGGGCCTCCCAAAGTGCTGGGATTACAGGCATGAGCCACCGTGCCCGGCCACAAAATCTTAATAGTGATAAATTAATTTTGCAAAGTTGGAGGATACAAGATCAACGTACAAAAATCAGTTGTTTATTTATTTTTTAAGAGACAAGACCGCTCCTCTCTCCGGTCCGTGCCTCCAAGATGACAAAGAAAAGAAGGAACAATGGTCGTGCCAAAAAGGGCCGCGGCCACGTGCAGCCTATTCGCTGCACTAACTGTGCCCGATGCGTGCCCAAGGACAAGGCCATTAAGAAATTCGTCATTCGAAACATAGTGGAGGCCGCAGCAGTCAGGGACATTTCTGAAGTGAGCGTCTTCGATGCCTATGTGCTTCCCAAACTGTATGTGAAGCTACATTACTGTGTGAGTTGTGCAATTCACAGCAAAGTAGTCAGGAATCGATCTCGTGAAGCCCGCAAGGACCGAACACCCCCACCCCGATTTAGACCTGCGGGTGCTGCCCCAGGTCCCCCACCAAAGCCCATGTAAGGAGCTGAGTTCTTAAAGACTGAAGACAGGCTATTCTCTGGAGAAAAATAAAATGGAAATTGTACTTAAAAAAAAAAAAAAAAAAGAGACAAGACCGCACTATGTTGCCGAGGCTAGAATGCAGTGATCATTTACGGGCACAATTATAATGCACTATAGCCTCAAACATGGCCGCAAGCAATCCTCCTGACTCAGCCTCCCAAGTAGCTGGTACTACAGGTGGTGCACCACTACACCTGGCTCAGTTGAATTTCTATACACCAGAAATGAACAATCCAAAAATGAAATTAATAAAACAATTCCATTTGTAATGGCACCAAAAAAAAACTTAGGAATAAATTTAACCAAGGAAGTGCAAACTACAAAACATTATTGAAAGAAATTAAACTTAAATACATGAAAAGACATTGTGTGTTCATGGATTGAAAGACTTACTACTCTTCACATAGCAATGCTTCCCAAATTGATCTACAGACTCAACACAATCTCTATCAAAATCCCAACTACCTTTTTTGCAAAAATGGACAAGCTGATTCTAAAATTCACATTAAATTGTAAGGAACTTCAAATAGACAAAACAATCTTGAAAAATAAGAACAAAATTGGAAGACTCACGCTTCTTGATTCAAAATCTAATTCAAAGTACCAGTAGTTGAGCCCCTGGGCACTGGCATAAGGACTGACATATAGATCAATGGAATAGAATTGAAAGTCCAGAAATGAGTGCCCACATTACGATCAACTGATTTTTTTTCTTTTTTGAGACAGGGTCTCACTCTGTCACCCAAGCTGGAGTGCAGTGATCAAGGCTCACTGCAGCCTCCGTCTCCCGATCCCCCTGCCTCAGCCTCCTAAGTCACTGGGACCACAGGTATGTGCCACCACGCCCAGCTAATCTTTTTTTTTTTTTTTTGAGACAGAGTTTCGTTCTTGTTGCCCAGGCTGGAGTGCAATGGCGCAATCTCGGCTCACCACAACCTCCACCTTCTGGGTTCAAGCGATTCTTCTGCCTCAGCCTCCCTAGTAGCTGGGATTACAGGCATGAGTCACCACACCAGACTAATTTTGTATTTTTAGCAGAAATGGGGTTTCTCCATGTTGGTCAGGTTGGTCTCGAACTTCTGACCTCAGGTGATCCACCTGCATTGGCCTCCCAAAGTGCTGGGATTACAGGCGTGAGCCACCATGTCTGGCTTGCCCAGCTAATCTTTTTAATTATTATTTTTAGAAATGGAGTGTGCCTATATTGCCCAGGCGGGTTTTGAACTTCTGGGGCTCAAATGGTCTTCTTGCCTTGGCCTCCCAAAATACTGGGATTACAGGTGTGAACCATGGTGCCCAGCCAAGGTCAACTGATTTTTAACAAATATGCCAAGACAATTCAATGAGAGAAAGTGTAGGAAAAAAAGTCTTTTCAAACAATGGTCCTGGGACAACTGGATACCCACACACAATAGAATGAAGTTGAACCCTCACCTCATATTATCTATAAAAATTAACTCAAAATATAACAAAGCCTTTGTTTATAAAACATTTGTTAGACTGAAAAGTAGAAAACTCTTTTTTTTGTTTTTAGATGGAGTCTTGCTCTGTTGCTCTGTTGCCAGGCTGGAGTGCAGTGGCATGATCTCAGCTCACTGCAACCTCCACCTCCTGGGTTCAAGCCATTCTCCTGCCTCAGCCTCTGGAGTAGCTGGGACTACAGGTGCGTGCCACCACGCCCAACTAATTTTTTTTTTTTTTGAGACGGAGTTTTGCTCTTGTTGCCCAGGCTGGAGTGCAATGGCACGATCTTGGCTCACCGCAACCTCTGCCTCCTGGGTTCAAGCGATTCTCCTGCCTCAGCTCCCAAGTAGCTGAGATTACAGGCATGCGCCACCATGCCCCGCTAATTTTTTTGTATTTTTAGTAGAGACGGGGTTTCTGCATGTTGATCAGGCTGGCCTCGAACTCCCCACCACAGGTGATCCACCCACCTTGGCCTCCCAAAGTGCTGGGATTACAGGCATGAGCCACCGTGCCCGGCCCAGTTTTTTGTATTTTTTTAATAGAGACGGTGTTTCACCATGTTGGCCTTAGAGGAAAACATAGACGTACATCTTTATGACCTTTGGATTAGCAAGTTTTCTTAGATATGACACAAGTGTTTAACACAGAGCTCCCATATGACCCAGTAATTCCATTCCTAGGTATATATGCAAGAGAAACGAAACAGAAAAACTTAAAACACACACACATATGGCGAAACCCTATCTCTACTAAAAATACAAAAATTTTGCTGGTGTGGTGGCTCATGCATGTAATCCCAGCACTTTGGCAGGCTGAAGAAGGTGGATCATTTGAGGTCAGGAGTTTGAGATCAGCCTGGACAACATGGTGAAACCCCATCTCTACTAAAAAATACAAAAATTAGCTGGGTGTGGTGGCACACGCTTGTAATCCCAGCTACTTGGGAGGCTGAGGCAGGAGAATCTCTTGAACCCAGGAGGTGGAGCTTGCAGTGAGCCGAGATCACACCACTGCACTCCATCCTGGGCAACAGAGACTCTATCTCAAAAAAAAAAAAAAAAAAGAAAGAAAAATTAGCCGGGCATGGTGACAGGTGCCTGTAATCCCAGCTACTTGGGAGATTGAGGTGGGAGGATCAGCTGAACCTGGGAAGCAGAGGTTGCAGCCAGCCAGGATTGTGCCACTGCACTCCAGCCTGGGCAACAGAGTGAGACTCCGTCTCAAAAAATAAAAATAAAAATAATACACACACACATATACACATACACCTCTTTATTTCTTCAGCGAGACCTGAAGATATATATCCATAACATAAGAACAGGATGCTATAAAAAATGAACAATAAGAAAGCAAGAAAAACTATCATAAATTAGAAATATGATAGCCAAGGCTGGGTGCAGTGGCTCACACCTGTAATCTCAGCACCTTGGGAGGCTGAGGCGTGTGGATCACTTGAGGCCAGGAGTTTGAGACCAACCTGGCCAATATGGTGAAACCCCGTCTCTACTGAAAATACAAAAATAAGCTGGGCATGGTGGCCCACGCCTGCAATCCCAGCTACTCAGGAGGCTGAGGCAGGAGAATCACTTGAACCCAGGAGGCGGAGGTTGCAGTGAGCTGAGATCAAGCCACCGCATTCCAACCTGGGTGACAGAGTGAGAACCTGTCTCAAAAAAAAATAAATAAATAAAAGCCAAAATTAAAAATTCAATACAAAATTTGAAGGTTGAAGAAATCTCCTAGAGTGTAGTATTTAAATTCTTTTTCTTTTGAGACAAGGTCTTGCTCTGTCTCCCAAGCTGCTGTGCCGTGGCGCCATTCTAGCTTACTGCAAGCCTCAAACTCCTGGCCTCAAGCAAGTCTCATATCTCAACCTCTGAAAGTGCTGGATTATAGGCATGAGCCACTGCAGCTGGCCAGAATGTAGAATTTAAAAGGTGTTGAAAAATATAAAAAATAAGAAAATTGGAGGATTGAGGCTGGTTGAAGGCAGAGGCAGGAGAATAGCTTGAGCCCAGGAGCTTGAGTATAGCCTGGGAAACACAGAAAGCCCATCTCTATATTAAAAAAAAAAATTCTTTTTTTTTTTTTTTTTTTTTTTTTTTAAGAGAGAGTCTTGCTCTGTCACCCAGGCTGGAGTGCAGTGGTGCGATCTTGGCTCACTGCAACCTCCACCTTCCGGGCTCAAGCAATTCTTATGCCTCAGCCTCCCATGTAGCTGAGATTATAGGTGTGTGCCACCACACCCGGCTAATTTTTGTATTTTTAGTAGAGACAGGGTGGGGGAGTGTTGGGGGAGATGGGGCATGGCAGGGAGGGGATGGCGGGTTTTACCATGTTGGCCAGGCTGGTCTTGAGCTCCTGGCTTCAGGTGATCCTCCCACCTCAGCCTCTAAAAGTGGGATTACAGACATAAGCCACTGCGCCCAGCATTTTTTTTTTTTTTTTTAGACAGTGTTGCTGTGTTGCCCAGGCTGGAGTGCAGTGGCACAATCTCGGCTCACTGCAACGTCTGCCTCCTGGGCTCCAGCGATTGTCGTGCCTCAGCCCCCCAAGTAGCTGGGATTACAGGTGCACACCATCATGCCTGGCTAACTGTATTTTTAGTAGAGATGGGGTTTCACCATGTTGGCCAGGCTGCTCTCAAACTCCTGGCTTCAAGCAATTCACCTGCCTCAGCCTCCCACAGTGCTGGGATTACAGGCCTGAGCCACTGCACCAAGCCCCAGCTCCAGATTGTGAGTTTCAGAGCCAGGCTAGATAGGATTCAGACTCAGAACTGTGAGATTTCTGCTGCTCAGGCTGTTAACCAGTGACTCATGGTTTTTTTTTTTTCAGGCAGAGTTTTACTCTTGTTGCCCAGGCTGGAGTGCGATGGCTCGATCCCAGCTCATTGCAACCTCCGCCTCCCAGGTTCAAGTGATTCTCCTGCCTCAGCCTCCCAAGTAGCTGGGATTACAGGTGCCCGCCACCATGCCCAGCTAATTTTTGAATTTTTAGTAGAGACGGGGTTTCACCATGTTGGCCAGGCTGGTCTCGAGCTCCTGACTTCGTGATCTGCCCACCTCGGCCTCCCAAAGTGCTGGAATTACAAGCGTGAGCCACCGCGCCCTGCCTGACTTGTGGTCTTTTGAGATTATTTCTGATGTCCCATAGACATTTCAAAAGCAAAATGTCAAAAGCTACACTTGCCTCTCAAACCTTCATTCTCTCTGTGTGATAGGCACCCTCCTTCCCATCTTCCTTCGCTTCCATGGGTCACTCAAAGCTGAAGACCTGCAAGCCATCTCAGGATCCTGTCCTGTATCCCATCAACACTCATCACACCCTCTCAATTCTGGCTCCTAAATTCCCCTTGGATTTGGCCTCTCTTCCCCGTTCCCCACTGGCATTTTTTTTATTTCAGGTCTTTATGATTTCTTGCCTGGGTTTCTGCAGCAGCCTCCTAACTGCTCTCCCTGACTCCAGTCTTGCCCTCTCTGTTTCATTTTTCATATTGCACACAGGGTGATTTTTCTAAAATATAAATGTGACCACATCTCTTGCAGGCTTAAAACCTCTCAAAGGTTCTTCACCCCCTCAAGGCTGCAGCACACACCTCCCAGCACAGCTCTGCAAGTTGACCCCGCCCTTCTTCTCCATCGGTGGTTCTCAGAGTGTAGCCCTAAGAGCAGCAGCACTCTGACCCGCTCCATCAAGATCTCTAGGCTTGGAGCTTGCGAGACTATGTAAACAAGGCCAGTTTTTTGTTCGTTTGTTTGTTTTTTGGAGACAGAGTCTCGCTGTGTCACCCAGGCTGGAGTGCAGTGGCTTGATCTTGGCTTACTCCATCTCCACCTCCCAGGTTGAAGTGATTCTCCCGCCTCAACCTCCTGAGCAGCTGGGACTATAGGTGTGCACCACCACACCCAGCTAATTTTTGCATTTTTAGTAGAAATGGGGTTTCAGGCCGGGCGCGGTGGCTCACGCCTGTAATCCTAGCACTTTGGGAGGCCAAGGCGGACGGATCACGAGGTCAGGAGATCGAGACCATCCTGGCTAACATGGTGAAACCCCGTCTCTACTAAAAATACAAAAAATTTAGCCGGGCATGGTAGCGGGTGCCTGTAGTCCCAGCTACTCGGGAGGCTGAGGTAGGAGAATGGCGTGAACCCAGGAGGCGGAGCTTGCAGTGAGCCGAGATCACGCCACTGCACTCCAGCCTGGACGACAGCGAGACTCTGTCTCAAAAAAAAAAAAAAAAAAAAAAAAAAGAAAGAAAAAGAAAAAAAAAAGAAATGGGGTTTCACCACATTGGCCAGGCTAGTTTCGAACTCCTGACCTCAAGCGATCCACCCGCCTTGACCTCCCAAAGTGCTTGGATTACCGGTGTGAGTCACTGTGCCCAGCCAACAAGGCCAGTTTTTATGCACATTTAAGTTTGAGAACCACATTGCAGTTAATCTCATCTGGTTTCCTTTCTTGAACTCCATGCTTTAGCCTCATTGAACCATCAGTTTCTGGAAAATGGTATATTATCCCTCACCTTCTATAACTTGCACATGCTATTCTCTGCCCTTATCCCATGGCAATGGCTTTGTCTGCTTTTATCCATATTCCCCACCTCTGTGGAAACTGGAAGGCAGGGTCACCACCTTATTCATCTTTACATCTTTAGGGTCTTGGACCTGACATACAGTAGGTGCTCAATAACTATTTTATTTCTCTCTCTCTCTCTTTTTTTTTTAGAGAAGGGGTCTCACTCTGTCACCTAGGCTGGAGTGCAGTGGCTCAATCATGGCTCACCTCCCCCTCAACCTCCTGGGCTCAAGCAATCCTCCTGCCTCAGCCTCCCAAGTAGCTGAGACTACAGGCACTCACCACCATGGCCAGCTAATTTTTAATTTTTTTGTAGAGATGGGGGTCTTGTTATGTTGCCCTGGCTGGTCTCCAAATATTGGCCTTAAGTGATCCTTCCACCTCAGCCTCCCAAAAGCGCCACTGCACTACAGCCTGGGCGACAGAGTAAGATTCCATCTCAAAAAATAAAAATAAAGATAATACACACACACATATACACATACACCTCTTTATTTCTTCAGCGAGACCTGAAGATATATATGCATAATATAAGAACAGGATGCTATAAAAAGTGAACAATAAGAAAACAAGGAAAACTATTATAAATTAGAAATATGATAACCAAGGCTGGGTGCGGTGGCTCACGCCTGTAATCTATTACAGGCGTGAGCCAGTGAGCCTGGCCATTCAATAACTATTTTCTTAATGAACATTGAGGGTGAGATGAGCAGAAACGTAACTGCTAAAAGCAGGCAACATTCAGCTACCAGGATTTATGAGGGAGAACACAGTAAACTGTGCTATTACTTAGGAATACCTAGAGTCAATGTACATTTATTTTCATTTTACTCTAGCCCCACTGGTGATCTCTGCCCAGTAATCTAACTAAATTGATGACAGTGGGAATAAAAGGAAATCATAGATATGTATTATTGTAAAGGAAAAGAAATGCAAATGAATGGGTACAGGGACAGTCTGTACAATTGAAGATCTCATCTCTTCATATATATATATATTTTTTTTTTCTTTTTTTTTTCAAGACAGGATCTTAGCACCTACTATTTGCAAGACTCCCCCTATGTTAACCTTTACAGCAATTCTCGGATGGATGTTTTATTATTGAGAGAACTGAGAGACAGAGGTCATTAAATATTTGTCCAAGATCCTACAGCTTCAACATGGTAAATCCACTGCTATTGGAACTTCCTGTTAAGTGAGTTCCATGGCCCCAAACTGCATTCCCACCCATGTTGCTCACAGATTGGTCACAATGTGGCTCACAGTCATAGGCACAGGTGAATGGAACAACCATTATTTTCGATAATGATTCTGGGGTATCATCTTTGACTCAAAAACGCAAACTGTTATTATTATCTATGCAGTCTACAGCCCTCTGCTCTACCAGCTGAGCTATCGAAGAGTGCACAAGCTGTTATTATATCACAAGATTTTTTTTTTCAGACAGGGTCTTATTCTGCGGCCCAGGCTGAAGTGAAGTGGCTCGATGGTAGCTCACTGCAGCCTTGAACTCCTGGGGTCAAGCGATCCTCCTACCTCAGCCTCCCAAGTAGCCGAAACTACAGGCAGGCACCACTATGCCTGGCTGACTTTTGTATTTTTTGTAGAGACGGGGTTTCGCCATGTTGCCAGGCTAATCTGCAACTCCTGGGCTCAAGCAGTCTGCCCACTTCACCCTCCCAAAGTGCTGGGATTTCAGGCTAGAGCCACCATGCCCAGCCCACAAGATCTAAACGCTACTGTTGAAGCAAAAAGACTTGAAGACAGAATTTGCCCTCCTAATATAAGCCCATGGTAACCTGAACCTCCTTCACCCTAACTCTCATCACAGTGTATTGTGATTACTTATTGAGGATGAAATTTGATTTTCCTTTTTGATGTTACTTCTCCAGCACAGTACCTGGTATGTGGAAGGCACTCAAACTAGGGCCAACCTGGTGCCAGCTAACCTGGGACTAGTGCAAGCTCCTGAAATTCACCTGGTCAAGGGACACATGTTCACAGGATCTCCTGGGGTTGTGTCACCCAAAAAAAAAAAAAAAAAAATTTCACCTGGTGTCTCTAGTCACCATGATTTTCTCTAAAATGCCACACAGAATTCTATGTATGGAATTTTTTTCTTTTCTTTTTTCTTTTTCTTTTTCTTTTTTTTTTTTTTTGAGACAGTCTGTCGCCAGTCTGGAGTGCAGTGGCGTGATCTCGGCTCACTGCAGTCTCCTCCTCCCGGGTTCAAGCGGTTCTCCTGCCTCAGCCTCCCGAGTAGCTAGGACTACAGGTCCGTGCCACCACGCCCAGCTAATTTTTGTATTTTTAGTGGAGATGGGGTTTCACCATGTTGGCAAGGATGGTCTAGATCTCTTGACCTTGTGATCTGCCCGCCTCAGCCTCCCAAAGTGCTGGGATTACAGGCGTGAGCCACCGCGCCCGGCCAAAATTTTTTAAAAATAAGGAAAGTTCAAGTTTACTTTAGATACCATAGTTCAGGATTTAAACTCCTGTCCTTACTTTGGAATGTCATTTTAGATACTTATGTGATTGACTGAGGAAAAAGACATTGTAACTGATCTTATCCCCTTTAAAAAAAAAAACCAGCTAACAATTATTCATTTAGTCTTCTGTACATTGTGTGAAATAAAATATAGAAGACTAGGGGACAGTTTCTGCCCTCAAGGAGCTTATGTGGTTTTTTTCGTGCGTTTTTTTGTTGTTGTTGTTTTGTTTTTTTTGTTGTTGTTGTTTTGACAGGTTCTTACACTGTCACCCAGGCTGAAATGCAGTGGTGAGATCTCGGCTGACTGCAACCTCTGCCTCCCAGGCTCAAGTGACCCTCACCTCAGTCTCCTGAGTAGCTGGGACTACAGGCATGCACCATCATGCCCAGCTAATTTGTGTGTGTGTGTTTTTGTAGAGACGAGGTCTCGCCATGTTGCCCAGGCTGGTCTCGAACTCCTGGCTTCAAGTGATTCACCTGCCTCAGCCTCTCAAAGTGCTGCGATTACAGTCATGAGCCACCTCACCCCGCCAGTCAGGCTCTTAAAAAATCCATCATACAGGCCGGGCGCCATGGCTCATGCCTGTAATCCCAGCACTTGGGAGGCCAAGTCGGGCGGATCACGAGGTCAGGAGATTGAGACCATCCTGGCTAACACGGTGAAACCCCGTATGTACTAAAAATAACAAAAAATTAGTCAGGCATGCTGGCGGACGCCTGTAGTCCCAGCTACTCAGGAGGCTGAGGCAGGAGAATGGCGTGAACCCGGAAGGCGGAGCTTGCAGTGAGCTGAGATAGTGCCACTGCACTCCAGCCTGGGAGACAGAGCGAGACTGTGTCTCAAAAAAAAGAAAAAAGAAAAAAAAATCCATCATATGTATTCACTAATTTAATCTTCACAACAACTCTAAAGGGTAGGAACTATTTTTTTTTTTTTTGCCCCATTTTACAGATATGAAATGAGAGGCTGTGTTGAAGGTGTTTTCTGGGGTTGATTTAAATAGAATTAATAAACTCAGAAAAAAGATTCTTAATCGATAAAGGTGTTTTTTTTTTGTTTTTGTTTTTTTTTTTTTTTTTGAGTCGGAGTCTCACTCTGTCGTCCAGGCTGGAGTGCAGTGGCGTGATATCGGCTCACTGGAACCTCTGACTCCCTGGTTCAAGCAATTCTCCTGCCTCAGCCTCCCGAGTAGCTGGGATTACAGGCATGCGCCACCATGCCCGTGGTTTCACCATGTTGGCCAGGATGGTCTTGATCTCCTGACCTTGTGATCCGCCCACCTTGGCCTCCCATAATGCTGGGATTACAGGCGTGAGCCACCGTGCCCGGCCTTGGCTTTCATTCTTATTGTCCCATGGTTACCAGAGCCTAAAGAGGTAAAGAGGTAGGACCTATGAGGCTCTCACAGTTTGTTTTTTTTTTTGTTTTTTTTTTTTTTTTTTTTTTGAAACAGGGTCTCACTCTGTCGCCCAGGCTGGAGTGCAGTGGCGCGATCTTGGCTCACTGCAGCCTCCGCCTCCCGGTTCAAGCAATTCTCCCACCTCAGCCTTTCCAGTAGCTGGGATTACAGAGGCGCGCCACCACGCTTGGCTAATTTTTTTTTTGCATTTCTATTAGAGATCGGGTTTCACCATGCTGCGCAGGCTGGTCTCGAACTCCTGACCTCAGGTGATCCACCCGCCTTGGCCTCCCAAAGTGCTGGGATTACAGGTGTGAGCCACCGTGCCCGGCCTCTCTCATAGTTTTATTATTCTATTTTCCACAGACCCTTCCTCCCTTAATTTTCATGCCTCTTTAATATTGTTTCTTTTACCTCACTGACCTTCTTTTTCGTCCTCCTACCTTTTACTGTGGGTGTCTTATTACCCTTCTTTGGGAGTTTATCCTTTAGCATGTCATAGATCACTATCTTTAGGCAGAGGACACTGCATCTTCTCTAGTCCTGATTGTCTACCCTCTCTCAAGTTCCATAACTTCAGTTGCCTTGGGACACCTTCACTGGGTTTTACAAAACCCTGTTACCGGGAACTGAACATATTAAAAGCTAAGATTCCTCCCCAAATCTGTATGTTGCGCCAATTTTCCTGCCCAATTATCTTGTCTGTCCCCTGGTTTTGCGACCTTATTTAAACATTTAAATCCTTTTCTTTAAATTGGAATCTTGATGAATGGTGCAAAAATCAATGGATACAAATGATATGCCGAGATATGTAAGTCTTCCGCCCACTGGTTCCCTAGGCACTCAGTTCCTCTCCCAGGAGGTAACCACTGTTGCCAGCTCTTAGAGTGATTTTTGATTCCTTCTTCTACCGGCTCTATCTCAAGTCCTTCCCTGTCTGTGAGATGTGTGCCCTTTCCTTTCCAGGCCCTAGTGAACTGATATCTGGTTGAGTTTATATATAAACATTTTTATGTGTATATTTTATATACATATATAACATCTCTCCCTATGGCCTTCCGGCCTGGAGTTTTCATCACGTCGCTTCCTGGATGAAAGAACCTCGAGGGGTGAGGGGCAGGGGTTGGGGGTGATGGAGAAGAGAACCTAAAGGGGACTTAGGTAGGGCGTTCAGAGTGGCCAACTGGCGTGACGCTCTGTCAGGATTCCTATTCCTATTCCTCCCACCTCAGGCCCCCTTCTAGTCCTCTCAGCCAAAAGCCTCTCGTTTCCAAGGGCCGAGACAGAGGCAGAGACAACGAGATACACAGAAACAGAGACGCCAAGGCACCAGCATCCCTCTCCCCCTTCTGTCCCGCCCCATCGCTCTGACGGACACCATTGCTCAGCCAATGGCGCTCACGATGTGCCCCTGAAGGGCCAATGGGCGCCAGAGGAGGGTGGAAGATTCCCCGCCCCCACTTCTAGGCTTGGTTGAACCGTGCAGGTAGGTCCGGGGCTGGGGGAGCTGCCTTTGGCACTGGTGCCCCTGGGGGTGGGGGCACGAGTGGGCCAGGGTGATGGTGAGGTAGAGGAGGTGTCCCTGACCCGACGAGCTCGAGGGAGCGGCCCGGCTGGGAGGCGGGGGGCCGCGGGGCCCGGGGAGCGGGCGCCGCCGAGGGCCCTGGAAGCGGCGGGGCTGGGGGAGAGGGGACGCGTGTGTGGGGCACGGGGACCCCCGCCCAGCGCCCACTCGTAGGCCTGGGACGCCGGCTGCCGGCCGACTGGCCTGAGGGCCTGGCTGCCCGGGGGGCGGGCCGGGGCCGCGGCCGGGGGCGCGGAGCGGAGCTCGGGGCGCCAGGCCGAGCCGAGGTGGGACGGACCGACGCGGAGAGGAAGGGAAGCCGCATCCCGCGGGGCGCCCCTCCTGAAGCGAGCCGGGCAGCGGCCGCGGGCGCCCCTGCCCTGAGCCCACCCCGCGCTCTGCCCTCCCTAACAATGGGAATGGGGCAGAAGGAGGCGCCCCACTGCGGGGAGGTGAGGGGTGGGTTTGGGACTGGGGTCCGCGGTGGGGGGAGGTGCGATCTCGGGCTCTCGCCTCTCCGCTCCCTCTGGCTCTGGAGTTGGGGGCCCCTGTGGGGCTCTGAAGTCCGCCTGAGACTTGGGTCAAGAGTCAAACTGTCGCCCCCCGCTCCTCCCCCAAAATCCGGTGAGCGGTAAGGAAAGTGATGCCAAGTCTTCGAAGCCTCAGTGACAAACGCATAGCAAGAACACATCCACTCCAGAGGTGTTTATTTTTTATTTTTATTTAAAAAGGGGTACTTTTCGACATTTATTTTTAAGAAGTGGGTGCTGTTATTTTTGTCCCTACGCGGGCAAGCCTCCATTTTAAGCGAAGCAGTAACTGGTTAAGCTGGAATTGTATACAGGCCCAGGACTTGAACGAGGATCCTACCAGAGGTCATTTAGTCCATCCTCCTGCCTCCAGGCAAATTTACCTTCCTCCCACCCTCAAAATTAAGTTGCTCGGTCTGCTTTTAACGATCTCTGGGGAAGAAGGGTCCTTTATTTGTTTCTAGTACTTCAGTCAAGAATAGGTTTTACTTTTCATGTGGAATTGACTCTGAAACTTAAGCATAATCTTGGGACAGTCGGGATGATTAGAGAGGTTTTACTTTACTAAATATAATTAAATGTGGCAAGGGTCTTTCTTTAGACGGTTAGTTAACAAATCACGTTTAGTGTTTATGAAGTACCCTGGAAAATTACTTTATTCTCTCTGGGATTTTGGCTAATTGTTTGATAAGCAATTTTACATTATCTAAAATACGTGTTACATATTTATTTCTCTTTTTATGTAAAGTATGTTTCTACACACATATGTATGGAGACACACATTTGCCCTTTTCTAAAGGGGACTGTATTTTCTATACTTTTTTAGTGCGATGAGGCAAATAGTACTTCAAAATCCCTGCCCAGGTAGCTTAAACTATTTGCATTGTCTTGATTATTTTTTAGTCTAAATGAAAATCCTCTCTTTCAGATACCTTCTCGAAACAAAAGATTTTCCTACCTGCTTATACTTGGTAACCGAGGGAATTACTAAGACTTCTTGCTCATTTCTGAGTATTGTCTTTATATCCTGACACTATGAATGCTACTTGGATGCCTCTTAAGGTAAGATGTGTTATTTTTTCATTACCAGCCTCATTTTATTCATTTTTCTTTAGAATTGGGAATATTGTAGTTTTTGAATTTGCTATTCTTCACTTCCTTTACCTGCCATTTCTCTTGCCTCTTGTGTTTGCTTCCTAGGATTGATTGGCTATATCTTACTTTGTATCTCTACTGTTCTTTGATTATCGGTGTGAATGTTTTAATGAAGTTCTCAAATTAACTTCCATTATAATGAAAGGCAGTGATCTTTTTAACTTTAAATTATGGCAACTTACATAGTTGTAAAATTATGTTCCGGTCTTAGGATGGGTTGGCAATTCAAACATCTAGGTCCACTTTTCAAACAGGTACTTTAGAGTCATAGGTACTAGGGTGTGTCCCACTCTTGCAAATCAGTAGCTGATTCATGTGTTACAAAAGATGTGTCATTAACCATTTGTTTACTCTGAAACTTCATATAGTATATTAGGGCATTCTAAGACCTGCTGGTTTACACGTATGACTCTTTCAGAGTCCTCCTGCTGCACCCCAGTCCTTTGTGTGACATTTCATACTATTTTTCTCAGCAGGTAGCACTTACACCAAGTTTTATTTCACAGGGTAAACCTCATTTGGACAGTGTGGACAGATGACCTTTAGATGAAAAAGCTCCCATTGATGTGGTTCTCCAGTCTCTTTGGCTCCTCTAATCTCTTGTACATAGATGGCCAAAGAACTCTCCATTAGGACTAAGCAAAGGGCAGAGCTTAAGACTTAAGTAGGTGGCTTCTTTGATTTTCTTGTGACTAAAAATACATTAAAAAAAAATTAAATAAAAACAAACAGAAAAGACGTAAGGAGGGGATGGGAGGAAGGACAGAGAAGGATAAGGAGTCTTGGAAACCCTCCACCAGCTTCGCCTTTCTTCAGAGTAGGATACTAGCTTAGTTAAGATTGTTGGGTGCTAATCTGCTCTGTGGACTTCCAGACTGATGCAGAGGAGAAATCAGACAATAGTGCAGTGTGTGTAACCTAAATATCTGGACTTGTGGGAAATCGTAGGTCATGTAGGCTGAGTTCTCATCTTCATTTATGTTTCAGCTGCTATTGCTGGATAAGAGTGCTTATATTAATATACAGGAAGCCAAAGTGACACAGTTTTTCCAGCATTCTCCCTGAAAGAGTTGGAGGGGTTGCATGGGGAATGCAACCAGAAGTTCTGAACCCGTTAAGAATCAGAGGACCTGTGTAAGAGTGTTTCGACTTAGCAAGTGTTGAGCACCAGTGTTGGTGGCCTCTGTCCTCTTTAGGAAGCAGGCAAGGGGATTGAGATCAATACATTGGATTTCATTTTATAGTTTCCTAGGTTTTAACGAATGTATTTGGTACACAAAGCCCTACTTTTAAAGCTATTTCCAGTGTTTAAGGTTTTACCTCTAAATCTCTCTGAACCTGGGTTGTAATACAGTAACCTCAGAAGTTCTACTAGAGGTCTCTGGCATGGCAGGAATAGAGAAAGGAAATCAGCTCCATATCGTGAGTTACCACCTGTTACTACTTAAGAATGCAGTTAGGTGGTTGCCTTAATATTATGTTCCTTACCAATCCTTTGCTCAGTGGGAAACATCTTCTAAGCGTAAACCAATTTTTGGGGGTAATGTTTTCTTCCTATTTTTATTACTTAGAAACCTTAAAAATTACAGTGTTCGTCTGGTCAGAAAAAAAGGTCCTTTTTGCGGGGAGGATAGCATTGAGTTTGTGGGCTGGAAAATAAAAGTGGGGAGAGGGAACTTTATTCTCTTTTTCATTGGTGAATATCCTTAAAACATTTCTAAGATGTAGTTTCAGATTGGAGCTACCTAATTTAAGTAAAAAGAAATGATAGGTTAATTAAAGTGCATATTTTGGAGCCCAAATGTTTATTTTATATAGATCTTATATTTTGTTTCCAATTATCTTATTGTAGAATGAACTCTGTCGTTCTGTCAGGCATTGCGTAAATGTTAGACTGAGTATGTGCTTGTTTCCATGCGTATAGAAAATAGCGTCACACTCACTCAGTCTTCACAAATGAAAATGCCAGAGGAGGCAAGTAACAAGGAAGAATAACTCCAAACCAAAACTCCTCAATTTAAGGCACTCTCGTTAATTAGAAGTTCTCATGGAAATTATTATTTATCCCTTTTTCTCTGTGTTAGGGGTCTGTACCTTTTTAAAGCCTGAATATTTCTAGCCACGACTAAGCAATGTCAGTGATGTTACTAGGGTCTAGTTGTCAGGGTTAGGACTAAGGAGTGGGTGAGATGGGAGAGGAATAGGGAAAGGAAGGAGAATTGAGTGAGTCGGAGAAAAGAGTGAAATGAAGATGAGGAGGAGAGAAAAGATACAGGGTCTTTAGTGTGTAGCATGGAGCCATCATCAGTTGTCTCAGGTAGTTCTTAGGGCTGCTGGATGCCTTGTGTGCTAGACTGAACTATGGTGAAATGAAGTAAAAACTGTTCTTGACAAGCAAAACGAGAGAATTAAAACATAATTTAATATGATATAGAAAGATCTGCAAGGCAGACAGTTAAGTGATGAAAGCAAGATGCAGAACAGTATGTATGATTTGATACCCTTTGTGTTTTTTGGAAAAAAAAAAACAGGAGAAAAAGATAATTTGCATTGGTGTATGTATGCAAAAAAAAAAAAAAAAGATCTTTAGGGCTGGGCATGGTGGCTCACACGTGTAATCCCAGCACTTTGGGAGTCCAAGGTGGGTGGATTACCTGAGGTCAGAAGTCTGAGACCAGCCTGGCCAATATGGTGAAACCCCGTCTCTACTGAAAATATAAAAACTAGCTGGGGCGTGGTGGCACACACCTGTAATCCCAGCTACTCGGGAGGCTGAGGCAGGAGAATTGCTTGAGCCCGGGAGACGGAGCTTGCAGTGAGCTGAGATCACGCCGCTGTCCTTCAGCCTGGCTGACCAAGCGAGACTCTGTCTCAAACAACAGCAACAACACAAACCTTTAGAAGAATAAATAAGAAAATGGTGGCACTGGTTACCTGTTAGGTCTAGGAATTGTTCAGGTAGAGGACAGAGTAGGAAGGAGACTTCTCATTGCATTATATCTTTTTACACTTTCTGATGTTTGTATCAGATTTTAAAAATTAAATAGAAAATTGAAAATTTTAGCTGGGCGCAGTGGCTCACGCCTGTAATCCCAGCACTTTGGGAGGCCGAGGCGGGCGGATCATGAGGTCAGGAGATCGAGACCATCCTGGCTAACACGGTGAAACCCCGTCTCTACTAAAAATACAAAAAAATAGCTGGGCGTGGTGGCAGGCGCCTGTAGTCGCAGCTACTTGGGAGGCTGAGGCAGGAGAATGGCGTGAACCCGGGAGGCGGAGTTTACAGTGAGCCGAGATCGTGCCACTGCACTCCAGTCTGGGCGACAGAGGGAGACTCCGTCTCAAAAAAAAAAAAAAAAATTTTAAAGAACAGCATCTCAATCCTTCCTTTTCTTCTCTTTCTGTGTCTGGAAGTCAGAGAAATGGCAAGGGTTCTAACTGAGAGAATAGTTTTTTTGTTTTTGTTTTTGTTTTTTTGAGACGGAGCCTCACTCTGTCACCTAGGCTAGAGTACAGTGGCGCAATCTCGGCTCACTGCAAACTGTGCCTCCTGGGTTCATGTCATTCTCCTGCCTCAGCCTCCCGAGTAGCTGGGACCACAGGCGCCCGCCACCACGCCCGGCTAATTTTTTGTATTTTTAGTAGAGACGGAGTTTCACCGTGTTAGCCAGGATGGTCTCGATCTCCTGACCTCATGATCCGCCCAACTTGGCCTCCCAAAGTGCTGGGATTACAGGCGTGGGCCACCGTGCCCAGCCGAGAGAATAGTTCTTGAACAGTGGTTGAGGGGATACACATGCAAAAGGGCCCATAATCTAGGACATGTGTTCTCTTGGGATCTTCAAGAATTTTGAATTTATAGATGTATATTTCTAGTATTGAACTGCAAAGTCAGGTATTAAAAAATTTAACTTGGCCAGACGCGATGGCTCACGCCTGTAATCCTAGCACTTTAGGAGGCTGAACAGGCAGATCGCTGGAGCACACGAGTTTGAGAACAGCCTGGGCAACATGGCAAAACCCCATCTCTACTAAAAATACAAAAGAAAATTAGCCAGGCATGGTGGTGTGCACCTGTAGTTGCAGCTACTTGAGAGGCTGAGGTGGGAGGATGGCTCGAGCCTGGGAGGTGGAGGTTGCAGTGAACTGTGATTGCACCCCTGCAGTCCAACCTGGGTGATAGAGCCAGACCTTGTCTCTTGTCTCATTAAAGAAAAAAAAAAATTAACTTGTTCTTAAAGTTTTAGTAAAAACAGGTTTTCATTGTATATCCCCTTAAGTTAGCAATTAGATATAATCTCAGCATTCTTCTTTTTTTTTTCTTTTTTTTTATGAGACAAGAGTCTCGCTTTGTTGTCCAGGTGATCTTGGCTCACTGCAACCTCCACTTCCTGGGTTCAAGTGATTCTCCTGCCTCAGCCTCCTGAGTAGCTGGGATTACAGGCACCTGTCACCATGGCCAGCTAATTTTTTTTTTATTTTTAGTAGAGATGGGGTTTCACCAGCTTGGCCAGGCTGGTCTTAAACTCCTGACCTCAGGTGATCCACCCGCCTCGGCCTCCCAAAGTGCTGGGATTACAAGCATGAGCCACCGTGCCCGGCCTAATCTCAGCACTCTTAACCGTGTGACTTTGGGCGATTTTCTTAATCTCTCTGAGATTCAGGTTCCTCCTTCATACTGGAAATAATAACACTTGCTTCAGAGGACTTTTGTATTTTATCTATAAAGGACATAGGGCAGTGTTTGGTTCAGTGGACTACTACTATTCTTATTGTAATTACTAATTTTTTTTTTTTTTGAGATGGAGTCTTGCTGTGTCGCCCAGGCTGGAGTTCAGTGGCACGATCTCGGCTCACTGCAACCTGTGTCTCCTGAGTTCAAGCAATTCTCCTGCCTCAGCCTCTCAAGTAGCTGGGATTACAGGCGCATGCCAGCATGCCCGGCTTATTTTTCTATTTTTAGTAGAGACGGGGTTTCACTATGTTGGCCAGGCTGGTCTCAAACTCCTGGCCTCAAGTGATCCACCCGCCTTGGCCTCCCAAAGTGCTGGGATTACAGGCGTGAGCCACCACGCCAGCTCTTATTGTAATTACTGTTAATAATAGCTCCTCATACACTAGTGGTGAGAGAGAGGGCTCTGGCTATGTGATACTGGGTAAGCTCATTAACCTCTTAGAACCTTGGTGTCCACACTGTAAAAAGGGTATAATGATAGTACCTAGATCCTAGAGTGGACTTTATAAGGATTAAATGAGTTTATTCACGCAGAGTGTTTAGAACAGCACCTGGTAGGTACTTAGTAAACCTGAGCTGCGAATTTTCTTATGACATCTGTTTGCTAAGGCTGCTGCCACAGAGTGACATATGCTGAGTGGCTTAAATAACAGAAATTTATTGTCTCCCTGTTCTGGAGGCTAGAAATCTAAGGGCAGAGGCATGCTTTCTCTGAAGCAACTGGGACAGGATCTGTTTCAAGCCTCTCTTCTAGCTTCTGGTGGCAGCATAACTCCAGTCCTTATGTAGAGTTCTCCCTGTGTGTATTTCTTTTGTTTTTTTAGACAGAGTCTTGCTCTGTTGCCCAGGCTGGAGTGCAGTGGCATAATATCGGTTCACTGCAACCTCTGCCTCTCAGGTTCAGGTGATTCTCCTTCCTTAGCCTCCTAAGTAGCTGGGATTACAGGCACGTGTCACCATGCCCAGGTAATTTTTTGTATTTTTTGTAGAAACAGGGTTTCACCATGTTGCCCAGGCCGGTCTTGAACTCCTGACCTCAGGTGATCTGCCTGCCTCGGCCTCCCAAAGTGCTGGGATTACAGGCATGAGCCACAGCACCCAGCCTAAATTTTGTATTTTTTGTAGAGACAGGGCTGCACCTTGTTGCCCAGGCTGGTCTCGAACTCCTGACCTTAAGTGATCTGCCCATCTCAGCCTCCCAAAGTGCTGGGATTACAGGCGTGAGCCACTGCGCCCAGCCTCCCTGTGTGTATTTCTTTGTGTCCACAATTTCCCCTTTTTTATAAGGACAAGTCATATTGGGATTAGAGTCCTCTCTGATGACCTCATTTTAACTTTATGACCTCTTTGAAGATCCTATCTCTTTTTTTTTTTTAGAGTCTCTCTTTGTTGCCCAGGCTGGAGTACAGTGGGGTGATCTCAGCTCACTGCAACCTCCTCCTCCTAGGTTCAAGTGATTCTTCTGCCTTAGCCTTCCAAGTAGCTGGAGTTACAGGTGCTCGCCACCGTGCCTAGCTAATTTTTACATTTTTGGTAGAGATGGGGTTTCACCACATTGGCCAGGCTGGTCTCGAACTCCTGACCTCAAGTGGTCCACCCACCTCGGCCTCTTAAAGTGCTGAGATTGCAGGCGTGAGCCACTGCACCTGGTCTGAAGATCCCGTCTCTAAGATCACATTCTGAGGTACTGAATGTTAGGAGTACTACATATCTCTTTTTTTTTTTTTTTTTTGAGACAGGGTCTCCCTTTGTCATTCAGGCTGGAGTGCAGTGGCACTTGGATCACTGCAACCTCCAGCCCCCTAACCCCTGGACTCAAGTAATCCTCCCACCTCAGCTTCCTGAGTAGCTGGGACTACAGGTGCACACTACCACATCTGGCTATTTTTAAATATTTTTAGTAGAGATGGGGTCTTGCCATGTTGCCCAGGCTGATATTGAACTCCTGAGCTCAAGCGATCCTGTGGCCTTGGCCTCCCAAAGTGCTAGGATTACAGGAATGCGCCACTGTGCCCAGGCCCCTGGAGTACTACATATCTCTTTTGGGGAACACAATTCAGCCCAGAACAGGTGTATATCATTTATCATGGGTACTAGACCCTCGACACCTACACATAGGAAATGAAAATTTTGGTGCAAATTGATAGCATGACTTAAAGAAGTAGATTATTTATTTAGCTTCTCATGTATTTATCTTTAACAAGATTTTTGTTTTATCTTTGAAACATTTTTTTTTTTTTTTTTTTTTTGTGACGGAGTCTTGCTCTTTTGCCCCGGCTGGAGTGCAGTGGCGTGATCTCGGCTCACTGCAACCTCCGTCTCCTGGGTTCAAGCAATTCTCCTGCCTCAGTTTCCCCAGTAGCTGGGATTACAGGTGCCCGCCACCACATCTGGCTAATTTTTGTAGTTTTAGTAGAGATGGGTTTCACCATGTTGGCCAGGCTGGTCTCGAACTCCTGATCTCAGGTGATCCACCTGCCTCGGCCTCCCAAAGTGTGTGAGTCACCAAGTCTGGCCCATACTCTTGGTTTTCTTTGCAGACTTTTTTCCTCTTTTGCTCCTAAAAACATTAGTATTTGCCTTCCCTTGACCCTTCTTCCTCTCACCCTGTGCAGTTTATGAGGAATGCCTTAGATAAACTTGTGCCTCACTTGCCGTCTATATGCCAATGATTTGCAAATGTGTGTTTTTCCAGCTCTGACTAGTTTTCTGATCTCCAATCCCATATACACAGTTGCTTCCTGGACATCTCTACTTGGATGTCCTATGGGCATTTTATTTTATTTTTTTATTATTATTATTACTATTGAGACGGAGTCTCGCTCTATCCCCCAGGCTGGAGTGCAGTGGCACGGTCTCGGCTCACGGCAGCCTCTGCCTCCCAGGTTCCAGCGACTCTCTTGCCTCAGCCTCCGGGTAGCTGGGATTACAGGTGTGCGCCACCACGTCCGGCCAGTTTTTGTATTTTTAGTAGAGATGGGGTTTCACCATGTTGGCCAGGCTGGGCTCGAACTCCTGACCTCAGGTGATCCACCTGCCTCAGCCTCCCAAAGTGCTGGGATTACAGGCGTGAGCCACTGCATCTGGCCATCTTATGGGCATTTTAAAATGATCTTATCCACTTCCCCAGTCCAACCTCTTCCTATCTTCGTATCTTAGTGAGCGGTAGTGTCACCCAGCCAGTCACTCAAATTAGGGATTTGAGAGGCCTCTGGGTTCCTTCTTGTGCCATTCTAGTCACCACATTCTTGAGATCCTAGCTCATAATATTTTCCTAGTCATCCTACTTCTCCTTTTTGAGTCCAGACCTTCATCGCCCTTTTGGCTGCATGACCTTCTGTTGTCTTGTAATCATTCTCCTTGACTGCTTTCTCTCTTCCAAGTCGCTGCCAACATGATCCTTGTAAAATGCATGTTCAAGCGTATGATCATATCCCTCCCTCTTCCACCATGGCTCAACTAGCTTTGAAGGTAGAGTTGAAATGTTTTGCCAGATCATCTCTCCACTTCTTCCTGAGCATCCTGTACGCAGTAGTACAGATAGCTTGTGCCCAGTTCCTTCTGTGAACCCTGTTGTTCTTTGCCTCTGGGTCTTCACACAAGCAGTTACCTCTGCTTAAGATGGACTCTACCCTGTTCTGGAAACTTACTCCCCCTAGTCTTTAATAACAGTAGTGGCTGGTCCAAGTATATTGGTGTTTACTATTAATTGATCACAGCCAGTTACAGATTTCTTTGTTCCTTCTCCACTCCCACTGCTTCACTTGATTAGCCTTAAAACAAAATAACAGTAGTGATAATAGTAATAACAGTAGCTGACACTGAGTGCTTCCTCTGGACCCAGGTATTATCACTTTATGATCAGAGTTCATAAAGAAATACAAATGACCAAGAGGCATATGAGAAACATTTTTATTCTGATAAATAATCAAAGGAATGCAGATTAAATGACATACTATTTTTTACCTATCAGATTTGCAGTTGACTGTGCTGTCAAAGGTGGTAAGGGGACAATCTCTGAAACTGTTAGTGTGTGTGCATGTGAGTGTGCATATGCAGACCTAGCACTTCTATTGTACTGATTGCTGGTTTGCTCCACTTTGAACCCAGCTAGTGTCTAGGTTCTTTGAGAGTGAGGACTTGCTCTTGTCTTTTATCCTCACTGCTTGCTGTTTTTGTTTCTTTTTTTTTTTTTGAGACGGAATTTCGCTCTTTGTTGCCCAGGCTGGAGCGCAATGGCGCGATCTCGGCTCACTGCAACCTCTGCCTCCCAGGTTGAAGTGATTCTCCTGCCTCAGCCTCCCAAATAGCTGGGATTACAGGTGCCTGCCACCACGCCCAGCTAATTTTTGTATTTTTAGTAGAGACAGGGTGTCACCATGTTGGTCAGGCTGGTCGCGAACTCCTGACCTCAGGTGATCCACCCCCCTCAGCCTCCCAAAGTGCTGGCATTACAGGCGTGAGCCACCATACCCGGCCATCTCTGCTTGCTCTTGATGGCACTTAGTAAATGAGTGTTAAAGACTGTATTGCTGGACTTGGGACATGCATCTTTAGGAGGGTATCAGTGGAAAAGCTGAGAGTCACATGCATTTGCCAGTCTTGGCCTTACTCTTTGGATCTATTGGTCCCAGTCTGATAAGTGCAAGCAACTTTGGAATAAGGATTGCCAAGAATTAAGATTTTTAATACTCTTTCTTTGAATGCTAAAGGGCAAAAGTGTTTTTGTTGTTTTTGTTTTTGGAAAAAGAGAACTAGTTTGCTGACCACCCAGTGTCATTTGGTAATTTAGAGTGTTTTCACATAGTTAAAGTATAGGGAAATGAATATTTAGGCCTGTGATGTTTATATATGCCAGGTAGTATATTTGGCAGGGAATTGATTTTTAGAATTGTTTGTGACATTAGTTCTTGCATATTAGTTTTTTTTTTTTTTTAAATGGAGTCTCACTCTGTTGCCCAGGCTGGAGTGCAGTGGCGCAGTCTCGGCTCACTGCAACCTCCACCTCCTGGGTTCAAGCAATCCTCGTTCCTCAGCCTCCTGAGTATCTCGGACTACAGGCACGTGCCACCACACCCGGCTGATTGTTATATTTTTAGTAGAGACAGGGTTTCACCATGTTGGCCAGGCTGGTCTTGAACTCCTGACCTCAGGTGATCCACCCACCTCGGCCTCCACAAAGTACTGGGATTACAGGTGTGAGCCACTGCACCCCGCCTAGTTCCTGCACATTAGAAAACGTTTGGGCCGGGCACGGTGGCTCACGCCTGTAATCCCAGCACTTTGGGAGGCCGAGGCGGGCCCATCACGAGGTCAGGAGATCAAGACCATCCTGGCTAACATGGTGAAACCCCGTCTCTACTAAAAATTAAAAAAAAAAAAAAATTAGCCGGGCGTGGTGTTGGGTGCCTGTAGTCCCAGCTACTCGGGAGGCTGTGGCAGGAGAATGGTGTGAACCCGGCAGGCGGAGCTTGCAGTGAGCTGAGATCACGCCACTACTCTCCAGCCTGGGCCACAGAGCGAGACTCCGTCTCAAAAAACAACAACAACAACAACAACAAAAAACAAATAAAACGCTTGTCCCCCTTGCCTTCTCCATCACAGCTCTGTTAAGTATGAGTTTAGATACACAGTATTTTCTTTTTTATTACCGTGTATAATTTGTATTTGTAGCAGCAGCCCAGAAGACAGGCAAGCGTATGGTTCTAGCTCACTTTTTTTTACTGGGCACTTGATGGTGGTGGTAATTTATCTGTCAGCAGGGGGAGCTGCAGTTGCTGATATTTAAATGATTCCATCTCAGCTGGTTTTCCACAGAAAGTTTGTCGGCCAAGAGAAAGAAAAGTTTTGCTGGCAAAGAACATGATCAGAGTTCATAAGGAAGAAATACAAATGACCAAGAAGCATATGAGAAACATTTTTATCCTGATAAGTAATCAAAGGAATGCAGATTAAATGACATACTCTTTTTTTAACCTATCAGATTTACAGTTGACTGTGCTGTCGAAGGTGGTGAGGGGACAATCTCTGAAACTGCTAGTGGAGTGTGCATTGGGCCTAGTTTTTTTGAAAGATATTTTGGCAACATATATTGGCAAAATTAAAAACGTTCTTTAATTCAGTAATTGCACATCTAGGAATTTATCCTAAAGGGGAAAAATTAAGATATATAGAAAGATTTGTGAACAAAGATGTTCATTGTAACATTATTCATATTAGTGAGAATTGAGAATAAACCTAAATGAGCAGCAAGATTTATAGGAAAATAAATCATGGTATATTTAAGGATGGACATTTACAACCATGGAATAGTATTTGAAAGAATTTTTCTGGCCGGGTGCGGTGGCTCATGCCCGTAATTCCAGCACTTCAGGAGGCCGAGGCGGGCGGATTATGAGGTCAGGAGATCGAGACCATCCTGGCCAACATGGTGAAACCCCATCTCTACTAAAAATACAAAAATTAGCTGGGCGTGGTGGCACGTGCCTGAAATCCCAGCTACTCAGGAGGCTGAGGCAGGAGAATTGCTTGGACCAGGGAGTTGGAGGTTGCAGTGAGCTGAGATGGTGCCACTGCACTCCAGCCTGGTGACAGAGCAAGTCTCTGTCTAAAAAAAAAAAAAGAATTTTTAATGTCTTAGGATGTTGAGTAAATGATAAATGAAAAATTCAGGGTGCAGAGCTATATAAGGAGCATTCTAAGTGTATAAAGATAAGGAATGTATATATGTTCTAGTATAATATGTATGTATATATTACACACACATACATACTGAGGTAAAAGAATGGAAGGAAGTCTATACCAACCAGCCTCCTTGAGTCTGTCTGTCCGGGGTCTGTCCAACCAATTGTTCTGTCTAAATTGGCACCAAGTGATGTTTTCAGGTGAAACATTGTTATCTGTTAAGATGTTAACCTCAGAAATGTAGGGCCTCACGTCTGATAGCACTTCTATCCTGTAGGACCTGAATGGACCTAATATACATACATTTATCCAAGCACTTGAATCTATTTTTAACTTGTAGATTGTGGTAACACAATCCACAAGTTTCTTTTATCTGTTATAGAAAGAAATACTTTTCAAGCATAAAAGGTGAATAAATTAGTATTTACCACATTGATACGTTTTCTGATTTTGATCACATTGCCCCTTTGCTTTCATGTTTCTCAACTGAAGATGCTTGACTTTTTAATTTAATCTCCAGTGAAACCTCCTTCCAGGATCTTTGTCAGCATTGCTTTCCCTTTCTGGATTTATGATAACTACTCAGAACTGCATTTTAGTTATAACTACACTGTGATTTGGTAGAAGGATAAGAAAATATGTTCTATTTACAGCAAGCTTGTCCGACCCATGGCCCACAGGCTGCATGCGGCCCAGGACAGCTTTGAATGTGGCCCAACACAAATCTGTAAACTTTCTTAAAACATTATGAGATTTTTTTTAAGATTTTCTTTTTTAGCTCATCAGCTATTGTTACTTTAGTGTATTTTATGTGTGGCCCAAGACAGCTCTTCTTCCAGTGTGGCTCAGGGAAGCCAAATGATTGGGTACCCTTGATTTACAGTTTTTTCCCAATAGGATTTGGTCCTCCCTCCCTCCCTTTTTTTTTTTTTTTTTTTTTTGCATAGAACATCACGTTGTCTTTAGGGAATATTCTATAATTATTCAAAAATTCCTTTTTTGACTTGAAGGCATGAGTCTTTTAAGTATAGCTTAGATTTTTTTTCCTGTAAATGCCTTACTTTTCATTTGTCCATGCTGTAACATACCTGCCATTTCCTCGCATGTAATTTTTTAACACTCATATCTCAGTGGGCTCTTAGAGGTAATCCAAGGTAAGAACCACCTTTTTAGTTAGGTCTGATGGTTAGAAAGCTTGAGTTGAAGCGTGCCCTTCTGGAATTGCCACTTTGGGCCCAATTTTGTCTACACGGAAACTGCTTAGAGCAAGTCTGGTTTGTCTTCTGCTAGATAACCCTTCACATATTTAGACAGCTTTTATACTTGCCAAAGCATTCTCTAAGCTGAATATAAATCTTAGTTTTTGCAAATGTTTCTCGTTTAATATATTTAGAAACCCTTTCCATCACTCCGTTCCCTATTTTTCCAACTCGTGTGGTATTTCATTATTAGGAATCTCATCATCCCATCTGCAAAATGGGGAATTCTCTGTATATTTTTTGTACAATATATTAAAATGTTAAATATAGCATTTCTAAAAAAATTTTCAATCTTCTGTTTTTACTTCTTCATTTGGGGAAGTACCTCAGCATCTACCTATAATTTTCTGTGTCTCAGTTATGTCCAGTCTACAGTAAATGTTCTCATCCTGTGGCCACTCAGGTCTTTAAAAAAAAACTTTAATTTAGAATCTTATCAAGAGTTTTGTGAAAGCTCACATAAATTATATTCACGTATTTATTTTCTTTTCTTTTTTTTTTTTTTTTTGAGACAGAGTCTCACTCTGTTGCCCAGGCTGGAGTGCAGTGGTGCGATCTCGGCTCACTACAACCTCCGCCTCCCGGGTTCAAGCGTTTCTCCTGCCTCAGCCTCCCGAGTAGCTATGACTACAGGTGCCTCACCACCACACCCAGCTAATTTTTGTATTTTTAGTAGAGTTGGGGTTTCACCATGTTGGCTAGGATGGTCTCGATCTCCTGACCTCATGATCCACCCGCCTCAGCCTCCCAAAGTGCTGGGATTACAGGCATGAGCCACCGTCACCCAGCCACACATATTTATTTTCTCAGAGAATTTGGGTGAACTGGTGTGGTGTGATGTCCACTTTTAGAATCCATGTTGTCTTTTCCTCAGAAGGTTATTCATGCTGATATGTCTTCTGAGCCCATCTTTATTAGAGATTTGCTAGTTTGGGCAGTTTGAAGTTGCAGCCTACTTGAGTAGATGGAAGTTAGTTTGATGACAGCATTTTTTTGTTCGTTTTGGTTCAGCACATACTTATTGAGTACCTAATATGCCAGAAGTTGAGCAAGGAAAATATTGATAAAGGAAAAGTGGATTCTATCCTCCTGGCATTTAGAGAAGGTCACTCATATGACCGTCAGCTAATATGTTCTGTCCTGCAGTTTAATAATTTATACTTAAATGCCTTTAAAACACAGAGAAGGGGCTGGTCGTGGTGGCTCACACCTGAAATCCCAGCACTTTGGGAGGCCGAGTTGGGTGAATCACTTGAGGTCAGGAGTTTGAGAACAGCCTGGGTAACATAGTGAAACCCTGTCTCTACTAAAAATACAAAAATCAGCCAAATGTGGTGGCACCTGCCTGTAATCCCAGCTACTTGGGAGGCTGAGGTGGGAGAATGGCTTGAACCCGGGAGACAGAGGTTGCAGTGAGTCGAGATGGTGCCACTGCACTCCAGCCTGGGCAACAGAGTGAGACTCTGTCTCAAAAAAACAACAACAAAAAACCCATGGAGACTATTTTGGGTCTTCATGACTACCTGACATCTGACATATCAGTTTGAGGAATTTAGTATATTTAATGATGCATTTGATTCACTATTAGAGATTTGTATGCTTATTAAGAGTAATTTAGATAGCTTTTCCCCTCTACCTTCCCCAGTAAATATCGAAGCAAATAAGAATTATATAATATCAGCTGTCTTGCTTTTTATCAATCCCACTTATCAAGTGACCCATCCAGTTTTATTTGGCATCGAGCTTTTTATGTATTTAAACTGTCTCTTAGGTGACTTTGCATTTTCTTTTTTTTTTGAGATGGAGTTTTGCTCTTGTCACTCAGGCTGGAGTGCAATCGGCGCAATCTTGGCTCACTGCAACCTCCGACTCCCGGGTTCAAGCAATTCTCCTGCCTCAGCCTCCCAAGCAGCTGAGACTGCAGGCATGCGCCATCACGCCTGGCTAATTTCTGTAGTTTTTGGTTTTTTTTTAGTTGAGATAGGATTTCACCATGTTGGCCAGGCTGGTCTCGAACTCCTGACCTCAAATGATCCGCCCCACTCGGCCTCCCAAAGTGCTGGGATTACAGGCGTGAGCCACTGCGCCCGGGCTGCATCATTTTGTTGTAAGGTTTTTTTTTTTTTTTGAGACGGAGTCTTGCTGTGTTGCCCAGGCTGGAGTGCAGTTGCAGGATCTCGGCTTCCTGCAACCTCCGCCTCCAGGTTCCTGCACCCTCCGTCTCCGGTGGGCTGAGCTGAGGTGGGACAGACTGACGTGGAGAGGAAGGGAAGCCACCTGGCCTGAAGATCCTGTCTCTAAGATCAGGTTCTGAGGTGCTGAATGTTAGGAGTACTACATATCTTTTTTTTTTTTTTTTTTTGAGACAGGGTCTCCCTCTGTCATCCAGGCTGGAGTGCAGTGGCACTTGGATCACTGCAACCTCCAGCCCCCTAAACCCCAGGCTCAAGCAATCCTCCCATCTCAGCTTCCCGGGTAGCTGGGACTACAGGTGTGCACTACCACACCTGGCTATTTTTTTATATTTTTAGTAGAGCCGGGGTCTTGCCATGTTGCCCAGGCTGATATTGAATTCCTGAGCTCAAGCGATGCTGTGGCCTTGACCTTCCAAAGTGCTGGGATTACAGGCATGTGCCACTGTGCCCAGCCCCTTGGAGTACTGTATATCTCTTTTGGGGAACAAAAGTCAGCCCAGAACAGGTGTATGTCATTTATCATGGGTACAAGACCCTCAACACCTACACATAGGAAATGAAAATTTTGGTGCAAATTGATAGCATGACTTGAAGAAGTAGATTATTTCTTTAGCATCTTGTGTATTTATCTTTAACAAGATTTTTGTTTTATCTTTGAAACTTTTTTTTTTTTTTGAGACGGACTTTTGCTCTTTCACCCAGGTTGGAGTGCAGTAGTGTGATCTTGGCTCACTGTAACCTCCGCCTCCTAGGTTCAAGTGATTCTCCTGCCTCAGCTTCCCCAGTAGCTGGTATTACAGGCGCCTACCATCACACCTGGCTAATTTTTGTCTTTTTAGTAGAGACGGGGTTTCACCATGTTGGCCAGGCTGGTCTCAAACTCTTGACATCAGGTGATCCACCCGCCTCAGCCTCCCAAAGTGCTGGGATTAAAGGCATGAGCCACTGTACCTGGCCTTTTTGTATTTTTTGTAGAGATGGGGTTTTACCATGTTGCCCAGGCTGGTCTGAAACTCCTGAGCTCAAGCAGTCCCCGCACCTTGGCCTCCCAAAGTGTTGGGATTACAGGCCTGATCCCCTGTGCTCAACCTGATGAGATCTTTTCATGTGCTTATTGGCCATTCATATATCTTCTTTGGAGAAATGTCTATTTAAATTCTCTGCACATTTTAATTTTATTTTTATACACCTATTGTTTTTTAGGCTAGGTCTTGCTCTGTCACTCTGGCTAGAGTGCAGTGGCCAATCGCAGTTTTCTTTTTTGGAGATGGAGTCTTGCTCTGTCACCCAGGCTGGAGTTCAGTGGCACTATCTTGGCTCACTGCAATCTCTGCCTCCTGGGTTCAATGAGGTCTCTGCCTCAGCCTCCCAAGTAGCTGGAAAGAGGTTCCCCCCCACGCGCAGCTAATTTTTGTATTTTTAGTAGAGATGGGGTTTCACCATCTTGGGCCAGGTTGGTCTTGAACTCCATGACCTCAAGATCCACCCGCGTTACCTCCAAAGTGGTAGGATTACAGGCGTGAGCCACCGCACCCGGCCCAATCATAGTTTCTGGAACTTCAAACTCCTGGACTCAAGGGTTCCTTCTGCCTTAAGCTCCTGAGTAGCTAGGACTACAGGTGTGTGCCACCATGCCTGGCTAATTGTTTTTTTTTATTATTATTAATTTATTTTGTAGAGACAGGGTCTTGCTATATTGCTCTGGCAGGTCTCAAAATCCTTGCCTCAAGGGATCCTCTCCTTCTGGTGTGAGCCACCATGCTCAGCCTTTGCCCATTTTAAAATTGGATTCTCTTTTTATTGTTGAGTTGTAAGAGTTCTTTAAATATACTAGATACAAATCCCTTGTGAGATACATGATTTGCAAATATTTTCTCCCATCTATGGGTTGTGTTTTCAATTTCTTGATGGTGTCCTTTAATGTACAAAATGTTATAATTCTGATGAAGCCAAATTTACTTGTTTTTTCCTTTGTTGCATGTGGTTTTGATGTCAGGCCACCAAATGAAATGAAGATTAGCTTTGTTTTCTTCTAGGAATTTTATTGTTTTAGCTGTTACATTTAGGTCTATAATCCATGTTTAAATTTAATTAGAATTAATTTTTGTGTATGGTGTGAGATATAGTGGTCCAGCTTCATTCTACTGCATGTGAATATTCAGTTGTCCCAGCATGGTTTGTTGAAAAGACCATTGTTTGTTTCTTGTAGAGATGGGGGTCTTGCTTTGTTGCCCTGGCTAGTCTCAAACTCCTGGCCTCAAGCAATCCTCCTGTCTCAGCCTCCCCAAATGCTGGGATTATAGGTGTCAGCTACAGCACTTGGCTTAAAAAGACCATTCTTTCCTCCACTGAATTGTCTTGGCATTTTTGTCAAAAAATCAATTGACTGTCAGTGTAAAGGTTTATTTCTGAACCCACACTTATATTCCATTGATCTGTATGTTTATCCTTATGCCACTACCACACTGTCTTGATTTCCATAGCTTTGAATTATGTTTTCAAATCAGGAAGTGTGAGTCCCCCAACTTTGTTTTTCCTATTCAAATTTCTTTTGGGTATGCTGGGATCACATTGATTCTGTAGATCAATTTAGGGAATATTGCCATTTTAACAGAGTTGTATCTTCTGATCCATTCTCATCCATGAACATGGGATGTCTTTCCTTTTTTTTTTTTTTTTTTTTTGGGGGACACAGTCTTGTTCTGTCATCCAGGCTGCAGTGAAGTACAGTAATGCAATCATGGCTCACTGCAGCTGTAACCTACTAGGCTCAAGTGATCTTCCCTCCTCAGCCCCCCAAGCAGCTAGGATTACAGGTGCATGCCACCACATCTAGCTCATTTTTGTATTTTTGTAGAGATGAGTTCTTGCCATGTTGCCTAGTCTGATCCTGAACTTCTGCGCTCAAGCAGCCCACCCACTTCAGTCTACCAAAGTGCTGGGATTACAGGTGTGAGCCATCACACCTGGCCTTTCCATTTAGTTAGGATTTCTTTAACTTCTTTTGTAATTTTTATATATCTCAGAGTATAAGATTGTCACTGCTTTTGTTAAATTTATTTCTAAGTCTTTTTTTTTTTTTTTTTTTTTTTTTGAGACAGTGTCTCATTCTGTCACCCAGGCTAAAGTACAGTGGTGTGATCTCGGCTCATTGCAACCTCTGCCTCCTGGGTTCAAGTGATTCCACTGCCTCAGCCTCCTGAGTAGCTGGGATTACAGGCACCTGCCACCACACCCAACTAATTTTTGTATTTTAGTAGAGACGGGGTTTCACCACGTTGGCTAGGCTAGTCTTGAACTCCTGACCTCAAATGATCCGCCCCACTCGGCCTCCCAAAGTGCTGGGATTACAGGCGTGAGCCACTGCGCCCGGGCTGCATCATTTTGTTGTAAGGTTTTTTTTTTTTTTTGAGACGGAGTCTTGCTGTGTTGCCCAGGCTGGAGTGCAGTTGCAGGATCTCGGCTTCCTGCAACCTCCGCCTCCAGGTTCCTGCACCCTCCGTCTCCGGTGGGCTGAGCTGAGGTGGGACAGACTGACGTGGAGAGGAAGGGAAGCCACCTGGCCTGAAGATCCTGTCTCTAAGATCAGGTTCTGAGGTGCTGAATGTTAGGAGTACTACATATCTTTTTTTTTTTTTTTTTTTGAGACAGGGTCTCCCTCTGTCATCCAGGCTGGAGTGCAGTGGCACTTGGATCACTGCAACCTCCAGCCCCCTAAACCCCAGGCTCAAGCAATCCTCCCATCTCAGCTTCCCGGGTAGCTGGGACTACAGGTGTGCACTACCACACCTGGCTATTTTTTTATATTTTTAGTAGAGCCGGGGTCTTGCCATGTTGCCCAGGCTGATATTGAATTCCTGAGCTCAAGCGATGCTGTGGCCTTGACCTTCCAAAGTGCTGGGATTACAGGCATGTGCCACTGTGCCCAGCCCCTTGGAGTACTGTATATCTCTTTTGGGGAACAAAAGTCAGCCCAGAACAGGTGTATGTCATTTATCATGGGTACAAGACCCTCAACACCTACACATAGGAAATGAAAATTTTGGTGCAAATTGATAGCATGACTTGAAGAAGTAGATTATTTCTTTAGCATCTTGTGTATTTATCTTTAACAAGATTTTTGTTTTATCTTTGAAACTTTTTTTTTTTTTTGAGACGGACTTTTGCTCTTTCACCCAGGTTGGAGTGCAGTAGTGTGATCTTGGCTCACTGTAACCTCCGCCTCCTAGGTTCAAGTGATTCTCCTGCCTCAGCTTCCCCAGTAGCTGGTATTACAGGCGCCTACCATCACACCTGGCTAATTTTTGTCTTTTTAGTAGAGACGGGGTTTCACCATGTTGGCCAGGCTGGTCTCAAACTCTTGACATCAGGTGATCCACCCGCCTCAGCCTCCCAAAGTGCTGGGATTAAAGGCATGAGCCACTGTACCTGGCCTTTTTGTATTTTTTGTAGAGATGGGGTTTTACCATGTTGCCCAGGCTGGTCTGAAACTCCTGAGCTCAAGCAGTCCCCGCACCTTGGCCTCCCAAAGTGTTGGGATTACAGGCCTGATCCCCTGTGCTCAACCTGATGAGATCTTTTCATGTGCTTATTGGCCATTCATATATCTTCTTTGGAGAAATGTCTATTTAAATTCTCTGCACATTTTAATTTTATTTTTATACACCTATTGTTTTTTAGGCTAGGTCTTGCTCTGTCACTCTGGCTAGAGTGCAGTGGCCAATCGCAGTTTTCTTTTTTGGAGATGGAGTCTTGCTCTGTCACCCAGGCTGGAGTTCAGTGGCACTATCTTGGCTCACTGCAATCTCTGCCTCCTGGGTTCAAGTGATTCTCTGCCTCAGCCTCCCAAGTAGCTGGGATTAGAGGCACCCACCACCACGCGCAGCTAATTTTTGTATTTTTAGTAGAGATGGGGTTTCACCATCTTGGCCAGGTTGGTCTTGAACTCCTGACCTCATGATCCACCCGCCTTGGCCTCCCAAAGTGCTAGGATTACAGGCGTGAGCCACCGCACCCGGCCCAATCATAGTTTCTGGAACTTCAAACTCCTGGACTCAAGGGTTCCTTCTGCCTTAAGCTCCTGAGTAGCTAGGACTACAGGTGTGTGCCACCATGCCTGGCTAATTGTTTTTTTTTATTATTATTAATTTATTTTGTAGAGACAGGGTCTTGCTATATTGCTCTGGCAGGTCTCAAAATCCTTGCCTCAAGGGATCCTCTCCTTCTGGTGTGAGCCACCATGCTCAGCCTTTGCCCATTTTAAAATTGGATTCTCTTTTTATTGTTGAGTTGTAAGAGTTCTTTAAATATACTAGATACAAATCCCTTGTGAGATACATGATTTGCAAATATTTTCTCCCATCTATGGGTTGTGTTTTCAATTTCTTGATGGTGTCCTTTAATGTACAAAATGTTATAATTCTGATGAAGCCAAATTTACTTGTTTTTTCCTTTGTTGCATGTGGTTTTGATGTCAGGCCACCAAATGAAATGAAGATTAGCTTTGTTTTCTTCTAGGAATTTTATTGTTTTAGCTGTTACATTTAGGTCTATAATCCATGTTTAAATTTAATTAGAATTAATTTTTGTGTATGGTGTGAGATATAGTGGTCCAGCTTCATTCTACTGCATGTGAATATTCAGTTGTCCCAGCATGGTTTGTTGAAAAGACCATTGTTTGTTTCTTGTAGAGATGGGGGTCTTGCTTTGTTGCCCTGGCTAGTCTCAAACTCCTGGCCTCAAGCAATCCTCCTGTCTCAGCCTCCCCAAATGCTGGGATTATAGGTGTCAGCTACAGCACTTGGCTTAAAAAGACCATTCTTTCCTCCACTGAATTGTCTTGGCATTTTTGTCAAAAAATCAATTGACTGTCAGTGTAAAGGTTTATTTCTGAACCCACACTTATATTCCATTGATCTGTATGTTTATCCTTATGCCACTACCACACTGTCTTGATTTCCATAGCTTTGAATTATGTTTTCAAATCAGGAAGTGTGAGTCCCCCAACTTTGTTTTTCCTATTCAAATTTCTTTTGGGTATGCTGGGATCACATTGATTCTGTAGATCAATTTAGGGAATATTGCCATTTTAACAGAGTTGTATCTTCTGATCCATTCTCATCCATGAACATGGGATGTCTTTCCTTTTTTTTTTTTTTTTTTTTTGGGGGACACAGTCTTGTTCTGTCATCCAGGCTGCAGTGAAGTACAGTAATGCAATCATGGCTCACTGCAGCTGTAACCTACTAGGCTCAAGTGATCTTCCCTCCTCAGCCCCCCAAGCAGCTAGGATTACAGGTGCATGCCACCACATCTAGCTCATTTTTGTATTTTTGTAGAGATGAGTTCTTGCCATGTTGCCTAGTCTGATCCTGAACTTCTGCGCTCAAGCAGCCCACCCACTTCAGTCTACCAAAGTGCTGGGATTACAGGTGTGAGCCATCACACCTGGCCTTTCCATTTAGTTAGGATTTCTTTAACTTCTTTTGTAATTTTTATATATCTCAGAGTATAAGATTGTCACTGCTTTTGTTAAATTTATTTCTAAGTCTTTTTTTTTTTTTTTTTTTTTTTTTGAGACAGTGTCTCATTCTGTCACCCAGGCTAAAGTACAGTGGTGTGATCTCGGCTCATTGCAACCTCTGCCTCCTGGGTTCAAGTGATTCCACTGCCTCAGCCTCCTGAGTAGCTGGGATTACAGGCACCTGCCACCACACCCAACTAATTTTTGTATTTTAGTAGAGACGGGGTTTCACCACGTTGGCTAGGCTAGTCTTGAACTCCTGACCTCAAGTGATCCGCCTGCCTCGGCCTCCCAAAGTGCTGGGATTACAGGTGTGAGCCATCGTGCTTGGCTTTCTAAGTCTTTTTTTTGGGGGGGGGGGATGCTATTGTAAGTGGAATTTTTAAAAACTTTTCATGTTCAGATTGCTTATTGCTTGTGTATAGAAATACGATTACTACTTGTATATTGAGCTTGTATCCTGTAACTGTGTTGGATGTGTTTATTGGCTCTAATAGTTTATTTGTGGGATTTTCTTAGGATTTTCTATATACAAGATTATATCATCTGCAAATAAAGGTAGTTTTCCTTCTTTTTTTTTAAGCCTGAGTGATTTTTATTTCTTTTTCTTGCCTATTTGCCCTGGCCATAACCTTCAGTGCAGTGTTAAACAGAGTGGTAAGAGTGGATATCCTTGTTTTGTTCTTGACCTGAGGGAGAAAGCATTCAGGCTTTCTCCATTAAGTATGATTTTAGCTATGGGGTTTTTGTAGGTATTCTTTTTTTCCCCCATAGGTATTTTTTATTAGATTGAAGATGTTTTCTTCAATTTCTACTTTGTTGAGTGTTTTTATCATGAAAGCATGTTGGATTTTGTTAAGTGCTTTTTCTGCATCTATTCAAATGATCATGTGGTTTGTATCCTTTATTAATATGGTGTATTACATTAATTGATTTTCAGAAGTTAAGCCAACCTTGAATCCCTGGGATTAAGTCATACTTAGCAATGGTGTATAAGCCTTTTAATATGTTGCTGGATTCATTTTGCTTTGTTGAGGACTTTTACATCTGTATTCATAAGATATATTGGTCTGTAGTTGTCTTGTGATATCTGTGTCTGGTTTTGGCATCAGAGTAATAATGGCTTTATTGAATGGGTTGAGATGTGTTCTTGGCTTCATCTTGGACTAATTTTGGTTGAACTTTGAACATTCATTTAGCAATTGTAAATTCTAATTGCCTAATTACTGAATGAAGATAATAATTAAAGATATAACTGTTTGTTTTTTTGAGATAGAGGCTTGCTCTGTTACCCAGGCTGGAGTGCAGTGGTGTGATCTCCGCTCACTGCAACCTCCACTTCCCAGGTTCAAATGATTCTTATGCCTCAGCCTCCCAGGTAGCTAGGATTACAGGCCCCTGCCACCACACTCAGCTAATTTTTGTTTTTAGTAGAGACTAAAGATACAAAAATTTTATCATGTTGGCCAGGCTGGTCTCGAACTCCTGACCTCAAGTGATCCTCCCAACTCGGCCTCCTCAAGTGCTGGGATTACAGGTGTGAGCCACCACACCCGGCCTTTTTGTTTATGTTTGTTTTAGAGATAGGGTCTTCCTATGTTGCCTAGGCTGGAGTACAGTGGCCTATGGTTTCAAGCACTCCTCCTGCCTCAGCCTCCCAAGTAGCTGGGACTAGAGGCACATGGCACACCCAGCTTGGTTGCCTTCCCCTGCTCCCCCACCCGTGAGACAGGGTCTTGCTATTTGTCCAGACTAGTCTAGAACTCCTAGGCTCAAGTAGTCTCTCCACCTCAGCCTCCCAAGTAGCTAGGATTACAGGCACATGCCACCACACTTGGTAGTCAACTATTTAAAAAACATCTATTATTTAACATTCAGGGTAGAGGTTCCAAGTATAGAACTTTAGATCCTTACTGCCTGCTTGGTTCCCTGGATTTTTTTCTCCTAGTTTTATTTGGGGTACTTACTTTGTTATTTCATTTTGGTTATGCCATAAATAACACCCAATTTTAGCATTCCTGGGATGATTTAGGCAAGCTTCAGAAAAGAGTCCAGAAGAAAATGGAATTGGAAGCATAAAGCCACTAAAATTTTTTCATTGTTCTCTGATCATTTTTTAGCTTTGGATTTTTTGATCATTTAACGTATCAATGAGTAGAAAGGATTTTTCTTGACTACCACATAGCTTATAAAGTGACGGAGTATTCTTTCCTTAGAGATTCTACAGTGTTTAACATCCACTGGTACTCAGTATGTTTATGAATGAATATGTATTAATGGTAGGGCTTTTATAGGGTCTTATTTTACTGAAAATTGAAGATAATCATTCACATTTGGATTACAAGTGTTTGTGTTATGTTATAAACATTTAATGCCGTAGCCCAAATATTAACAAGCATGGTCATATTTTGGTATTGCCACGGTAGGTATTCTGGGAAGTGTGAGTAGTTGTTTTTTCCTACCCTCTGTGCTGAAGGATTTCTTTCTTTTTTTTTGAGACGAGTCTGCTCTGTCGTTCAGGCTGGAGTGCAGTGGCGCGATCTCAGCTCACTGACACTGCAACCTCTACCTCCCGCCGGGTTCAAGCAATTCTCCTGCTTCAGCCTCCCGAGTAGCTGGGACTACAGGCGCATGCCACCACGCCTGGCTAATTTTTTGTATTTTAGTAGAGACGGGTTTTCACCATGTTGCCCAGGCTGGTCTCGAACTCCTGAGTTCTAGCAAACCACTGGCCTCGGCCTCCCAAAGTGCTAGTATTAGAGATGTGAGCCACCACGTCTGGCCTGAAGGACTTCTTATACCAAAGAAGATACAGTTTCATTTAACTATTTTATTTTATTTTTTCTGATGCTGGTTAAAGTTGGTTCATTTGGGACACATTTCATTAGATAAAATTGTGTTTAAATGTGATTGTGAGAATTTGGAATATGGTGGAAAATATTGAATATTATATTCTATAATTTTTGTCAGTCTAATTCAGAAACAAAAAAGATTGCAGTTGAGAAAATCATACATGATTTCTTTGTAAATGAGTTACAGAGATAAGACAGGACCTTTAGCATTTCCTGAATTCCAGTCATGTTCTCGGTAACTTATGGTCTCTTTTATAATATTGTACCCATGACAATTTATACGTTAGATTTCAGGTTTTATCTTCTGCCTGGAAGGATTACATTCAGGGGTTTTAGCCATGCATATTTATCTATAAATGGTCTAAACCAGTACCTCTTTATCTTTCCTTAAAGTACTTTTCAGGGTCTAGGGCTGTTTGGAGCTGTTTGTTACAAGCAGGACATATCTCTCTGAGGACTCCTTTTCTATCTTGAAACAGTGAGAATTTTGCCTTTTGCTCTGTATACATTGAATATCCCTTATCCGAAATGCTTGGGACCAGAAGTTTTTTGGATTTCAGATTTTTCAGATTTTGGGATGTTTGCATGTACATAATGTACTATCTTGGAGATGGGATCCAAATCTAAACATGAAATTCTATGTTTCATGTACACATTATGCACATAGCCTGAAGATAATTTCTTTTTTTACCTTTTTCTTTAAGAGATGATGTCTCATACTGTTGCCCAGGCTGGAGTGCAGTAATGTGATCCTAGCTCACAGCAGCCTAGAACTCCTGGGCTCAAGTCATTCTCCTGCCTCAGCCTCCCAGGTAGCTGGTACTAACTGGTACAGATGCACAGTGCCAAGCCCAGCTAATTTTTTTGTTTGAGATGGGGTCTGATTCTGTTACTCGGGTTGGAGTGCAGTAGCGCCATCTCTGCTCACTGTAGCCTCCACCTTCCAGGCTCAAGTGATTCTCCCACCTTGGCTTCCTGTGTAGCTGGGACCACAGGTGCATGCCACCATGCCTGGCTAATTTTTTGTGTTTTTGGTAGAGATAGGTTTTGCTACATTGCCCAGGCCGGTCTTGAACTCCAGAGCTCAAGTGATTCACCTGCCATGGCTTTCCAGTGTTGGGATTACAGGCCTGAGCCACTGCACCTGGACTTTATTTTTTTTTTTTTTTTCAGAGATAGGGTCTCACTATGTTGCCCAGGCTGGTTTTGAACTCCAGGGCTCCCATCTTGGTCTCCCAAAGTGTTAGGATTACAGGCATGAGCTACCACAACCGACCAGTTTTATACAAAATTTAAAATAATTTTGTTCTTGAAATAAACAGTGTTTCTGATGGTTCAGAGAACCATCAGAAGCAAAGGTGTCACGTGTGGAATTTTCCATTTGAGGTGTCATGTTGGCACTCAAAAAGTTTCAGATTTTGGAGGGTTTTGAATTTTCAGATTAGGGATGGTCAACCTGTAATATATTTGTGTTTATTTTAACAAAAGTACATCTGATTTTACTATAATCCTTGATTAAATTGATACTCCAAAAAAGTTGCTCCTGCATATATTCAGTGGCTTTGGTTACTCCCCGTTTGTAGCTGTATGTTCCTGAGTGTACATAGAAACAAGTTCAAGAATCCAAGAATTAGTGGGTTAAAAATAATGTTCTAGGCTGGGCGTGGTGGCTCACGCCTGTAATCCCAGTACTTTGGGAGGCTGAGATGGGCGGATCACCTGAGGTCAGGATTTTGAGACCAGCCTGACCAACATGGCGAAACTCCGTCTCTACTAAAAATACAAAGATTAGCCGGGCATGGTGGTACGCGCCTGTAGTCCCACCTACTTGGGCAGCTGAGGTAGGAGAATCGCTTGAACCCAGGAGGTGGAGGTTGCGGTGAGCCCAGATTTTGCCATGCACTCCAGCCTGGCAGCCTGGGCAGCAGAGTGAGACTGTGTCTCAAAAAAAAAAAAAGTAATTCCCTTTCCAAGAATGGTATGCTGCTTCATTGGAGGAAACAGGTCTGCCATCTTCCAAAGTCCCTAGGTTTGCCATGCCATCAGAACAAGATTTTACAAGTTGCATCATAACTTAGAATCAGCAACTGACGTAAAAAGAAAAATATATATATATATATTTTGAGACAGAGTTTCGCTCTGTCGCCCAGGCTGGAGTGCACTGGCGTGATCTCCGCTCGCTGCAAGCTCCGCCTCCCAGGTTCATGCCATTCTGCTGCCTCAGCCTCCCGAGTAGCTGGGACTACGGGTGCCCCCCACCATGCCCAGCTAATTTTTTGTATTTTTAGTAGAGACGGAGTTTCACCATGTTGGCCAGGATGGTCTCGATCTCCGGATCTCGTGATCTGCCCACCTTGGCCTCCTAAAGTGCTGGGATTACAGGCATGAGCTACCGCACCCAGCCTGTAAAGACATTTTTTAAGGTGTGTTTTGCCTTGTACACCTGCTGCCTCCTTTTCTCTTTGAACATTTTCCCTTCTGACTCACTTTTGTCAGGCCCTCCACAACTTGGCTGCTCACAGCCGCCTTGAAGTTCTGCGTATTTACCTTTATGTTTCCTTTGGAAAAGAACTCAGGTAGTTTCTTGGTACATTTTGGCCAAATTCTGACACTCAGCTTTATTATCTGATAAAAAGTTTGGGTCCTGCGTAGATTGCTTAATCTGCAAAATCAGTATATTAGAATACTCCTTCTATGTTTGGTCATTGAACGTTCACACATTCTAGTTATTTGAGAATTTTAAAATATTCTAAACTAAAGTTAAAAACATTAGAATTAACTAAAATTCACCAAAATAATCAGGGTGTGTGTGTGTGTGTGTGTGTGTGTGTGTGTGTGTAAACTCATTGAGGAACTTTATTAAAATGTTCGTATAAAATCCTGCTTAAACTGCTTGCACTAGAAATGAGTGCTGGTAGCTGCTATTAAATCCACCACTGTGGAGAAGACCAACAATCTTGGGTGTTAGATTTTAACAAGAGCTGATGGCCTGAGAGAACCTGACTTGTTTCTTTCAGTGATATAATTGTATTCAGCTGAGCTTTAATGTTGTCTTCTGAATTATCCTAAATTATTTCTAGACTTACTAGTACATTTAGGTTTAACCTACAACAGTATTGTTCTCATTACTAACACAGTTAAATTAGGAGGCTGCCTAATAATTAGTTTTTCTTTTGTATGAATTATTGGGTCAGTTCTGTGGTGAGATGGCAAAATAATATCTTTATGTAAATCCTGCAGTTTGTATCAGTAGTATGAGGAGGAAAATATCTTGTTAGGTTGGATTGAAATGAAGGAATGCTATGCATTCTTGTAATACTTTGCCATTTATGAAATGCTTTTGTTTAATCTTACTGAAAGTTTGTTTCTACTGGATTCAGTCAGTACATAAAAATACTGTATGATATTTTGAATCAGTTAAGGCCTCCATTTAATGAAAAAAAATCTTGATTTCTGAGCTTTGTAGTCATTGTAATCAGTATGAGGATTTTCTTCTACTTGCATTTGGCTAAATCTTTATACTTGTGACACTGTGAAATAGGTAGTATGGTTTAGGTTTAATGCCTTTAGCATGTTTGCACATCCAGTTCACCAATTGAGTAGCACTGGTGAATTAGAAGCGGGAAAAGTGAGAATTGAAGACTGAGAGACCCTGATTCCGGCTTTGACGCTTTGGCAATCTCTTAACTGGCTTCTTTCTGTTGGCCTCATTTTCACACTAATAAAATGTGGCGGCTGAACATATTCCTTCTACATCCTCAATTTTTTGACTTAAATTTCTTAACTTTGGTTTAGTTGACTCTGGCTTTCTATTTAATATTTAGCTGGTTAAATATTAATGTGAGAACATGCCTCAGTTTCAGCTTAAAGATGTTTCTTTTATAATTTTAATATGGGTTTTTACATAGGTTTGTGTGTTCATTTCTGTGATATCTAGAATAAATTCTTGAGCTTAATAGGTACTCACTAGATTTTTGTTGAATTAAATGTATTTGAAGTATTTAATGTGGCATTAGATTTATGATTGTAAATAATCATTCTCAGAATATGTTTTTAGGGAGCTAAAAGTATTTTTATATATAGTGTTATCTAAGTTCATGAATGAAAACATTGTTTGCTAGAGTCTAGACAGGGATTTTGTTTTTGAAACAGAGTCCCGCTCTGTCACTCAGGTTGGAGTGCAGTGGTGCGATCTTGGCTCACTGCATCCTCCACCTTGTGGGTTCAAGTGATTCTCCTGCCTCAGCCTCCCAAGTAGCTAGGACTATAGGCATGTGCCACAATGCCAGGCTAATTTTTGTATTTTTAGTTGAGACAGGGTTTCACCATGTTGCCCAGGCTGGTCTCAGACTCCAGGCCTCAGGTGATCCACTTGCTTCGGTCTCCCAAAGTGCTAGAATTACAGGTGTGAGTCACCACATCCAGGCTTTTTTTTTTTTTTTTTTTTTTTTAATTAAAGTAGGTCCAAGTCCTAAGTAGATAGGTGTTTGAAGTTTGAATTAGGAAAGAGGTGCTGATTTTTGCTTCACTCAGATTTTAACCTTTAAAGTTTAGAACTGTGGAAAATAGCTTCATTCACTAATAATAGTTAAACTTAAGAGGTAGGTGGTATTACTACCTCCATTTTACAGAGCAGAATACGTACTTTGCCCAAAGTAACACAAAGAATAAGTGAGGGAGGCAGGATTAGAATCGGGCTACCTAGGTCCTGTGTGCTTAAGTACTACACTCTACCTTTTTCATTTATTCAGTCAGTTCTTATGATGTGTCTCTTTTGTGCCAGGCCCTGGGCTAGGTCCTAGGTAAGTAACCAAAAAAATGGGCCCCTGTGCTTTTGAAACTAAATGGCCTAGGCTTTAGAACTTGTCCTGAGTTAATATATAATAATTGCTTTTTCTTAAGTGCAAAAAAAGTTATTCATTGTCCTTTTGAGATTAGTTTGGACATACGAGGTACTGAATTTGTGAGATTATTCTGTTTAGGAATTTCTGGCTTGTTTAGAAGGTCTGTGGCAGGGAAGGTAGAGAGTGCCTTTTTGGAATACGTTTATTATCTATAGATGAGAGTTACAGATCTTAAATTAGAACAACCACAGTTCCTGCCTGCAAGGGCTTTCAGGCTGGCTTGAGGTGGCAAGACTGGTATATGAAAACAAACTCAGAGGAATTACAGACAGCATTTAACCAAGGGTAATGTAGTGCCACCTCTGTACATTATTGGTTCTTTTTTTGAGACACAGTCTCCTTCTGTCGCTTAGGCTGGAGTGCAGTGGTGTGATCTTGGCTCACTGCAACCTCTGCCTTCCCGGCTCAAGTGATTCTCATGCCTCAGCCTCCCGAGTAGCTGGAACTACAGGCGTGCACCACCATGCTTGGCTACTTTTTGTATTTTTAGTAGAGGCGGGGTTTCACCATGTTGGCCAGGCTGGTCTCGAATTCCTGGCCTCAGGTGATCTGCCTGCCTTGGCCTTCCGGAGTGCTGGGATTACAGGCATGAGCCACCACGCCCAGCCTACATTATTGTCAAGTGAAGTGAGTAGACGATAACAGTGGTGTGGTGGAATATAAGAGGATAACATGAGTTGTAGGTGGATTGGAGAGAGGAATTAACAAGGAATGGTGGTAATGAGGGATGGTCCTCTTTTTCTAGGTAGAGAGAACACAGACAAAGATGGATTGGGTACAGAGCTGTGTGTAAGAGGGAACACCTTTTCCTTTTTTCTTTCTTTCCTTCCTCCCTTCCTTTCTTTTTCTTTTTTTGGAGACAGGGTGTTGCTCTGTTGCCCAGGCTGGTTTGCAGTGGCGTGATCATGGTTCACTGCAGCCTTGACCTCCTGGGCTCAAGTGATCCTCCTGCCTGAGCCTCTGAGTAGCTTGGACTACAGGTGTATGCCACCACCCCCGGCTAAATTTTTTTATTATTTATTTTTTGAAGAGATGAAGTTTTGCTGTTTTCCCTGGGCTGTTCTCAAACTCCTGGGCTCAAGCAATACTCTCACATTGGCCTCTCAAAGTGCTGGGATTATAGGTGTGAGCCACCATGCCTGGCCATGGAATGTCTTTTCTGAGGAAGAAATAATAAGATTAGTTATATAAAATACTGTAATCATAAAGTAAGATACAAATACTAAAAAACATTAGAACTCAATCATTGTTTTTTGACTTCATTTATTATATAAGGAACCTAACTCAAATTGGCTTAAGCAATTAATAAATGTTTATTGTTACATTGTTGTAATGTGGCTGGAAATCCAGAAGTCATACAAATTGTCAGGATTGGTTGATACAGTGGCTTAATGCTATCACCAAGGACCAACTCTCCATTCCCTTTGATGTTGGTGGCATCTTCAGACTTGCTGCAAAGGTGACTGTAGCAGTTTGAGGTGTCACTGTCTGAGGAAGAGGGACTGTTTTTTCCTCCATCATTTTTAGGATTGAAGAACCTTTTCTCACAGTTCTCTTTTGGAGGCTGTCCAGGGGGCTTCTACTCACATCTCATGGCCATTCCTAACCAATCATTGGCAAAGAGAATGGGTTAAAACTAATCAGAATAGAGTGGATATTGGAGAGTCAACACGACTATTCCACGAGTGATTTGAAATATGTTGGTGTTTTTATTTTTTTATCACTTTTCATTTTGAGATGGTCTCGCTCTGTTGCCCAGGTTGGACTACAATGGCATGATCATGACTCACTGCAGCCTTGACCTCCCAGGCTCAAGCAATCCCCTCAGCTTCTGGAGTAGCTGGGACTGTAAGCACATGCTACCACACTTGGCTAATTTAAAATTTTTTTTTGTAGAGATAGGGTCTCACTCTGTTGCCCAGGCTGGTCTCTAACTCCAGAGCTCAAGTGATCCTCCCACCTCACCCTCCCAAAGTGCTGGGATTACAGGAGTGAGCTGCTGCACCAGGCCTTTTTCTTTAAATCTTTTTTTGTTTGTTTGTTTTATTTTGTATGTAGGTGTTTTCAATCAGTCTTTTGGACATCCACTATTTTTTGGGGGGAAATTTAAGAAAATTTATTTCTCTTCATAAGATTTTTGTGTGGTGGCTCATGCCTGTAATGCCAGCACTCGAGTCCAGGAGTTCGAGACCAGCCTGGGCAACATAGGGAGACTCTGTATCTACCAAAACAAAAAGGAGTGAAAAAAATAACAGCTGGGCATGGTGGCATATGCCTGTAGTGCCAGCTACTCAAGAGGCTGAGGTAGGATCGCCTGAGCCTGGGAGGCTGCAGTGAGTTTGATTGCACCACTGCACTCTAGCCTGGGCAACCGAGCAGGACCCTGTCAAAAAAATAAAAGTACAAGTTGATGCCTAATAAGAAAGATGTCTGATTTTAGATAAGAATATACAACAGGTTGACTGATTTAAGTGCCATAAACCCTGTGAACTCTTGACTCTTGCACTAAGCAATGAGAGAAAGGGGAAACTGGAATTTATAGTTCCCCCAAATACATGGTTTTAAAAATGAGCATTTTCCAGTTTTCTCCTAATCCATTAGAAAAATATATTTCATATAATCTTGCTTATTTGGTTGCCTAATTAAATCTGACAGTTGAGTCTTAAAAATTTGGAGCAGCAGTAAGATTATTTTGTTATGGTGTGTCTGAATTTAATATTTAAGTATACGCTGCAAAGGGCTTTGCCTTATTTGGTATTTTTCATTCTGCTAATTTAGATTTCAAGAGCCTCAGATTGGGGCTCTAGTTCGCCATCTGTTGGTCCAATACCCTTCTACTGTATTTTGTGGAATTACTATTTATGTGTGTATGTGTGTACAATAAAAAAGTCAAAGTTTTTCCCCAGGGTTGTAAATTAAAAATCCAAGACTAAAGACCTCTTTTGGATGTGTATACAAATATTAGTTTATTCTTTGTGTAATTTGACCCTATGACTCCAAACTGCCTGCCTTTGGTATTTGAGAACTATGACTATGCTTGAGAGTGTGATTTTAGGAGTACAAATGGAAACTCGCAGAAACCTAGGTGCAGATGTTGCAGGGGCAGGTGAGTTAGTGTAACTTTGTGGGAAGACTAAAACCGTTCTGTAACGACTGTGAGGGTGTTTTTTGATAAGCAGAAGTGACGTATAATGCCGGATATTGGTTCTGGTAAGCCACAAAAAAGTGTGAAGCATTTTGCGTCTTCCTTTTTGGTAGTAGAGCATACATACCCTTCTTATCTGCCGAATTTGATGATTTAATGATTTGAACGATTTTTTCTTCAGTCATTTAAGCTAGTTTTGATGAATCCTAGATTAGTCTTTTAAATCTCAAGATACTCCACTCATCTTTTGGCAACTTTAAAGGGTGGTAGAATTACACTTTGTGTGACACTTTGTATTACATTATGTTTATGAATTCTTTAAGTCTAGGAAAGGTTCCATTATTTTAAAGGTCCTATTTTGGGGACAATATAAAGTTCTGTACTGATAAACTGGTCATGAGAAATGATAAGGTGCCACCACTTTAAACCAACTCTGGTAACGAGGTGGGAAGTTGGCTTTTTGTTGTGAGACTTGTGTTTCTTTATGGAGTTCTTTGTTAAACTTTTAGCATGGCAGTGAACTTCCTTTTGGTGGCGGCAGGAAGCATAAATACTCATTGTGTAATGCCATTTGCCTGTTTTGGCGGATCTGCCAAGCCATGACACCCAAAACAAGACGCGTGTTTCTTCACGAAAACTACAGTTCCCAGCGGGCCCGGCGCCGGCGGGGCCATCACTTGCCCTCTGGCTCCCGGCTGTCCCTTCCCGGGCTGGCCCGGCGCGGGCCCTGGCTGGGGCCTGCGCAGTGACTACGTGCACCCCCCCCCCCACACCGCCCAACTCTGGTGGCTGCGGAGCGAGGTGCTGGGGCTAGTGCCCAGCCGTGCTGCAGTATACGGAGGCTGGCTGCTAGGGACAAAGGGCGGGCGGCGGAAGCCGCTTCACTGGTCAGGGAGCTTTCTGCAGGGTTAGCCTTGGAATAGTGTGGTGCCGACGGCCTTACCCTCTTTACTACACAGTGCAAACAGTTCCTCGCTCACGTCCTCTCGCTCCGCGGCGCCGGCCCGCCCTGCCCCTCAACTGGCGAGCCGCACCGCCGGCCTCAGCACGGAGGGCATGTGACGGCGTCAGTGCCTCAGGTTAGACTCACCTCGGCCGCAGCGAGGGCTGGCTTCCCCCTGCCGCAGTGCTGCGTGCCGTCGCCGCACGTCCGGGGCAGCTGGGGCCGGGCGCCGCGGCCTCCGCAGATGGAGGTACAAAAACATCGGCTACGGCGAGGAGCCATGACTGAGGCGGCGGCGGCCGCGCCTCCTGGCGGCCCGCGGGGGCGGCGCGGCGGGCGCCCCCTGGCGGCGCGCCGGGGTGGAGCGGCCCTTCGCCGCCGCAGCCGCAGCCGGCGGAGGCGCTGCTGTCCCTCCTCCCCTTGTCCCCGGCGCTCGCCCGCTCGCTCGCTCGCTCCATTCTCCCTCCGCTTCAGATTAAAGGGGGGGAGGGAAAAGGAGCTCGGCCGCCATTTTCCCAGTGCCGCCGCCACCGCTCGCCGAGCCGGCGGGAGAACCGAGCACCGTAGCGAAGCCGAGTCGTCTCGCCGCGGCGGCGCGGGGGGCGGCTGAAGCGCGCTCCCCGGCTGGAAAGAGGCGGCCGGGGGTGGCGGCCTGGGTGCGGGTTCGGGCTGCAGACGGCGGTGCTTGTTTGTGCGGGGCGGGGGGGCGGTTTCACTCTCTGCCCCCGCCCGCCCGCCCTCCCGGCCGGGCTGCGGTCTCCAGCCGTGCTCGGGCCCCGTCGGTGCGGAGCAAGGCCGGGAAAGGGCCCGAAAGAGAAGAAAAAGCAGCCGCTCCCCGCCGCCGCCTTCCCCTCCCCCTCTGCCTCGCCCCCCCGCCCGGAAAGTCAGGGCGGCTCCGGGCGTCGGGGGGAGGAGAGCGGCGGGCCCGGGCCGGAGCCGCCGTCGCGCGACCCCGCCCGCCGCTGGCCCTCGGCGCCCAGGCCGGGGGGCTGTTTGCAAACTGCGCCCATTTTGTGGGGCTGAATCCGCCCGGGCTACGCTCCTCCATCACGTGGTAGGTGCTGCTGCTGCTCCTCTCCTCCTCCTGCTGCCCTTTCTCCTTCTCCTCGCTCTCCCTGTGGCTCCCATTTCTCTCTCTCTTTGTTAGTTGTAACTAGAAAGGCAGGGCAGGGTAGAAAAAACCCCCGGAACTTTAAATGGCCTCTCCGGGCTTCCCTGCTGCGGGTCCGGGCTGGGAGTCGCCCCAAGGGCGGGGGTGTGCGGGGGCCCTTCCCCTGGAGCTGCCGCCTCGTTCGCCAGCTTTTCCTTTGGCGTTCTGTTTAAAAAGGCGGCCTGAAGAACATGATTTATTCCCGTAAAAGAACCCCCCAAACAAACTCTGGCTCTCGCCTTGAACTTGACTGCAAAAGGCCTTTCTCTGCTCGAAACACACATCTTGGCGCGTTGCACGGTTTGTATCACAACTCTGATTGTTTCATTTATTATTTTTGTTGCCTGTAAATTCAGGTCACTTACGTTTTCAGATGTAGTCTCCCTCAGGCGGACTTTTTTTTTTTTTTTAAACTAAAGAGGAAGAGGGATTTATTTGCTTTTAAGTGAGTTGGAATCTTAACTGCCTTTTTGGGGGCCTGTTTTCCGGCTGACGGTCTTTTGATTCTTAGCAAATAGTTTGTTTTCCATACGATAAACAACGCTACTCCCGTGTCTTACTTAAAAATCCTCGTTTCCCAATGTTGGAATCCCAATGTGGATTTATAGAGAAACGTGCTACTTAACTATTGCTTACTGATTGCTTTAGGGGAGAAGGGGTGACATAATGGCGCCACTTTAAATTGCTCTCTTTCCTTTTCCTCGGTCCCCCCCACCCCCCTTTATCCTGGAGGTCACTGGAGCATTTTCTGTGACTTATTAATAAAACTGTACTTGAGGGTGTTAGAAGCACAACTCGTAGGGGCTGGAGTTTAGTGCTCCTAGGGTCGGCAGACCGACTGCCGCGGTCCCCAAAGTTCCGAGAAATCTGTCTTCCTCCAGCCTCGCCTCCCTCCCCTCCATTCACAATCCTGGTGTTGCCATCTCCTTTGTCACGTGGCTAGCAATCATTGTGTTTTTTTGTTTGTTTTGGGGTGTGTGTTTATATTTTTAAATTGCAGCTCAGAGGAACCTTTCCTTTTCGCTTTGGAGAGATCAAAACGTTTTACTTGTTTTAGTTTTAGAGTCGGAGAACATTTTAAAATAAACGATAAAATTACATAATCTTTGCCTTGCATAATCATGATATAGTTATAGATTGCTACTGAACTTCATTTTGAAAGTCCTTTCAAGTATGGAAACTAGTACGTTAGAATATGTTTTCCATTTGTCAGGATGGTCTGTAATTTCTGTTTTCTCTGCTTTTTGGGTCAGTTAAAGGACCACTATTTACAAAGGCTTAAGTGGGTGTGTTTTCCCTTTCCCCTTTCCTATAGGCTCTACTTGGTTCCTTTTCTAGCATGCTGTCTGACCAATTTAGAAAATTTCAATTGTCTACAGGCGTTGTCAGGTAAAACTATTTTTTTAACCTATCAACAGTGAATACTTTTGAGTAGTAATTGTTTTGTGCCTAATGCTAAGTGTATTTATTAGCATTTCGGTGTTGATCTAGAAAATTTTTACTTTTAATCCTGTAGTTTTAGAAGTATGTTATTCCTTTATCTGTTTCTTTATATCAGTTTTTCCCATAATTGGGTAAACTCCTATTTTATAAAATACAAAGTACATTTCTGGTTTTTTCTACATAGGTTACTAGACATTTTTTCAATTTGAAAAAACATTTTGAATTAAGAAACTTTTTTTTTAAAGTAAATACGAAATGTGGTTCTTGAGTATGCATTGATCCTGATTTACCATGTACATTGTCAATGGTTTGGACCATTTTCTTTGCTAACAGTTACATCATGTCATGTGATATGTGCAGTGTGATGTGTAGTTCTAAAAATAAGGCAAGGTAAAAATGCTCATCCCTTGGGAATTTAAAAAATGTATTATAAATGTGGAATAACTACCTTCAGTCATGAAATTCTGAATTGGATTTCCACTAGGTTTATGCAACAAAGTGTGCCGTTCCTTCGACCTTTAGCATATTTGGTGTATTTGTTAGTACCTCATAATTTGAGGTGATTGACTTTTTATTTTTTGAACTACTTGGAGGGAAACATTAAATGTTACAAAGGTTCTTAATGTCTATATTATGGTGAAGATGGTTGTCACTGATGGCCACCTCATTTGAGTATATACCAGTGTCTGTGATTGTGACCAGTTAAAAGAATGATCAGTTAAGAATTATTAGAGCCTTTGTGGTAGGGTGGGATTTTCGGTCTTTCCATCTATATGAGTCTACTGAAGTGAAGTATTTTAGAAGTTTTCTTGCATCTTTTCTGAAAGCCACGTTCAGAACATATCGTATTTGACTTTGGTGCTTTACCAACGTGAGATGTTAAATTTTTGTCTGATTTTCTTTCTTCCTGCCTACACATGTTATTTCTCTGGTTAAACCTGCAGAGCACTCTTTGTTACGTGAGTGTTTCCTGTTGAGGAAAATTCTGGAAGTTAGAAAATGAGTAGGCCTTAGTTCACTTGTGAACCCATATCAAGGTGAGAAGAAAGTGAAGTAACTATACTAAACTTTTTTCTTCACTGTCACTAAGGCTACTCTTCCATCTCTAGTAATGCTACATTGTAACCAGTGTCTCTGCGTCTTCTGTAGAGGATTGAGTTGACCACAGGTTTTAATTGCATTTTAAAGTGAATAAGAAGTTTTAGGTTTGTTCTGTTCGTTATGACCTGATTTGTGTACTCTGTAAACATAGGGGTGTTGTGGTTGTTTGAGAAGGTATTTTAGTATTGAGAGGTTCTGATTAGGCCCCTTTGCGAGTAAAGCTTAGTTACCTTGTTATATCAGGCAAGCAATTTTTTTTTTTTTTTTTTTTTTTTTTTTTGAGGCAGGGTCTCGTTCTGTCGCCCATGCTGGAGTGCAGTGGTGCCATCTCAGCTCATTGCAGTCTCCGCCTCCCAGGTTCAAGCGATTCTCGTGCCTCAGCAGCCTGAGTAGCAGGGACTACAGGCATGTGCCATTGGGACTACAGGCGTGTGCCACCATGCCCAGCTAAGTTTTGTATTTTTAGTAGAGACGGGGGTTTCACCATGTTGGCCAGGCTGGTCTCGAACTCCTGACCTCAAGTGATCCACCTGCCTCGGCCTCCCAGAAGTGCCGGAATTACAGGCATGAGCCACTACGCCTAGCCTAGACAAGCAATTTTTAAAATGTGCTATAAAACACCAAACTAATCCACACTGGATTTTCTAAACATAGTAAACGCCATGTTTAAAGAGTAATGCGTATTCCTTTTATGTTTTTTCAGCTTGTGGGGAGATGGGTAGGGGCTATTTTTTTCTTCTTGGTGAGTCCATTAAGACACAGAAATAAGCGACTTTCTTGCTAGATAGATGTATATAGTTTTATTGTCCCTCTCCACCCCCCAACAAAGGACCTCTCCGTTCCATTCCTTGAGTTTAGAGTGGAGGGACTAGGGTAAACTGAATAAGTGGTTGTCTGTTGATTGCCCCAGAGTAAATCTTATTGAGTGGTTTAGAGATTTTGTTTCTTTTTCATTTTAGAGACGAGGTCTCGGGGTCTCGCTGTGATTCCCAGGTTGGCGTGCACAGATGTAATCATTGTGTGCTACAGTTTAGAGTGCCTGAACTCCGGGGCTCAAGTGATCTTCCTGCCTTAGCCTCCTGAGTAGGTTGAGCAACGGGAGCATATAACCTTGCTTGTCTTTTTTTTTTTTTTTGAGACAATCTTTGCTCTGTTGCCCAGGCTGGAGCGCAGTGGCGCGATCTTGGCTCGCTGCAACCTCCACCCCTAGGGTTCTAGCGATTCTCCTACCTCAGCCTCCTGGGTAGCTGGCATTACAGGTGCCCACCACCACGCCTGGCTAATTTTTTTCTATTTTTAGTATAGGTGGGGTTTTGCCATGTTGGCCAGGCTGGTGTTGAACTCCGGACCTCAGGTGATCCACCCACCTCAGCCTCCCAAAGTGCTAGGATTATAAGCGTGAGCCACCGGGCCTGGCCCCTTGCTTGTCTTATTTAGAGTTTTAAAGCAGCTTTCGTTGTACTCTTTCTTCATTTTAAATGTTCCTGCCTTGAGTGATTTGATTAGTCTACGTCTTGGGAAGCGTATTTTACCTTAGTGCCTCTTTACTTACTTACCTTAAGAAAGGAGTACAGGGCAGGTTCTTAAGTAAAATGGCCCCAGACACCTGGCTTGCCTACTGTGTCAGTGCAAAGAACACTTGGATCATGTCTTTTTCCTAAAATTGGACTTCATAACTGTTTCTTGGAAGTCTATTTTAAGACTTTTTTAGTTCTCATGTTGCTTCTGAAGATGTATGTTTAAATTACAGTTTCTATGCTGATAAGTTGCGTATATACCTCTGGGCATACTAAAAGTTGTGCAGAACAATAGTTTATATGACAAGATAAGATTCCCTCATCAGTACTTCCCATTCCCTGAAATGTGAGATCAAAACTCAGTTGAACCACACTATGGCTGTAGAAGACAGTATGAATTAGAAAAGACAAATATCCACTGTACTAGAGTTCACCAGCGTTTGAAGGCTATCAGAAGATATAGGAGGTAAGTGATATCCTTGGGTGTCACTTGCAGATTGAGGGGAGGATTGTGGGTCATAGGAGATGACTAGTATGGCAGGGGGTAACTATTATTATTTGTTTCTTTTTTAAGCCATGTGCCTTTTAGGATGTAGAACAAAATACATAGGAGAAAATAAGCCAAAAGGTGTGATTTACCAAAATACTTGGACTCCAAAAAGAGCTGCAATATATATTTTTCTTTATCAAGCATTTTCTTGTCTTTGGTAGAATAAAGGTAAAGCTAAAATAGAGTGCGGAAACTGACTTGACCAAAGTAGAAAACACAGCTCATGTTTATGAATCAAAAACAAATGAGTTTGGGCAGTCTGAAAGAAAAAATCAAACATTTTATATGAAGATTTTAAACCTTTATGCAAAGAGTCCCTTTAAGGTGGAAGAGACCTTTTAAATAGAGTAGACCTTCCCCATTTAGTAGCACAATGCGGCAAAATAGTTGTTTAATAAATGTTACTTTCTGCAAGCCTTGCTTTTCCAAGATTTTAAGCTGCTTCCACAGTGTTAACATTTGAAAGCCCTCTACCAGGAAATTATTTAGCTGTGTATTTTATTGTTGCTGACTGTGAACTTGCCCTTTTTTTTCCTGGCTGTAATTTTTTTAGAATTAAAGTTTCTTTCCAAGATTTTGAGGGTCAGGAAATGCAAAGTGGAGGTAGATTGAGTGCAGTTTTATCTAAATGTTATTTTAAAAACTCTGGTTCTTGTAACCTGAACCAGGAATCCAAAATGAGATCTTACTCTGAATTTTAATTACAGCAGATTCTGCTCTTATTTGGAAAAAGTTGCTTGAGTGACAGCAAACTTAATGGAGTCCCTCACCTTTTAATTCCTTTTTAAAAAGGGGAGAGCTTAAGGTTAGACTTGGTTAAATTCAGTTGGAAGGTAAGTATTAGGGAATAAAAAAGAGGAATAACAATTTTGTTGTTAGGATGTTAAACCAAAAATTGCTAAGAACTCATATCTAGACTTTCCTCTTGCTGCTTGTTATTTGGCCTTTGTGACTGTTTGTTAGCACCTCCACCAGAGGGTGTGAAGGGAAAGAGGCTCAAAGCTAAGTACTGTAGCTAGTTTCTGGTTTCTAGTATAGGAGAGACACTTCATAGAAATACCAGCCTGGGCTGGGTGTGGTGGCTCATGCCTGTAATCCCAGCACCTTGGGAGGCCGAGGCGGATCACCTGAGGTCAGGAGTTTGAGACCAGCCTGGCTTAACATGGTGAAACCCTGTCTCTACTAAAAAAAAAACAGCAAAAATTAGCTGGACATGGTGGCGCATGCCTGTAGTCCCAGCTACTCAAGAGGCTGAGGCAGGAGAATTGCTTGAACCTGGAGGCGGAGGTTGTAGTGAGCCGAGATCGCACCACTGCACTCCAGCCTGGGCGACAGAGAGAGACTTCGTCTCAAAAAAAAGAAAAAAGAAATACCAGTCTGATAAGTTGAACTGTCAGGAAAGTTTCATTAAACTCTCCGTATGTTACCATGGAGAACTGAAGCTCTTTGAAGACCTTAAGCATGTCTCCAAAAAATTGGACTGTATTTTTTTGCACTTGGTGATTTACTCCTTACCCCTTGCCTCCCAAGAGAATGAAAAATGGATATTAGTATTGACTTAACATTTTATTGGCATTGGAAAAATGTACTTTTAAAAGTCATTAATTGACTTTTCTCTAAAGGTATAAGGTAGGTTTCAGTGGGAACTCAGGAATTTGGCCATGGACCCTCCCAGAATAACCTGTTTCCTTTAGAATTCTTTTTTTTTTTTTTTTTGAGACACAGTCTCGCTCTGTCCCCCAGGCTGGAGGTGCAGTGGCGGGATCTCAGCTCACTGCAAGCTCTGCCTCCTGGGTTCATGCCATTCTCCTGCCTCAGCCTCCCGAGTAGCTGGAACTACAGGTGCCCGCCATCATGCTCAGCTAATTTTTTTTTTTTTTTTGCATTTTAGTAGAGACGGGGTTTCACTGTGTTAGCCAGGATGGTCTCGATCTCCTGACCTTGTGATCCACCCGTCTCGGCCTCCCAAAGTGCTGGTATTACAGGCGTGAGCCACCGCGCCCGGCCTCCTTTAGAATTCTTAAAATCTTCCAGAAGTCGCTGATTTTAGGATTGTTCAGGAGCACTTACACCAACCATTAGGGCTTGTTGGAAAGAGATATGATAAAAAGTATGATTTTTTTTCCTCTGTCTTTTGTCAGCTAAAGAGTGGTAGGAAATTTGAATTCAGTGCTAGCATAGAAGTAGGATTAACACCATTAATAGTTTGATATATAGACATCCTTCAGAAAAAAAAGTTTTCTTGAGATGGTATCTTGCTATGTTGTCTAGGCTGGTCTTGAATTCCTGGGCTCAAGCAGTCCTCCCACCTTGACTTCTAGAGTAGCTGGTATTACAGGCATGAGCCATGGGGCCTAGCCTATCCGTGTGTGTGTGTGTGTGTGTGTGTGTGTGTGTATGTGTATGTGTGTATATATATATGTGTGTGTATATATATGTGTATATATATATATATGTTTAATGGGATCATACTTGTTATATGGCTTGATCTTTTTAATTAGGGTTTTTTTTTTGTATTCCAGTTCTTTAGTGAAAGCATTGTGTATACATCTTTGAGTACCTATGAGAATATTTCTGTTGAATAGATTTCTAGAAGTGCAGTTGCTGGGTAAAAGTTTGAGCAATTACATTTGTGATTTTGATGGCTATTACCTTTATAATGCTGTGTAACCACATTTAATAATAGCTTAAAAAGTGTAGTTAAAAAGTTTCCTAGTCTAGGTACAGGTGCTTGGTCAAGTAAATAACTGGAACTTGTAGTGGGTGAAGCCTATCCTAGGTTCAGTTGATGCCTCTTCTTGTTAGGTGGTTGATCACTTCAGACATCCCCATTAACGTCCTAATGGATCTTCATCTGATGGGTTTAGCATAGAATGCTCAGGTTGCTTAACGTGTGTTGGTCTGCTGTCTGCCAGGCATTGTGCTGCTTGTAGGGGACAGAGATAAAACAAGCTATAACCCTCCTTTTTTAAGAAGTACATAGTTGGCCAGGCGTGGCGGCTCATGCCTGTAATCTCAGCACTTTGGGAGGCCGAGGCTGGCGAATCACGAGGTCAGGCTAGGCCAACATGGTGAAACCCTGTCTCTACTAAAAAAGACAAAAAATTAGCTAGATGTGGTGGCGGGTGCCTGTAATCCCAGCTACTCAGGAGGCTGAGGCAGGAGAAACGCTTGAACTCAGGAGGTGGAGGTTGCAGTGAGCCAATATTGTGCCGCTGCACTCCAGCCCGGGTGACAATGAGAGGCTCTGTTTCAAAAAAAAAAAAAAAAAAAAAAAAGTACATACTCTGGGGAAGAAAGAGACAAGACAAAATTGTGAGTTTATATTGTACCATGAGCAATAGCCAGGGTGTCATGGGGGTGCAGGTAAGAGCCTAGAGGGAGGGACCCCACCTCAACCTGGGAGTAATGGGGAATACTTGAAAGAGCATGTAACCTTGAGCTGAACCGTGAAAGAGTAGCATGAGTAAAGGTGCAGGGGCATAGAAGAGCCAGGAAACATATGTTTCAGGTGGCTGCAGTGAGGACAGGCTGGAGATGAGGTCTAATGTAAAAAGGGGACAGATAATGGTGTGTGGGGAATTTGGACTCATCCTTACTCTAGAGTCAGTGAAAGATTTTAAATGGTTAGATTTAGGTTTACCCCCTCCTTTCCTTTTTTCTTCCCTTTCTAATAATCATTTTGGTAGTGGACGCTAGATTAGAGGCTTGCTGAGACAGGAAGAAGGGAGAATAGTTGGGAGATTATTACTGCCTGAATTACTATAGTACATAATGAGGTTCTGCACTAGGGCATTGGCACCAAGGATGGAATGAATGTGCCTGTCATTCTGTGTGTTGCCAACCCTCACCCTCTGTGCACCACCTCGGACCTTTCAAAATTCAGTCAGTATGTCATCTTTTCTAGAAGCCTTCCTTGACCCCTTCAGGTGAAATACAGTACTTTATCAAGCTAGGCTACCTTCACACCTAATTTATATTTTACTATCTTGTATCTGGCATTTAGTAGATGTTTAAATTAAATATTTATGGTAAAAAGTAAGTTGGTGATTTGAGGTCATGATTAACTCAAATAGACAATGTTGAGGAGCAGGAGGAAGTTTTGGATTTGGTGTTGGGGCAGGGAATGGGTTTTGAATATGGGATGCTTGAAGTAGTTGTATAGGCAATGCTGAATTCTACTCATTTCTTTCTTTTTGTTTTTTTGGAGACAGTCTCATTCTGTCGCCTACGCTGGAGTGCAGTGGTGCCATCTCAGCTCACTGCAGCCGCTGCCTCCCAGATTCAGGTGATTCTTGTACCTCAGCCTTCTGAATAGCTGGGATTACAGGCAAAGACGGGGTTTCACTGTGTTGGCCAGGCTGGTCTCAAACTCCTGACCTCAAGTGATCTTCCTGCCTTGGCCTCCCAAAGTGCTGGAATTACAGGCGTGAGCCACCTCTCCCGGCCCTACTCCTTCCCTTCCTTCCCTCCCTCCTTCCTTCTTTCCCTCCTTTTCTTCTCTCACCTCCTCTCCTCTCTCCCCTGTCTCCTCTCTCCTCTCCCCTCCCCTCTCCTCTTTTCCTTCTTTTGAGACAGAATCTTGCTCTGTAACCCAGGCTGGAGTGCAGTGGCGTGATAACAGCTCACTGTGACCTCCACCCGCCAGGCTCAAGTGACCCTCCCACTATGCCCAGCTAATTATTATTTTTTTAGAGACTGGGTCTCAGTGTGTTGTCTAGGCTAGTCTCAAACTCCTCCTGGGCTCAGGCGATCCTCCTGCCTTGGCCTCCCAAGGTGCTGGGCTTATAAGTGTGAGCTACCATGGTAGGCCATCATTTAAAAAAAAAAATTAGTGTTTTTGTTTGGGTGGCTTTTTTAGATGGGGGCTATGTTGCCTAGGCTGGCCTTGAACTCCTTGCCTGAAGCCATCCTCCTGCCTCCTGAGTAACTGGAAATACAGGCGCCTGCCACTGCACCCAGCTCCTACTCATTCTTTAGGTTTCAGCCTGGATGTTCTTTTTTCTGAAAAGCATTTTCTGACTCCGCCTACTTCTCAGCCTGTATGAGGATTGCCTCCGTCCCCCAAATCACACAGTAGTGTCTCTCTTTACTGCTGCTTGTCATCCTTGTATGTACTTACTGTGGTGCTTTGAATACTCTAGGCATTTTAATATTTATTGGAGATACTCAGTAGGTAGTTGGTGTTCTTTGACTGACTTTCCTCTAAAGACTAAAATTCAGAATTTACTGTCAGGCAGTTAAGACCGTTTCAGTTTAAGCCTTAAACTATCTAGTGTAGTAGTTAAAAGCATCGGCTTTAGCATTATGGATCCTGCCCCTGCAACTTCATAGTTGTGTGATCATGGGCAAATTACTTAACTTCTTTGAGCATCTATAAAATGAGGACAGTAGTACTTACCTTACATTGTTATTGTGAAGATTAAGAGAATATATGTAAGATACTTAGCATAGTGATTGACATAGTAAAACGCTAATTAATGTTAGTGAACAACATTTGTAATAACCTATCCTGCACTCAGGAATGATTCCTTTAGTAATATAAAGCTTTTTCAGTTAAGAAGCCCTGTTGGCCAAGGAAATTGATAATGGTCTTGTGGGTGACACACATTATCTCTTTGTTTTATAGTAAAAATTTTGTCTCTCCTTCCCCATTGTATTCCACAACAAATCTACTTTTGTTTATATGTAAAATAAATACTTTGCAGTGCATTCCATAATGTAGCTTGCAGTACTTCATCACAAATCACTGTTCTTTTCCTCTCTTTCTCTTGAGAAGCTGTACATATACCACCTGATTCATGCAAGTTGTTTTGTGGATCATGCCCCACGTCTTTCCCATTATTTTGATTGTGTCAATTTTTTGATTCGTGTTTCCTCCTTTTTCTCTTCTTAGTAAAATCTTACACTTGAGGGCAACCCCCACGAGGCCTTTTTGACTTCTCTAGTCCAGTCATTTAGGGCTTACAGCACTTACTATGTACCAAGCTCTCGATAAAGTTAGCACGCTAAAGAAGGGTGCTGTTAAGGAATTTTGCTTGTCTTGGAAATAGAATTAGTTAACAATTAGGGAAAATTCAGATAATTTGAACTGAATGACAGTGACTTTAAGTGCATTATACAATTCAAGCAGGAAGAAAGTGATATGAATTGGAAGAGTCTTAAGAAGTTTTTGTGGAGATGCTATGTATTGAAAAATTAGTAAGTTTGGGGACCAAAAAAAAAAGTAGAAGAAGGACCTTCCAGGTAGAGGTAGCAACATAGGCAAAGATACGGAGTTGGGAATCTGTGGGGAGTTCTGGGTCCGTATCAATTGATGTGCTTGCCCTGACGTTAAGTTTCATCTTGAAGAATTTGAACTCATTAAAAAGGTGTGAGGGGCTGGGTGTGGTGGCTCATGCCTGTAATTCCAGCACTTTGGGAGGCCGAGGCGGGTGGATCACCTGAGGTCAGGAGTTCGAAACCAGCCTGGCCAACGTGGTGAAACCCCATCTCTACTAAAATTACAAAAAAATTAGCTGGGTGTGGTGGCAGGCACTGGTAATCCCAGCTGCTCGGGAGGCTGTGGTAGGAGAATCGTTTGAACCTGGGAGGCGGAGGTTGCAGTGAGCGGAGATCGCGCCATCGCACTCCAGCCTGGGGGACAAGAGCGAGACTTTGTCTCAAAAAAAAAAAAAGTGTGAGGAACTTGTTCAGAGTAGGAAAGTGAGATGATAAAAAGGTAAAGGATAGTTTGGGGCACTGAGGCACTAGTCAGGAAGCTGTTGTGATAATCTAGACAGGAGCTGATGAGGACCTGGGCTAGACTGATAGTGTTAGAAGTATAGAGAGGACATACCAAACCTGAAAAGCTTCGTGAGAAAAGAAGGATTTCGTCACAAAGGAGATGAAATTATGAAGGAAAAGAGAGCTTTCTTTCCATTCTTTATAAGCCATCATGTTTTTGTTTGTCATATATTTGGCCTTTTTGTTAGACTGGCCCCTTCACATTTCTGGATTTAAGCTTTGGTAGAGACTTTGACTATTATTTCCTGGTTGAAGTTCTCATTGCATCATATCTGGATTATTGTGGTAGCTTTTTTATTGGTCTTTGCCATCTATAGATGCCTTTTTACTTACTTTGAATCCATCCTACCCAACTGATCTCTCTAAAGCACAGTCTGATGTTTCACTCCCATTTAAAAAGTGTTTAATGATACTCTGCTGTCATTATTTTATATATACATATACATATATATGTGTGTGCATATATATATGTATATACTTTTTATTTTTCAGAGACTCGATCTCGCTATGTTGACCAGGCTGGTCTCAAACTCCTGGCCTCAAGCAATCCTTTTGCCTTGGCCTCCCAGAGTGCTGGGATTACATGTCTGAGCCGCTGCACCTGGCCTCTGCTGTCTTTGTTTGTTTGTTTTTGTTTTTGAGACAGAGCCTCTCTTTGTCGCCCTGGCTGAAATGCAGTGGCTCAATCTTAGCTCATTGCAGCCTCTGCCTCCTGGGTTCAAGTGATTCTCATGCCTCAGCCTCCCTAGTAGCTGGGACTACAGGCACCTGCCATCATGCCCGGCTAAATTTTTTATTTTTATTTTTATTATTTATTTCTTTTTTTGAGATGGAGTCTCACTTTTGTCACCCAGGCTGGAGTGCAATGGTGCGATCTCGGCTCACTGCAACCTCTGCCGCTCGGGTTCCAGCGATTCTCCTACCACAGCTTCCCGAGCAGCTGGGATTACAGGTGCCCGCCACCACACCCAGCTGATTTTTTTGTATTTTTATTAGAGGCGGGTTTTCACCACGTTGGCCAGGCTGGTTTCAAACTCCTGACCTCAGGTGATCCACCCGCCTCAGCCTCCCAAAGTGCGGGGATTGCAGGCGTGAGCCACTGTGCCTGGCCCCTCTACTGTCTTTAAGTCTGAATTAAGGCTATTAAAGGCTGTCCGTTAAGGATCTGGCTTCAAACTGCCTTTCCACCTTCATTCTACTATTTCCTCTATTAAAATGTGCTTTGTGTTTTAAGCAAATTGTTAATTTTTTTTTTTTTAAGATGGAGTCTCGCTCTTGTTACCCAAGCTGGAGTGCAGTGGCCCGATCTCAGCTCACTGCAACCTCTGCCTCCTGGGTTCAAGCAATTATCCTGTCTCAGTCTTCCAAGTAGCTGGGAGTACAGGTGCGCGCCTCCACACCCGGCTAATTTTTGGTAATTTTAGTAGAGATGGGGTTTCGCCATGTTGGCCAGGCTGGTCTCCTGATCTCAGGTGATCTACCCGCCTCAGCCTCCCAAAGTCCTGGGATTATAGGCATGAGTCACTGCGCCCGGCCCAAATTGTTCATTTCTTTTAACCTTCAGAATGTCGCCTTTTCCCACACAGCGTTGCCTTTTCTTATGCCATTTCCTCTCACTAGAATGCCACATTACCATTCTCTTGTCCTAGCCTTTTGCATAATGACATTTTAGCTAATTTTCAAGTCTCAGCTAAAATTGCGGCAACTTCATGGACACTTCCCTAATCATCCTTCCTGCTGTTTCTTTCCGTCCTTTGTGTAGAGAAATGAGGTAATGGTGAAGGAAGAGGTTAGTAGAAGCCACATTATGGGCAAACTTTTCTTCCCCATCTGATTTTTGCTTTTGCTTTCAGTGCAAGTGTGGTTGTAATACTTGTCTTGTTGGCCACCTGGATGACCTATTCCTTCCCCTTTGTTCTCTGCAGCTAAATATTTTTGCAAGGTGGATGCTTCCAGGTTATTCTTGTGTATCTGGAGTCTTGTGTTGGAAATTGACTGGGAATAAATGAGGTTTTCATTTGTGGGTGTGGAGTTAGTTCTGACTTACAGTATTTGAAGCAGCTGGATACGTTTTGCTTTTGAAAGAGTATATATATGTGTGTGTATAATCTTTAGGATATGGTTCTCTGTTGGGAGGTGTGATGTTGAACCCCCCAGCTCCCATATTTGACATGTCTGGAGACATTTTTGATTGTCATAATTTTCAGAAGGGCACTACTAGCATCTAGTGGGTGGAAAACAGAGATGTTGCTAAACATGCTACTGCCAGGATAGCCCCCTGTGATAGATTACTCATCGTGAGATGTCAGTTAGTGGTTAGGTTGAGAAACTCTATCCTAGAAGTATATTTTTGCTTCCCAAGTGCCACTTGTGTTAGGTAGAAGTTTGTCCTTGGACCGATGGTGCAATTTAGAATAATAGAATTAACATAGGAAGGGACCCTAGAGGTCACATATTTGAACTTTATCCCAACTTGTATTTCTCACAATGATGTTTCTGCTTGATATTAATAGATGTAATGGAAAAAGGTGCTTGTTAAAAAAGTTTGGTAAAGGTAAACATTTGCATATTCAGTATGATGCAATACGTTGTGAGTCTCCATCTGGGAAGTTTTTCCGAAATGTATTTGCTTGCTGAGTGCATTTAACATCTTCCAGACCCTAAAATACTTCTTTGAAACTGAGAGAGAAACTATTGATTATCTAGCCCAACCTTTTATAGCTAAATGACCTTGAATAGGTAGCCTTTTCTTTTATCTGTACAAGCTTACTGCAGAATCTCAATTTGTGTGAGTGACAGCAGGTGTAGCAGCTCCATCTGTATTTGTCAGATTATAGTTTACTAACTGAATGAACTAAAAATTGGGATATTTGGGGCTTGAATTTTTATTCTGAATGTACAGTCTGACTCTATCCCTACCGGTAAATTAGAAATTATAATCTCAGCCCTAATTCTACTGCCCAGGTTGTTATGAGGATTAATCAGTTAATTATAGCTTTTAAGGCTTTGTATTCTTTGGAGAAAGATGATTTATCAGATAGGCTGTTGTGCTGTTTGTGTAGAACTGCTTCCTTTTTTTGTTTTTCGTTTTTTTTTCCTTTAGCCCTGAGCTTCTCTAAGAACTGCTTAAATTTGACAGTCTTCCCCTGCTTTACATTGTCGAAGATTGAAGCTTTTTGAATTTTGTAGGGGTCAAGTGGGATAGGAATCATTGTTTTGCTCTGTATATTAAATTTAAGAATGTTACTATGGGCCGGGCGTGGTGGCTCATGCCTGTAATCCCAGCACTTTGGGAGGCCAAGGTGGGCAGATCACGAGGTCAGGAGATGGAGACCATCCTGGCTAACATGGTGAAACCCTGTCTCTACTAAAAATACAAAAAACTAGCTGGGCGTGGTGGCGGACGCCTGTAGTTCCAGCTACTGGGGAGGCTGAGGCAGGAGAATGGCGTGAACCCGGGAGGTGGAGCTTGCAGTGAGCTTAGATCACGCCACTGCTCTCCAGCCTGGGTGACAGAGCGAGACTCCATCTCTTAAAAAAAAAAAAAAGAACGTTACTGTGATTTTGTTTTACTTAGTTATTGGCTCTTTAAGAATTTCCATTGTTTTCTTTTTGTTTCTCTCCATTTTATTATAGAAGTAATACATGTTTATGGTGGAGACTTTACATAAGCCAAGGAACAAAAGACAAAATAATCTTACCAATGACTTTTTAAAGCAAAATTGAGATGATACTGTGTTTTGTTTTGTAACTTTTTTTCATTTAATAATGAAGCAAGCACTTTTCTATGTTAGTAAATATAGCTCTGCCACACTTAGGGTTGCACAGTATTCCATTGTATGGATATTTAATAATTTAACCGAGTTTTTGGCATTCAGTTTTCTTTTTATTATAAACAACATCATGAAATATTAAAAGTAAGTCTAGACATAACAGGGAAAAGATTAAAGTACTAAACTTAGGTGGTGGTTTATGGCAATTGTAGCTAATTGCAAACTAGGTGCATTTTTTCCTGTGCATTAAAAAGCCATGGAAATTCATTCCTTCTATGTTTCCTTTTTGTTTCCAGTGTAATAAAAGTGCAAATAATACTGGGTGGTTGCTCCAGGTACGTGGCCAAGTAATTGAAAGTATCTTATTTCATCATCATAGCATCCTTGTCGGGAAGGCTCTGTTACTTGTAGATGAGGAGACTTAAAGAACAGAATAGTTAGGTAACCTACAGGAGGTGGAGCCAGGACGGGAACTGAGATTTGCTCACTTGAGTCAGTGCTCCTCTTACTTATGAATATCTCTGGGAGTAATGTTGAATCTTAGCATAGTATTTCAAGTCAATAAAGGTATGTCAAGTCAATAAATGGTATTTCTTTGGTATAGAAATCTCAAGATTTAGGAATTAGGAATGGGAATTTTTTCGGAAAAAGTGGTCACTTTTTCCTGTTCTCTGCACTCTCTCTCCTCCCCCACCCCCTTACTTAGATGATTGTTTTAGTAACTACACTATGCTGTGTATCCTATGGGGATATTGAGACCAAGGATAAAGTGCAAATCAAATAAACTATTGTCTTTGAAGTGTATATGTTAATGTCAAGTTCATAGACATCATTTCAGAGAAGTCTTGGAGTAGATGGGATTTTTTTTTTTTTTTTTTTTAAGATGGAGTCTTGCTCTTGTTGCCCCGGCTGGAGTGCAGTGGTGCAATCTTGGCTAATTGCAACCTCTGCTGCCTGGGTTCAGGTGATTCTCATGTCTCAGCCTCCCAGGTAGCTGGGATTACAGGCGCTCGCCGCCACACTCAGCTGATTTTTGTATTTTTAGTAGAGACAGGGTTTCACCATGTTGACCAGGCTGGTCTTGAACTCCTGACCTCAGGTGATACGCCTGCCTCGGCCTCCCAAAATGCTGGGATTACAGGCGTGAGCCACTGTGCCCAGCTGGAGTAGATGGGATTTAAGCCGGCATTTTTTCTTAAAGTTGTAAGCTTTAAAGAATTGAATAATCTCAGAATAACTTTGAGAAGTTTACTACTTAAGCACCTTCTGTGATGTGATGTTAATTATGACCCTCTTTTTCATTTGTGCTGGAGTGAGCCTGGGTTTTCCTAAGTTTTATGTAAGTCATAAAGCATATTTGTGCCCTTGCTTGGGTCCTCAGAGGGAAGCTGTTTCCTGCCCTTGCTAAGTCTTACTGTAGTGCTGTCAGGCAGTAGGGTACAATTACTCTTCACATGTTGTATTAATCATCTGGCACTGATAATATGCCTCCTTGCATTGCTCATATCAACTACATATTGACATTCAAAAGGGGAGGAGATTGAATTGATGGGAATTATCTGGTAGTGATTTTTGTTTGTCCATGGGAAAAACCCTTTGCATATTATAAAAGTGACTCAAAATATTTTTAACAACTATATTGGTCCAGCTGTCAACTGGTCTATAACACAATGTTTAATAACAGGAATTAGTACTGTCAACTGGTCTGTAACACAATGTTTAATAATATATTAGGAATTAGTATTATATTTAAAGTTAGAAATGGGAAAAGACAACATAGAATAATTTGTGCCACACAGAATGCCATATGCCAGAAAGCCCACAGGAGAAAACTACATAAGCCCTGAAAATCTAGTTCATAAAGAGTGTTGGTTAAAATACAACCCTGGAACAAGAAACTTTTGGTGTTAATAATTATATGAGGCCAGGCACAGTGGATCACACCTGTAATCCTAGCACTTTGGGATGCTGAGGCAAGCGGATCACCTGAGGTCAGGAGTTTGAGACCAGCTTGGCCAACGTGGTGAAACTCCATCTCCATTAAAAATACAAAAATTATCTGGGCATGGTGACACATGCCTGAAGTCCCAGCTACTCGGGAGGCTGAAGCAGGAGAATCACTCCAACACAGGAGGCGGAGGTTGCAGTGAGCCGAGATCACGCCACTGCACTCCAGCCTGGGCGACAGAGCGAGACTACATCTCAGAAACACACACACACACACACACACACACACACACACACAGCAATAAGACAGATTCGACCCATATGTATATTGGTGCTTTTATGAATAATGTTTTCTCAGTCATTTATTTGAGTATTTTTATGTTAATGATTCAAATTGTCATACTATAAAGAAGCTTACTGTGGTCCTGTAGGGCCTACCATCCTGTGTTGGTATTGCTCCAAAGGTAAGCATTTTTGATTAAATTGGAGATTGCCCTCATTTGGGGCAGGGAGGGGGGTGCTTAGTCCAGTGATTTCACAAGCATTTTGGTCTCAGGAGCCTTTTTTAACTCTTAAAATTTGTTGAGAACAGCAAATAAATTGTTTTTCTTATAAACTTTGAGAAATTTAAAAAATATTTAATAAGTAATTCAGGCTGGGCATGGCGGCTTATGCCTATAATCCCAGGAGTTTGGAAGGCTGAAGCTGGGAGTTTGATAGCAGCCTGGGCAACAAAATGAAATTCCATCTCTACAAAAATTCAAAAAATTAGCCGGGAATGGTGGCACACACCTATAGTCCCAGCTACTAGGAGGCTGATGCAGGAGGATCACTTGAGCCCAGGAGGTTGAGGCTTCAGTGAGCCATGATTGTGCCACTGCACTCTAGCTTGGGTGACAGAGCTAGACCCTGTTTCAAAATAACAGCAACAAATAAATGATTTGTCTTGCACTTAAACTTTTTACCCATGCATGATTTCCTGACATTCACTGGACATTTTATTGTTCACTGGGTTATGCAGATCTTCCAAATGTTACACATTACATTATATGCAATCAAAAATTCACATTCATTAATATCGTCACAAGTCTGTTAAATCAGAAATGGCTTTTAAAATATTCAGAAAGTCCGAATGTGGCAGCTTAGGCCTGTAATCCCAGCACTTTGGAAGGCCGAGGTGGGCGGATCATGAGGTCAGGAGATTGCGACCATCCTGGCCAACATGGTGAAACCCTGTCTCTACTAAAAATACAAAAATTAGCCAGGCGTGGTGGCATGTGCCTGTAGTCCCAGCTACACGGGAGGCTGAGGCAGGAGAATCACTTGAACCCAGGAGGCAGAGGTTACAGTGAGCTGAGATCATACCACTGCACTCCAGCGTGGCGACAGAGCGAGACTCTGTTAAACACACACACACATCCACATCCACCAAATAAAATATTGGGAAAATGTTTAAGTTCATGATTGTTGATACCAAAAACACTAATCTTTGCCTAAAAAATTCAGATTTTATTATTGGCAGCAAATATCGTCAGTGGTCTTCCTTGAAGTGACAGGTTCACTTTGTTCATTTGCAAGGAAATGTCTGCTAGTGAAGCAGGTTTCAAATAATGTTTGTCAGTAGTTCTGCCAAGTAAAAATCGTGTTCCATGAACAAAGCTCTAGTTCATTTTGCAACTCAGTTGTACTGTGCTTTTTCCTGAGAATTCATAAAGCAGCAGAATGCTTTATGCATGCTTTCCCTTTCATCACAAAGAATATTTTTAAAAAATGCACTAAAGGCTCAAGATAATTCATAATTTTTGCTGTTCATCAAGGACATCTTAAGTGGAACTCCCTTAAAAAAAGAAAAACTGAGTGGAGAGTATAATGACTATTAGTATAGTTTGGTGCCTCTTCCTTGATTTGTGCTAATAATGTACCAGCAGTTTTGTTCACCTTTGTTTTTGTACTCTGATTGCAAATGTCAACACAGTGTAAAAGGCAGATAATATTCTAGTATTGCTATGAAAATACCTTTGATTTCACGAACCTCCAAAATAGCCTGTGAGATCCCCAGAAGTCCAGAGACCACACTTTAAAGAACAACTGGCTTAGTTCTTTACGTATGTTTCCTTTGGCTCCCAGACCACATAGATCAAGGGGGATCAAACAGAGGCAAATGACTGAGATTTTTAGCTTGGTTACTAAATAAAAGCAGTGTCATTACTTAAGGTAATGAAACAGGATGCGGAATAGTGTGCTGGAAGGAGAAAGTGAATTCTGAGCTTCAGGGGGCTTGAGGAACATAGAGGTATAGGAATCTTGATTAGTGCAGCTCAGAAGTTTTTCTTATGGTTAAGAAACCTTACCATACTAGTGGTTGTTGAGAGAGAAGAGGGCAGAAGGGACCTTGTGCAGCACCAGCATTTAAGGGTCCAGGAGGAAGAGAAGAGGATGATAGTACAAGGACATCAGGAAAGAATTAGAAGAAGGTCGGTATTGTCCAGTGCTTCAGAGAAGTCAGATAGAATGGGGACTGAGGTTTGACCATTGGATTTGATAATAAGATTACTGGTCACCTTTGCCAGAGCAGTAGGGGGTGAAATCCAGATTATGGAAGAGTGAAGAGTGCAGAGACAGTTATTTATACTATTCTTAGAGAAGTTTTGGGGTAAAGGGAAAGAGAGATATTTGGGCAATTAAGTATGAGAGAGAGGCTGTACTGAGGGCAGAAGATACTTGAGTACATTCCTAGGCTGAGAGGAAGAAGCCAGTAGAGAAGATATTGATGACCACTTTGATCTGAAAGAAAAGAAAACTGATGAAACAAGTTGGTATTACAGATGTGGTACAGTTAGCTTTGTAGTATAATCTGTACTTCTAGAGAAGTGAGAAGCTGATGAAAACTGGATTCCCTGGCCAGAAAAATGCACAGACCTGTGATATTTGGCATACTTTTTTTAGTGAACACGGGAATTCCTTACTAATTTTTTTCTGTTTAATTATTGCTTAGTTTGATGTGTCTTGCTTTAAATCCATTTATTTCAACAAGCTTAAAGAGATTTTTTTTTTAATGGAGATGATTTAATTTTAACAATCTGTGATTTTCTCTGAATCGAACTTGTGTTTTGGCACCTTTCAATCTGTGGTAACAAATGACAAGAAGGGTGCAATTCTTCCTTCTCTTGTGCAGGGATTTTGCCTCCCCCTTTCTCCCAGATGAAAGATATTTGGGTCTCTAGAATAACTGTGGTACAGTTAGCTCCAGAGTGTTTTCTTTCTGGAGGCAGTTTAGACAACAGCCTCAAGTAGTGCTTTTGTTAAAAATATACATGTTTTTAAAAGTGCTTGTATTTCTAATACTCTTTTCTCCTTTCTCTTCTAGTCTGTTCTCTGGGGAGGCAGTAAGGGGCCGTGGAGCTGGCCTCGGCCTCGGCATCGGGAGAGGCTGGACTTCCTGTCTCTCTGTGCTGAATGGCTGCGATGGCGCCCGCTCTCACTGACGCAGCAGCTGAAGCACACCATATCCGGTTCAAACTGGCTCCCCCATCCTCTACCTTGTCCCCTGGCAGTGCCGAAAATAACGGCAACGCCAACATCCTTATTGCTGCCAACGGAACCAAAAGAAAAGCCATTGCTGCAGAGGATCCCAGCCTAGATTTCCGAAATAATCCTACCAAGGAAGACTTGGGAAAGCTGCAACCACTGGTGGCATCTTATCTCTGCTCTGATGTAACATCTGTTCCCTCAAAGGAGTCTTTGAAGTTGCAAGGGGTCTTCAGCACGCAGACAGTCCTTAAATCTCATCCTCTCTTATCTCAGTCCTATGAACTCCGAGCTGAGCTGTTGGGGAGACAGCCAGTTTTGGAGTTTTCCTTAGAAAATCTGAGAACCATGAATACGAGTGGTCAGACAGCTCTGCCACAAGCACCTGTAAATGGGTTGGCTAAGAAATTGACTAAAAGTTCAACACATTCTGATCATGACAATTCCACTTCCCTCAATGGGGGAAAACGGGCTCTCACTTCATCTGCTCTTCATGGGGGTGAAATGGGAGGATCTGAATCTGGGGACTTGAAGGGGGGTATGACCAATTGCACTCTTCCACATAGAAGCCTTGATGTAGAACACACAACTTTGTATAGCGATAATAGCACTGCAAACAAATCTTCTGTCAATTCCATGGAACAGCCGGCACTTCAAGGAAGCAGTAGGTTATCACCTGGTACAGACTCCAGCTCTAACTTGGGGGGTGTCAAATTGGAGGGTAAAAAGTCTCCCCTGTCTTCCATTCTTTTCAGTGCTTTAGATTCTGACACAAGGATAACAGCTTTACTGCGGCGACAGGCTGACATTGAGAGCCGTGCCCGCAGATTACAAAAGCGCTTACAGGTTGTGCAAGCCAAGCAGGTTGAGAGGCATATACAACATCAGCTGGGTGGATTTTTGGAGAAGACTTTGAGCAAACTGCCAAACTTGGAATCCTTGAGACCACGGAGCCAGTTGATGCTGACTCGAAAGGCTGAAGCTGCCTTGAGAAAAGCTGCCAGTGAGACCACCACTTCAGAGGGACTTAGCAACTTTCTGAAAAGCAATTCAATTTCAGAAGAATTGGAGAGATTTACAGCTAGTGGCATAGCCAACTTGAGGTGCAGTGAACAGGCATTTGATTCAGATGTCACTGACAGTAGTTCAGGAGGGGAGTCTGATATTGAAGAGGAAGAACTGACCAGAGCTGATCCCGAGCAGCGTCATGTACCCCTGTGAGTAGACCTCATGCATGATAGCATTCTTGAGAAATGTTGGCACAAGGAAGAATGAATGAATCGCCATTATGGAGAGAATGTGATTCTTTGTACATAGGTGTCTAGGTTCTGTTTGTTTTTTCCCTGATGTTGGGTAGATGAGTGCATATACATGCTAGTGAAGAAGGGGAAGATATTTTTGCTGTAGGGTTGTATTGTTGTAGTCTAAATGGTGGTAATTTCCTTTTGAAGTCTAAGAAAAATAACTAGGAGACATCTTATGTGTAAAATTGTACTAGTACCTCTTTAAGAGTGAATTTAGATTTCTTTTGAAACTATATATAGGACATGATAAGTTAATGGCCTGATTGTTGAGATTTTGTTGTTTCCAGTAAGCAGGGACAAATGCTGAGTTGACCTAGTTACCTTTGTAGGAAATTACAGTTGCTTTTGATTGAACTTTCAGCAGAGAGCACACCCAGTCTTCAATTTTAACACTTGAGATTTTCTTACATTTTAAGGACTGACAATTAGAAAATGCTTCAGAATATTTAATACATCGCCTTCAAGCACAGTCTAGTTTCACAACCTGACTCTCTTCCTATTAAAAAAAAAAAAGCCCATTTTAAGCAGATTTGTTAAGCTGAGTTAAATGTATTGATGTATTTGGAATAAATTCTTACTGGGTGGTTTTTTTTTGTTGTTTTTTGTTTTGTTTTGTTTTGTTTTGAGACAGTTCCGCTCTGTCGCCCAGGCTGGAGTGCAGGAGTGCAGTAGTGCGATCTCAGCTCACTGAAGCCTCTGGCTCCTGGGTTCAGGTGATTCTCGGGCCTCAGCCTCCCTAAGTAGCTGGGATTACAGGCACCCGCCACCAAGTCAGGCTAATTTTTTTCTTTTTTCTTTTCTTAAGTAGAGACTGAGTTTCACCATGTCGACCAGGCTGGCCTCAAACTCCTGACCTCGTGATCCGCCCACCTCATCTTACTGGTTTTTCTAAATCTGTTGGTTTGAGAAAATTTTACATAAGCTTTTTATGGGTGGCACTCCAAATTGGCATGGTGGAGACAGAGACGTTTCACTCCTGTCACTCCCAATTCAGCATCTATGTACTTAATTAAATAAAGCAGTACTATATTATAACATACTTAAAGATACATGTTAAATAAGTGCATTTATCTCCTTAGGAATATCAGATTTGAGAGAGAGCATGAGGAGTTGGAAAAGAGGGGCAGGATAATTGACTAGTAGATCTTTCATTTTCTCTTTGCTAGAGGCTGGCTTACTAGAGAAGGCTGAAAAAGATGAATATGTGGGAAGAATTGGTGTTTCCTTGACTGTATTAAAAGGTGATGAAGATTTTCACTGGAGTGTTTGGTTGTTGAGACAGCTATGATTTTTAAAAGTAAATTTTCTGGTTTCCCAATTTTGTTTATATTATCTGCATGGATATTGTATCTGAAATGAAACTTTTTTTTTCTATTTTGAAGGAAGAAATGGATAATTTTTGCTGAATTTCTTCCTTGTAGACCTAGTTCTATTATCATTTGTTCACTGTGCTCAAGTCCACTTCTGTATTTAGATTTAAAGCAAATGCTTCAGAGGCTTGCTTCTTCCTTAACCCATCTTTCTTTAAATGGATTAGTAGCTTAATTCAGCTTGCTAATATTCATGGCATTATCCCCACTAACTTTGCTGTTTAAATCACCGCTTTAAAAATATCTTGGTTAACGTTAAATATTTTGTGCTTAGAGGTATAATAAACACTGTAGTTAAAGGATTTTAAATTGCATGCACTTATTTTGAGTAACAGAAAAGCACCTAGACACTATAAGCTTATTGTTTTCAGGATACGTTGCATTGAAAACATTTCTGAGTTTTGGTACTGTTGTAGGTAAGCGTTACAAACCAGTGAAATAAAAGTACCTGAGAATTTTTCTTATTCTGTAGGATAGTTTAATGACTTGGAAAAACCTTAAGGCCATTCATTCACTACTTAGTTCTGAGCATTCTTCTCACATAATGGTTTACGGTTTGGAAGGGTGTGAAGTGTATAAGAACAGCCAAAGGATGGCTTTTAGGAAACATTTTGGGATCATTTGAATCCTCTTGCAATTAAATCAACTGATACTTTAAAAAGTTGAATTTTCATGCGTTAGATCATATTTGGGTACTGAAAGTACTCTGAAGTACATGCTCTTTTTGCACATTGTAATTGTATTTAGGGCCGGGCACGGTGGCTCACTCCTGTAATCCCACCCAGCACTTTGGGAGGCTGAGGCGGGCGGATCACTTGAGGTTGAGAGTTCGAGACCAGTTTGACCAACATGGAGAAACCCCGTCTCTACTAAAAATACAAAATTAGCTGGGCGTGGTGGCACACGCCTCTACATCCAGCTGCTCTGGAGGCTGAGGCAGGAGAATCGCTTGAACGTGAGAGGCGGAGGTTGCGGTGAGCTGAGATCGCACCATTGCTCTCCAGCCTAGGCAACGAGCGAAACTCCGTCTCAAAAAAAAAAAAAATTGTATTTAAACTAAAACCACCAGTAAAGCATAAATACTTTAAAGTTCTTGTTGAGCAAGATCACCGGGTTGACTCTTAAGGCTGGTATTTATTTAGCCAAGTGTTTGTTGATCTTCTGAGTGTTTTAAAGGTTTTCAGCAGTTGACCAGACAATGAGAATGGAGGCATTGCTTTAATTTAAAAAGAAGAAGAAAAAGTTGTTCTTTGATGCTGAGAAATGAATCCTAGAATGTAGTTAGTTAATTCTTCAGGAACTTGACCCAGCTGGTGAATTTTGGCTCCCCCCACCCTTCCAGTAGCTGGTCTGTATTTTACTCTTTTGCCCAAGATAGAGTGGTGGGCTAGGTTTCGTCTAGGCAGCCCTGATGAAAATATTTAGTAGAGGAGACTGTTGGAATGAGCTGTTTTTAAATGATGTTGCTTAAATTACAAGTGGATAGTTCTGTGGAAATTATAATCCCTTTCTTCACTAAGAATTCAATTGTTTTTTTCTTTCCCACCTCCCAGAGGAGAAACAGTGATCCATTCTGTGTCGTTGGTACATGCTAGCTATAGAATGATTAATTTTTCTATGTTGTTGAATGTTTAGCAAATTGTATGTTTATCATTGTATTATGCTTGACAGTAAACTATATTGCTAAATGAGACTTTAGAGAGAGTTTTTTAAATTAATTTTTATGGTTGACTGATTTTATGTCTGGTTTAAAAACTCTTACCCTTTTTGTTTTAAACTCTTCTTGGAAAATTTTCATGAAATATTTCACATATCTTCCTTTCTTGGTACAGTGGACATATAACTGCTTTGAAAATTCTGCAGTACGTTGTGTTTGATATGATGTCACTAAACAATGATATTTCATCACTGTGGAAGGTACAGGAATTTAAATTTTATCTCCTTGATTATGGGATTAAGAAGGAAGCTGCATGCTTCCGTAAATATCTTAATGTTTAATTCTTAATTGTAGATGTAGAAATAAAAGCATTTAATTATCATATGTATGTAATGTACTTGCTGAGTTGTGCTTGCTCTTCTTTCTTTTATATTCTTTGTTTTTCCCTCTTAGAGTTGTTTTTTTTCCCCTGCAATTTTGTTTAATTCCTGGACCCATTCCACATTTTGCTAAATTTGCTTTTCGTTTTCTGGGTCCTGTGCTTATAAACTTCTATATAGTAACTACTTGTTAAAATAATATTTTTTTTCCAGAAATTCTCTTAATTGTGCTCTTAAATCAGCAGTGTTCTGGGTACCTGGACCACATTATGTAGGTCTCTCTCTCCTAAGTTTTTTTTTTTTTCCTTTCTTTTTTTCTCTCTGTCCCTGAAATTTTTTTTTTCTTTTTTTTCTCCCAACCGTTACTCTAGGCTTATCTTGAAGTTCAGTATAAAAATAACCTCATAAAACATTTCATTGTGATTACTGAAATATTGTTGAGGATATTCTCTGTATTCTGCAATGCCTTCTTTATAAAGACCTCAGGGAGAAAGATGTGCAGCCAAGAATAATTGTATGTTTGTCTAAGCTTTTAGTCTGTTTTTATTACCTGGGTGCTGTAATTGTTCACTAGGTTTCTTTTTTCCTATTGACATCTGGAAATTTAGAGCTAAGCTTGTACCTTTTTAATAGCTTCATTTTGTTTCCCTATTTTCATGTTTTTATTTCTGGTTGAATTTATGCTAACCTGTGTTTTGTCTAATAGTCTCCTGAAGTCTGTTTCAGATCAGGGTTGGGTAAAAATAAACTATGGATGCAGTTCAGTGACACTAAAGCGCTTATTTGAATTTTGGATGGTCTTGATTGCAGTGAGTTTTCTCACCCTCAGGAATTTTTTTTTTTTTTTTGGAGACCGAGTATTGCACTTGTTGCCCAGGCTGGAGTGCAGTGGCGCGATCTTGGCTCACTGCAACCTCTGGCTCCCGGGTTCAAGTGATTCTGCTGCCTCAGCCTTCTGAGTAGCTGGAATTACAGGTGCCTGTCACCACGCCCGGCTAATTTTTGTACTTTTAGTAGAGGCAGGGTTTTGCCATGTTGCTCAGGCTGGTCTCGAACTCCTGACCTCAGGTGATCTACCCGCCTTGGCCTCCCACAGTGCTGGGATTACAGGTGTAAGTCACTGTGCCCAGCCCTTTTTTTTTTTTTTTTTTTTTTTTTGGAGACAGAGTCTCACTCTGTCGCCCAGGCTAGAGTACAGTGGCATGATCTCGGCTCACTGCAATCTCCACCTCCCAGGCTCAAGCAATTCTTCTGCCTCAGCCTCCTGAGTAAGCTGGGATTACAGGCGCCCACCACCATGCCTGGCTAATTTTTGTATTTTTAGTAGAGACGGGGTTTCACCATGTGGCCCAGGCTGGTCTCAGAACTCCCGACCTCAGGTAACTCCCGACCCACCTTGGCCTACCGAAGTGCTGGGATTACAGGCGAGAGCCACTGTGCCTAGCCCCTCCTGGGGAATTTTATCCTCTTGGAGTTTATGAAGACCTCATGGTAAAATGAATTACTAGTGTGTTTATAGGTTTTGCTTTTTAGATACTTTGGAATGTTCTATATTGTTGCTCTTGGTCTGGCTTGGTGGCTCATGTCTGTAATCCCAGCACTTTGGGAGGCCAAGGTGGGTGGATCACTTGAGGTCAGGAGTTGGAGACCAGCCTGGCCAACATGGTGAAACCCCGTCTCTACCAAAAATTCAAAAATTAGCCAGGCGTGGTGGTGCACGCCTTTAATCCCAGCTACTTGGGAGGTTGAAGCACGAGAATCACTTGAACCCGGGAGGCAGGAGTTGCAGTGAGCTGAAATCTCAGCTCTGCACTCCATCCTGGGTGGCAGAGTGAAACTGTGTCTCAAAAAAAAAAAATAAAAATACCTGTAATCCCAGCACTTTGGGAGGCTGAGGTGGGTGGATCACGAGTTCAGGAGATTGAGACCATCCTGGCTAACACGGTGAAACGCCATCTCTACTAAAAATTCAAAAAATTAGCCAGGCGTGGTGGCGGTCCCCTGTAGTCCCAGCTACTCGGGAGGCTGAGGCAGGAGAATGGCCAGAACCCAGGAGGTGGAGCTTGCAGTGAGCCGAGATCGCACCACTGCACTCCAGCCTGGGCGACAGAGCGAGACTCCATTTCAAATAAATAAATAAGTAAAAATAAAAATAAAAAAAAGTAACTCTTACTTGAATTTATTAAGAATACACAGATGATGTTGCCAAAGTGGCAATCAAATTGCTTTGTCATTTTTTACTTTTTATGTATGTTTGTATGTATGTATATATTTGAGAGAGAGTCTTGTTCTGTCACTCAGGCTGGAGTGCAGTGGCGTGATGTCAGCTCATTGCAGTCTCTGCTTCCCAGGTTCAAGTGATCTTCCTGCCTCAGCCTCAGGAGTAACTGGGACTACAGGCATGCACCAAACACCCGGCTATCATTTTTCTACTCTTTATCATTTCATAAAGTGGTGGGTTGGGAGGAACATCAGCCAGGATACCCAAGTCTTCTCAGCTAAACCCTTCTTCTGCTAAAAACTAGCTATAGGACTAATGTAACCATTTTTCTAATTAAAGTGAGGGAGCTGACCCTACGTGACCTTTAGGTCTCAAACTACTTTGAAATGTGACTGTTTATCTTTAAATAACATGAATGAAACTATTCTCATCACCATTTTTTTGCATTGGGGGAAGCTGAGGCAAAGAACCCAGCAAAGCACTGGTATAAGTTGAAACAAAACAGGTTTCTTGACTTGTGACTTAAAGCTTTGGTTCTTCTAATGCCTTCATTCATTTCTTTGGTTGATTTACTTTTCATAGTCCATTAAAGTGATTATCTTATTTCTTGATGTATGGGATAGAAATGTGGGAATAATTTCATTGTATTCTTACAGAATTTACTTCAGAGCTGAGTAAACTTTCATTTGTTGAACACCTTTGATTTAATGCCCCTTGGCTTTTCTCCTGATCTGCACATGACGTCAAGTGGCAGAAGTAGGAACTTGTGTTTTTTTCTTCTATTCTCTTCTCATTTTTTTCCTGAGAAGAAACGTAGGTAGTGAAAATCATTCTTAGTGCTTGTTGTGGGATTCTGAAGAAGGGAACTTAGGCATCAGGAATTTGGGTGTTACCCATTTACCGTAGATATAGTTGCTATAGTGTTTTCTGCCACCTTGTGATTGTTGTTTTTGTTCTCTGAAGTGAACGTACTCTTTTATGGTAGTGTTAAAGTCATATAATAAGTACTTATGGAGTAAGTAAATGTGTAAGACACAAGAGATAACAGATGAATAAGCTAAGTTTGTATCCTCAAGAAGTTTAAAGAGTGAAGGGAGTGAAGAACTTAGTAAGACAAAGATGAATGTTTAGAACAGTGCCTGGCACTTAGTGATGTTAGAAATGAACCTTGAAGGTTGGCAAAGATTTTGATAGACAGTTTTCTTTTGATTGTGACCTACTCAGAGGTCAGTATAGGCAGAAAGCACAGGGCACACAGAGAAGACAAGTTGAAAGGTATAGGGCTTTGGTGGCACCATGGGAATGGGATATGTTGAAGACATAGTATTATAGGTACAGATGGTAAATGTAATGTGAGAAGAAAAAGAGATAATTCCAGAAATGATGTAGAGGTAAATTGAATGGGACTTAATAACTGTGATGTGTGGGGGCAATGACGGGAGGGATCATCATAGGTGATTGAAGTTTTAAGCCTGGCTGACTACAGCAATAGATGGTTACCAGAAGCATTTCAGTACTCAGTTTGCAAAATAATCTTAATAGCTCATGAGAGTCCAGGTTCTTTACTAGAGTCTTAAAAATGAAGGTTTCTGTATTCCTTACAAGTTCCAGCAAGTGTTAAAAATGAGGAAATGGCTGGGTGCAGTAGCTTGAGCCTGTAATCCCAGCTCTCAGGGAGTTGAGACAGGAAGATGGGTTGAGCCTAGGAGTTCAAGGCTTGGGTAAGCTGTGATTGTGCCACTAAACTCCAGCATGGGCGACAAAGTGAGACCCTGTGTCTGAAAAAATAAAAAACAGTGAGGAAATAAGCTTCCAAATAATCTTCTATAAATGGGGGAGGAGTTGCTCTGTAGAGACCTGAAAACCTTCATTGGAGGAGTTTGGATTTGATTAATTCATTCATTAACTCTACATTGAATGCCTGCTACATGCTGGGATGCTAGGGATCCAGTGGTTAAGAAAGATACAATCCTTGTCTTGCCCTCATGGGGAATATAGATTAGAGAGAGATTAATATTTAAGCAGGTAGTTACATAGATGATATATTTATGATTGTTGTGGGTGCTACAGGAACAAAGTTCAGAGTGATCTGAGGGTGCATATTGGATATATCTAGGCAGCATGTGATGGGGATGTGATGGTGAGTCTTCTGAAGGAAGTGACATGTAAGCTGAGACCTGAAGGATAAGAAGGAATTGGTGGGTGAGAAGGGGCTTTGCTGCTCATTGAGGAAACAAGACATGCTAAGGTCCTGGAAATGGAAGGTGCTTGACTCTCAAAGAACAGAGCAAAGTATAGTGTATTTTACAAGTAGTGAGAAATGAGACCAGAGAGGTAGCTAGTTGCCAGATCATACAGATGGCCTTGTTGATTATATAAAGTTAAAATTTTTATTGTGAAGCCATTGACATGGCTTACGTGATTTGTATTTTTCAGACCCCGCTTGTGTGGAGAAGGGGAATAGAGGTGAATTTAGGCTAACCAGTTAGCTGAATGGTGGACTCAGCCTTTGGCAGGAAAGATTTAAGAGAATTGGTTATTGGAAGTAGGGGTGATGAGGGCTTGTGACTGATTGCATGTGGTGAGCAAAAGGGAAGAGGTGCCATGGGTGATTCCCAGATTTTTGTTTGGCAGGGGTAACTACATTGGATGGATATGTCAAGATGGAGAAGGAGCAGATGAGGTAGGCATTCATTAATTTTTATTTAAATATTTTCCTTTGTTGGGTATACCTGGAGTGTCCTTTGTAGAGCCCCCGATTAGGCTCTGTCAGTGTGATAAAACAAATAGTTTTAACTAGAAAAGGGAAAGCATGGGTCCACATTCTGTTATAAATGGATGGTACTTTAATTCATTTCCCCACCTCCCTAAACATGGACCAAAGTGTACTAGATTATTTTGCAAGCTGGGTAGAAATTCATGCCTAAGGTCATGCCCTTTCATGTTTACCAGTGAATTATCTTTCTCCAGTTTTCTATTGTGCATCTGGGAAAATTATGCTTACATATCCAATGTAAAGAAAACATTGAGTTTATATAGATTTGAAACCAAGGGGGTTTAGTATATAGTAAACATAAGAATAAATCTTACCAGTTTTGATTCTCATTAGTTAAGGCTTTGTGGCAACTGTGTCCTGTTTGATTTTATATTTCTATAAGTGTGAAGAAAGGTTTCTTGTACCATGGTAGACAAAATTGCTTTGAAATTATTTTAAGCCTGATGAAAGTTGTAGGGTCTGCTCTGCAAGCAGAATATACTGAAAATTTGCTATTAAATTGTGAATGTTGTGGTTTGCTCTAGTAGCCTATTTAGTAGCATTGTAGTAATCATGTAGATTATATTCAGAACTCAGGTAAGAGGAATTGTAGAGAAAATTGTTTTGGGGGCGGGGGAAATGGGGAGATTGGGGAATGGCAACTAGAGAGAGGTGTCATAGTTCATTTAAAATCATGTTCTTATAAGTTGTTTTACTTAGGCCTAAAAGAATAGAGGGCATGTGCCAGGGAATTGAATACCCTTGTATATGTAGTGCCATTTCCTTGCTCTCCCTTTAATTGCTGTTTCCGGTTTGTTTCTCAGGTACTTACGAGAGATGTATCCTGGGAAGAAACAGGGTGGCAGAGTTTAGGGCCTTTGGGACTGAATTAGTCTTAAACCTGAGAACCCAGGAGGATTTTGACCGAACTGATTTGGGTGAGCTAGGAAACAAGGTTTTTTTTTTTTTTGAGACAGAGTCTCGCTCTGTCGCCCAGGCTGGAGTGCAGTGGCATGACCTGGGCTCACTGCAAGCTCCAACTTCCAGGTTCACGCCATTCTCCTGCCTCAGCCTCCCAAGTAGCTGGGACTGCAGGCGTCTGCCACCACACCCGGCTAATTTTTTGTATTTTTTTTTTTTTTTTTTTAGTAGAGGTGGGGTTTCATCATGTTAGCCAGGATGGTCTCGATCTCCTGACCTCGTGATCAGCCCACCTCGGCCTCCCAAAGTGCTGGGATTACAGGTGTGAGCCACTGTGCCCTGCTGGGAACAACGTTTTTAACCAACTTTGCCTAAGCAGACAACAGAGTTGAGACATTCTGGTAGAGAAATAATAGCCTACATTTGTTGAATTGTTTTTAGCTCTTTAGTTATAAAGAGCTTTTTACAAATTAATTTATGTAATCCTCCAACAGTACAATGAGATAGATAATTTTAATTTTACAGACTCAAACTGCAGAATGGAAAGTTTAAGTAACTTAATGTCAAACAGCTAATAAGAGATCAAGATAATAATCTAGGCTCTTTACCTATCTCCTGGGCATAAGCACTAGCTTTTTTAGTGTAAACAGAATCAAATTGTTCATTAGATTTGGTTGATGAAAAGAGGTCTACCAACCATCATGTAAAATATGGCGTTTATGTTTATATTCAGAAGACTATTATACATTAATTTGGTAATACGTATTTTTTGAGGAAAGGTATAATGGCCATATGTATCTTAACCAGATACATCCTTAAGCCTACAATATGAGTAAAAGAAAATTACTCATTTTCTTTTGTGGAGTAGAAGTTGGATGGGTTATATGGGCGTGATGCCTCTCTCCTGTAATTCCAGCACTTGGGGAGGCCAAGGCGGGCAGATCTCTTGAGCCCAGGAGTTCTAGAGCAGCCTGGGTAACATGGCGAAACCCCTTCTCTACAAAAAAAAGTAGCCAGGCGTGGTGGCATGCGCCTATAGTCCCAGCTTACATGGGAGGCTGAGGTAGGAGGATTGCTTTGAGCCTGGGAGGTAGAGGTTGCAGTGAGTCGAGATTGCACCACCGCACTCCAGCGTGAGCAGCAGAGTGAGACCTTGTCTTAAAAAAAGTTGGATGGGTAGAGGAGGGACATTTTGCTAGGGCAGACTAACATCTAGGAAGTGGTTGAAGTTATTTTTTTTAAAAAAGGAAGAAAAGAAAGGAATTAGTATTTATTGATCACACCTTTCTGTATGTTAGGTGGTTTAGGTTTGTTGTCTTTAAATCTTCCATATGATGATGATACCCTGTTTTACAGTTGAGACCCAAGACTATAGATATGTTAAATAATTTGCTTGTGGTCATACATGTTCTATCTTCTGAATAGAAGATAACTCCTGGAACTGATAGAGAGAGGGCAGAAAAAAGATTGTATTTTGAGAAATGGAGCAACCTGAAGGCACATAGCTTTGCTGTTTGCTGTAACTCCTTTAGACAGCTCTCTGACCACACAGTACGTGGGTGGACACCAGCATTGACCAGGAGGGATGGTGGGAAGTTTAAATAGTTTTCCTTTACTGTAATAAACACTCTAGAGAAGTGAACTATTAAAGGTTTTTCCCCATCAAATGGCTAAATTAAACATTTTTGACATTCGAAAGGGATGATTTATATCTTATGTGGAAAAGCCCCAAACAACTATTTCCCCAGTTGCTGGAAAAGGAGCTCTTTTGAGATATGAAGGTATTTTATGTTCTTTCTCCATTATTCTTAACTTGTGCTTACAGGTGAATTGTAAGCATGTGCTTTGTGTTTAGTATTTTCCTCAAGAAAACTCTTGCTGGTAAATCTAGTTACCATAGAACTTGAAAGGATATTGAAAGAATAGTTGAGGACTATCCTGATTGGTTTTCATCTACTTAGTCTGTATTTGTGTCATTTCAGTGTCTGAGTAGGTGGTTTGTGATTAACATTTCACATGTTATTTTTATTGATTTGGCAAGTACCAGAAAACTTGAAGGATGAACTAGAGGTTATTTTTCTTAGCATTTGTGGTATTAGTACTAAAAGGGGAGTAATAGAGTAGAAAGAATTCTGGACAACTGTTAAGAATTGTTACATTTTGTCTACCTAGGCTCGAGTTCCTCACTTTTAAAATTAGGACTGTACTTTTTGGAAGAATATTGCTTGTTGTTTTGTGGTGGGACCAGGCTGTGATGGGAAAGGCTGTTGTCATAGGCATAGGCAGGCCTTTTGCTTTGCTGAGGTATAGTGAGCAGCCCGGTGACCCTCCATGTAGCCTGCATTGCATGCAGTTTCCACAGGGTCCATAGAGTTAGTGCAAAGCTCCAGCAGGCCTACTCACCTGCTTTTCTCATGAGGCAACCTGGGACCAGTGTGTCCCTGTAGTAACTGTAATTTTTTGTTGTGTTCACTTATTGCAGTGAAAAAAAAATCTGAGCGTAAGGTTCTGAGTGGACCTCGAAAGGGGTGGGTGTTGTAGTGAGAGACTGAAGACAAAGGCCTGTAACAGATGGGTATCTTTTTAGCTTAATCAAGCTATTGCTGGAGTGTTATGCTTCAGAAATAAGTCTTTTGGCCGGGTGTGGTGGCTTATGCCTGTAATCCCAGCACTTTGTGAGGCCAAGGCAGGCAGATCGCTTGAGGTCAGGAGTTTGAGACCAGCCTTGCCAACATGGTGAAACCTCGTCTCTACTAAAAATACAAAAATGAACCGGGTGTGGTGGCGGGCACCTGTAATCCCAGCTACTCGGGACGCTGAGGCAGGAGAATCACTTGAACCCAGGTGGTGGAGGTTACAGTGAGCTGAGATTGCTCCACTGCACTCCAGCCTGGGCGATAGAGCGAGACTCAGTCTCAAAAACAAACAAAACAAAAAATACAAAAATTAGCTGGGCATGGTGACACATGCCCGTAATCCCAGCTACTTGGAAGGCTGAGGTGCAAGAATCACTTGAACCTGGGAGGCAGATGTTGCAGTGAGCCGAGATCGATCGTGCCACCGCACTCCAGCTGGGTGACTGAGCGAGACTGTCTCAAAAAAAAAAAAAAAAAGTCTCTAATGGAAAACAAAAATTTATCCCAATTCCCCCAACCCCTCCTCCCAAAAAGCAAAACAATAAAGAAGTTTTGTTATTCTTGCTTTTTTAAAAAGGAAAATAAAATGCTTTCATTATTTCCCAGAAACAGTTGATTTAAAAACTATTGCAGATTATAAAGTTCATTTATGTAGAACAAATAAGGTACTTAGTGCTTTTTGCACCGTCAAATGTCAAAGGCAGAATTTCAGTTACTGCTTTTTAGGTGCATAAAATTAGCATAGTTGAATACTTCATTGATTCATTTAGTTGCCTTTCATAGAATTTTACTCCAATAACAAAAAGATCTGGGGTTTTTCTAAAATTTTCTTCAGGTCTTGAGAGTTTTTAGCTGAATTGCTACAACTATTCTTTCTCTAGATTTCCAACTGGGCGAAAATGTTTTTCTTTTTAAATTGGCACTCTCCCAGCATATTTTTCCAGCAAGTATTCTTTGGGCACACCCTGTGCGTAGTGAATTTTTCAAGATCCTTATTCAAAAGGCTGGGAGGACAGGCCAGTCTTTTCTTTGTAAGATGAAAACAGAATGAAGCTTGCTTAAGACTCATTTTGCTTCTGCCCAACTGTATATGAAATTGATCTCATGCAAATACACTCAAGCATTACCAGAAGTAATTTGACTTGATAGTGTAAGTAGAAAAGCTAATTTAGTATTTGCAGGCGGTTTGCTTAGTGCAACAGGTGACCTCTCAATTGAGAATTCTTAATTTGTTCTCAATGATAACTTGATAGTAAGCAGGTCTCAGGTCCAAGAGTTGAGAAATGTGAGGTGACTTTGAAATTTTCAAGGTAATTGTACATTCAAGACATTGACATGATATGTATATATTTGGTTTTACATTTTATTAGGTGCTGAGGTTGTCATTTCCATAATGTCCAAAGCAATGTTAGATTATTTAAGCTTCCATGGTTTACTGATGGTATTACTAGATGAGATAAATGCCTTTAATTTCATCCTTGAATGGTAAGATTGGCTGACTAATTTAGGGAAGGATAAGGTACAGAATTGCTCTTGGGTGTTTCCTAGCAGGCTGGCCTTCCAAGAGCAATAGCTTAATGTTTGTTCCTTTAATAAGTAGTACTTAAACAGTGATCAGGGGAGTTACCATAATTGGTAATCTGAATGGAAACTAAAATGTGTCATCATTGAGGATAGTCAAAAGTGTCCTTGTGGCAGTCCTAGAAAAGGGGTTCCAGAATTTTCCGAGCAGAGAAAAATATAAACATTTTCAAGGTTCTAATTATTTGGAGACTAGCCTTTCAGGATCATTTATCACCAAGATTAACCTTGCCACCAAAGGGCAAGGAAACACTTCTCTGGTGGTTAGATCAGGAATGATGAAAACACTTAAGAAGAATTGAAAACTTGGTTCCTGTCTTCAATGAGTAATTTATGTGACTGATTTTTTTTTTTTTTTTTTTTTTTTTTTGGAGATAGAGTCTCACTCTGTCACCCAGGCTGGCGTACAGTGGTGTGATCTCAGCTCAGTGCAACCTCCACCTCCCTGGTTCAAGCGATTCTCCTGCCTCAGCCTCCTGAGTAGCTGGGATTTCAGGTGTGAGCCACTGCTCCCAGCCTTCCCCTCCACTTTCAAGTAAAAGAGGAAGCATTAGAATTAGACATTGTGGGCCGAGCTCCTTGGGAGGATCCCTTGAGCCCGGGAGTTCTAGACCAGAATAGGCATCATAGCGAGACCCCGTCTCTGTTTCGTTTTAGTATTTTAAATAAAAATTAAAAAACAAGAATTAGGCATTGTGTACTAAGTATTAGATACATGGTACAGGCATTAAATGCTGAAATCTTAGGAGGAGGGAGTGGTTAGAGGGAAGGATTGACTGCTGTAGGCTGAGGTGATAGGAAGACCTGAGAAGAGATGGATCTAGAGTTAGGAGTTTACATTCCAGTGCAGGAGTTCTCCGTATAAACACTATCAGATACTGACTTTCTGGATGATCTGGAGTATTCTTTGTTAATGTTTTTTTGAGACAGAATCTCAGTCTGTCGCCCAGGCTGGAGTACAGTGGTGCCATCTCGGCTCACTGCAACCTCTGCCTCCTGGGTTCAAGGGATTCTCTTGCCTCAGCCTTCCAAGTGGCTGGGATTACGGGCATGAACTACCATGCCCGGCTAATTTTGTATTTCTAGTAGAGATGGGGTTTCACCATGTTGGTCAGGCTGGTCTTGAACTTTTGACCTCAGGTGATCCGCCCACCTTGGCCTCCCAAAAGTGTTGGGATTACAAGTGTGAGCCACTGTGCCCGGCTATCTGCATATTTTTAAACTACTTAGGAGGAGAAGTTTTTTTCTGATATTTACAAGGTATTTCCCCCAGCTTTTGTCATTTGAGTAATAGCTATCACAAGAAAGGATTGTTCTTAGAGTATGTTTTCTTTTGAGAGATAGGGTTTCACTCTATCACCCAGGTTGGGGTGCAGTGGCGTGATCATAGCTTACTACAGCCGAAGACTCCTGGGCTTAAGTAATCCTCCTGTGTCAGCCTCCCAAAGTGTTGGTATTATAGGTGTGAGCCACTGCACTTAGCCTGTAATATCTTTTAAATAGTTTTTTTTTTTAATAGACTGTAGGAACTAGAGTGTTATGCTCCTCTTCTGTGTTTATGTGGTTTTTCCAAAAATGAATGTTTTTTAGGCAGGTTTTCTTAACAGAGGCACCATTAACCTTTTGGGACTAATAATTATTTGTCGTGGGAAGCTATTCTGTGCACTGTAAGAATGTCTGATGGCGTCTCTGGCCTCTACCCCCTAAATGCCAGTAGGACCTTCCCTCACCCTAGTTGAGACAACAAAATTTTTCCAGACTTTATTATATGTGCCCTTTTGGGGGTTGGGGTAAGGTCAAAATAATCCCCAAGGCTGGGAGCAGCGGTTCACACCTGTAATCTCAGCACTTTGGGAGGCCGAGGTGGGCGAATCATTTGAGGCCGGGAGTTCGAGACCAGCCTGGCCAACATGGTGAAATCCTGTCTCTACTAAAAATAGAAAAATTAGCTGGGCATGGTCGCACACGCCTGTAGTCCCAGCTACTTGGGAAGTTGAGGCAGGAGAATCGCTTGAACCCGGGAGGTGGAGGTTGCTGTGAGCCGAGATGGCAACACTACAGCCTGGGCAATAGAGCAAGACTCCATCTCAAAAAAAAAAAAAAAAAAAAAATCCCTGGCTGAGAACTATTGGATTAGGGCCTCCTGTACCTATCTTTGAGGGGGAAAGGATGCTACCATCAACTTTTCTGAATGCCAGGAATGCCTTTTAGTATAGTTATTTCACTTACTATTTTATAGCATATTTTAATTGTATAGTAAGCATTGTGTCTGTTTTATGGTAAGGAAACTAAAATTGAGAGATTAGGCTGCTCGTGGTGGCTTATACCTTGTAATCCCAGTACTTTAGGAGGCCAGGACTTTGAGGCCAGTGTGGTCAACATAGCAAGACCCCATCTCCATTAAAATAATCATAAAATAATAAAAGGGAAAGATTAAACCTGGAGATGGCATCATATAAACCACGTATAATATGGGTTACTTATGCTCTGATTGTTTACTCCTTCCCCCCACCACACCCTCTCATTTCTTTGTCCCAGCTCTAAGAAAAGCATACAATATCCTTTTCCTGTATTCTGGTACTGTTTAAGGCTTTGCAGTGAAGATGGTTTGGTGAGTCAGACCACTTTTAAAGAGGAAATTCTACCCTTCCCTTCATTCTCTCTCTTTTTATAATTGTGGTGAGAGCCCGGGCACGGTGGTTTAGGCCTGTAATCCCAGTGCTTTGGGATGCTGAGGCAGGGGGATCACTTGAGCTCAAGGAGTTCGAGACCAGCCTGGGCAACGTGGTGACGCCCATCTGTACAATAAACCACAAGAAATGAGCTAGATGTTGTGGTTCACACCTGTAGTCCCAGCTACTCGGGAAGCTGAGATGGGAGGATCACTTGAGCCTGGGAGGTCGAGGCTGCAGTGAGCATTGCAAGTAGAAATTCTTAAAGTGCAACCCTGAGGGGGGAATATCCTCCCTCATTTGTCAAGGGACAAATCAGAATGTTAGCATTTCCCCACTTCCCACATTGCCAGTAACGTATAATTTAAGCATGTGGATATGCCAGTCAGCTTTCCACAGCTTAACTGGGGTGGAGAGAGGTGTGCGAACCAGTGCTTTGTTCTTTCTTGTCTTTTTCCCCTTACTTTTGTACTCCCACTCCTGCCAAACTAGACATCGTTTTATCCTGGTGTGTTCATTAACCTCTACTCCAAAAATTAAGTGTGGTTAAGGGAGTGAGGTCGATTTCAAAATGCTGCATCTGATTTAGAGGGGGGTATAGTTGAGTGAAGAACTAGGCACTGAAGCAGCAGCTTATGAGGAGAGTGTTTTCTCTTTATTTAAAGTCCTTACATATCGAGGCATCTGGTGTTCATGAAATAGTCTGTTGTGCTGTTCAACTTTTTCACTCTTTTCTTACCTGACTTAGACAATTAACTCCTAGGGCTGGGTTTTCCCTCCACATTGCGATTCCTTCAGGGTCAGATTGTCTTAGTTTCTCTCTCTTCTTTGTATTGATACTTTGTTTTTTTGGTGCTTCTCATTTCTTCAAATGTAATGGAATGAGGGGACTCAGACTTTTTCTGGTTTGATAATCTAGTGTATAAATGACCTGGTCTTTTGATGGTTCATGAAATCTTTAACTCCGTCACCTCCAAGTAGCCAGCCCTTCCATGTAGTCTTCATTTCCTATACTAGTGTTCTGTTCCTATTACATAAAAGTCATGTACACGAAACATTTTGTAAACAGCCAGTGGGGTTTTGTATCCCATGCTGTTCTGTTTTCATTTCCAGCCCACATTTTGGGAATATGTTTCTGTGGCTTTATTTATATATTTACTAGTTAATCCCAGAACATTTATTTCCACAGGCTTTTGATAAAAGATAAAGTTACTAATAAGAGTGTACTATTTTACCGAGTAAAACGACATAGAAAGCTAAGGATTTCCTTGTGCCCATCTTTCTAGAAGGGAAATTTAAAGAGGGCTCTTCCAACTCTAATAGTTTTATAATTATTCGTGTCTCCTAAGCCTGATCTTTCCCCACAACTAAAATGCGTTGATGAGCTGCGTACCTGCATGTATGTCTTTGTTTGCACTTTCCTAGTAAATTAACTTACTCAACAAGGGAACTGAATAATACTTTAAAAAAAAATCCTTGTGATATGACCAGGAAGTCAAGCCACAGAGGCTTCATAGCTAGGAGCATGGCTGTCTTCCCTAAGCCCTTTAGATTTTAAAAAATACTGCTTTAAGTTTGTAATGTTTTATGTCAGATGTGCTCATGACCTGGTGCTTCTGTGTCAGCAGGTATCTCCATACAGCCAAGAATAAAGAAAGAAAGGGATAGATGGAATGAGTTTCATCGTGATTGTAAGTATCCAGGAATAATTTAAAATTATTTATCACTGTGGATTTAAGCATCTGGATTTATTTATTTTACAAATACTTAACATTTTGTTGTTTTGCTCTCTATTTTGCTAATCCCTTTTTTAAAAGGGCTACTTGGATGAAGGTATAAAAACCAGTAACTTATGAAACCCTCGGTTGGTATCAGTGAATTCGCTTATTACTCAATGTTTGCTTGTTTGACTTCAAAAAGAAAACAATTTACCACCTGTGTCAGTCTGACACCTGCTCTTTTCAAACCCTTTTGGCATGATCTAAATAAATCTCTGAAATTCCCCCCCCCCCCCTTTGTGTCTATTGTCAGTATTAGTTTCACCTAAATTCAGGGCCTGTCATCCTGTGTAACAGTTGAGGCTAAATGAGGACATTAATTGGTGGAAATGTGTTGCTTCAAAGGCATTTTTAGGAATAAAACTACAAAGAGCTTCATAGTTGTAATATAGCTGATTCGTCTTCAAAAAGTATTCTGTTGTTTTCTTGATAGTTTTAGGTTTTTATAAGTAAGTTATTAAGAAGTGAATGTTTGTCTGAAATACGTTGTTTTAAGTGAAAGGTGTTATTTGTGTTCTGGGAGTAAGCTCTAGAATCTCAATGTCAGGTTAGTATTTAAGTGGAGGTAGAGCTACTAGTTTTTGTTTAAAATGTTTTTATGATACAGAATTATTCAGGAACTTGTGTATTGATCTGTTTGCCAGCAATGCCAATTCCCTCAAAATTCATAGTTTTCAATTTTTGTTTTCTTCCCACTGTAAGTACCTTTGAGGACTCTCACCCAGTTAACATTTGTTGTGTTCAAATTGCATGGTTCTCAACTTTTGCTATACACTAGAATCACCTGGGTAATTTTTTAGAAGTCCTGTGGTTGTACCACAGATGAGAAAAAATACACCCTCTGGGATGGGATCCAAGCATCTGTATGTTTAAAATTCACCAGGAGATTCCATGATGTAGCCAGAGTCATAAATCACTGGTCTAGGATGTTTTTCAGATTAGGGACCATTTAAAGAAAAGCTGTAGATTTTCCTTCCAGAAACATGGGTATTAATGATTCCCTAAAGCCCCAAATTAAGAACCCCTGTTCTAGGAGTAGCCTCAACATGCTAGATTTAATTGTAAGCAGCTGGTTTAAGAAATTATGTAAGTTGCAATGATGAATATTCCTTGTCACTCACAAATGTTATTCATCAATTTAAAAATTAATATGTATCAAGTACTCAGTGTGTTCCAGGCATGATTTTAGTTACAAGGAGTACAGCAGCCAATAAGATATTACAGTTTTCAGGGAGTTTTATCCTACTAGGGAAGACAGATAAGTAAATAATGACCGAAGGCTAGTTAACAAGTGCTATAAAGAGATATAAAAAGGAAAGAGCCTAAGGAGATTGAAAGTGATGGTTATGGGAGAGAGATGCCTATATTAATAGGGTGGTCAGGGAAAGCCTCTCTGAGGAGGTGACAGTTTGAACGAGATCTGTATGAAGTGTGTGAGCAAGACCTGTGAAGATCTTGAGGAAGAGCATTCAAGGTGTAGAGAACACTTGCAAAGGCCCTAAGATGGGACTGAGCCCGGTTTGTTGGATTTTCATCAGTAAGCCCGGGGTGGCAGGAGCATGCTTGCTGATCCAGCTATAGAATGAGTGGTAGAAGGTGAGATCAGGAGCCCTGTAAGCTGTTGTAAGCATCGTTGTTTTAATTTGGTAGAAACTTAGTTATAACTCATTCTTAAATATTTAGCTTTATGCTTAAAATAATTTAGAAATAACCTTGGACTTCCATCTTTTTAGAAATAGCTGGAAGGTTAGCACTCAGTATGTTGTATTACTTCTCTGTGAAAGGATCTACAGTAGACTGAACTTGTCTATGTTATGAGACTGCTCATGTCTTTATTCTTTATATTCATAATGCTGAACACAAGATACTCGTGTTTTTTTTTTTTTTGACAGAATAGGGATCTTGCAGTTAACTTGGCTGTTCTTAAATTTCTGTTTATAAAAGCCATAATGCATAATAATTTACTGTAGTCGTTATTCCTAGTTTTCCCAGGTAGGCAGTGGTAACATCTATTTCACAAGATAAGGAAGCAGAAATTTAACAACAATGGCAGAATCAGGATGTCAATCTTGTCCTTTTTTCCTTTTCCCACTTTGCCATGCTGCCCTCTGGGTAATAAGATGGAGACTAATTTTTGAAGGCTTAATTTGTTGAGCCAGTGTCATTAGTTTTTAGGTAACATTTTAATACAGAATAAGTGTGTCTTGGTCTTATTAACAGTGCTATGTTATGTAAAGGAATTTAGTTGTAGGAATATTTTCTTTGAAACAATAATACCTGTTTTTTTATCTCTTGATTGTAAAGTGCTGTGGGAAATACAGAGATGACTTGTAAATAAATTCTGCCCACAGGCTTAGGGGATCTAAGATATAATTCACTGTGGTAAAAGATACAAAGCAATCATTGTCAGAAAAGATACAGATTAAGTGCCATAGAAGTTCTGCTGAAGAAGAATTTCTGGGTAAAGGGAAGGAGACTTCTTAGAGGATAGATGGATTTTAGTTCTAGGTGGTAGTGTGGGAAGCAAGGGAGATGTAGGTGTTTAGAGGGAAAGAAGGAAGGACATTCTGTATACAAATTGAGCAAAGGTTTGGAATTAGAGCAGTATAAGCAGCCACAATCATGGAATACAATTTGGAATCTAGTATGGGAAAAAGGAAATGACCAAGGATAATGAAGATTATACTCATGGAGGAAGCCTTTGAGTATCAGGCCAAGGAATGTTAAGTTCTATTTTTTTTTTTTTTTTTTGGTAAGGAAAGTGACTTTTATTTTTTATTTATTTATTTTTTTTTGAGATGGAGTCTCGCACTGTTGCCCAGGCTGGGGTGCAGTGGTGCGATCTCAGCTCACTGCAAGCTCCACCTCCTGGGTTCACACCATTCTCCTGCCTCAGCCTCCCGAGTAGCTGGGATTACAGGCGCCCGCCACCACACCCGGCTAATTTTTTTTTTTTTTGTATTTTTAGTAGAGACGGGGTTTCATCGTCTCTACTATTAGCCAGGATGGTCTCGATCTCCTGACCTCGTGATCCACCCGCCATGGCCTCCCAAAGTGCTGGCATTACAGGCGTGAGCCACCGTGCCCAGCCAAGGAAAGTGACTTTTAAATCAGAAATCACATGATCTGTGATGGAATTTAGGAAAGTTGATATTAGTTGGTTGGATTAGCACAATCAACAGACTATGCCCTGTATGCCAAATGCAGTCTAAGGCAAGTTTTTGTAAGTAAAGTTTTATTGGAACACAGTCATACTCATTCACTTGAATATTGTCTGTGGCTGCTTTAGTACTATAATGGCAAGAGTTGTGTAGTTGAGACGGAGACTGTGTGGCCTGCAAAGCCTAAATATTTGCCATCTGGCCTTTTACAGAAAAAGTTTGCCAACCCCTGGATTAGAGGAGTGGAGGCAGAAATCCTGTTCATTGTTGTTCTGGTTAGGGTATAAACCCATGCCTTCCTGTCAAATGAAATGAAGGCCAGAATTGTGATAGCCCTAGTAGAAAAAAAGAGGCAGGCTGGGCGCAGTGGCTTACGCCTGTAATCCCAGCACTTTGGGAGGCCGAGACGGGCGGATCACAAGGTCAGGAGATCGAGACCATCCTGGCTAACACGTGAAACCCCGTCTCTACTAAAAATACAAAAAATCAGCTGGGCGCAGTGGTGGGCGCCTGTAGTCCCAGCTACTTGGGAGGCTGAGGCAGGAGAATGGCGTGAACCCGGGAGGTGGAGCTTGCAGTGAGCCAAGATCATGCCACTGCACTCCAGCCTGGGCGATAGAGCGAGACTCCGTCTCAAAAAAAAAGAAAAAAAGAGGCAAGAATGGGTGAGATAAAATAATTTTTTGAATTTGGTAACTTGATTAGGTTAGGAGTCTAGGGAGAGGGGAGGAATTTTTTTTTTTTTTTTTTTTAAGTGTAAGCAACAGGCCAGGTACGGTGGTTCATGCTTGTAATCCCAGCACTTTGGGAAACCGAGGTGGGCAGATTACTTGAGATCAGGCGTTCCAGACCAGCCTGGCCAACATGGTTAAACCCTGTCGCTACTAAAAAGACAAAAAAAAATTAGCAAGGCATGGTGGGTGCTTGTACCCAGCTGTTCAGGAGGCTGAGGCAGGAGAATCAATTGAACCCAGGAGGTAGAGGTTGTAGTGATCTGAGATTGTGCCACTATACTTCAGCCTGGGCGACAGAGGGAGACTCCCATCTCAAAAAAAAAAAAAAGAAGGTAAGTGAAGGAGGATGGTGATTTGGGTTAGAAGAGGCTTTTAATTGTAAGCCATTCAGCATGTGAACTCGTAAAAATGACCTTATGTTAAATAATTAGTTCAGAGCGCTGATCTTGAGAGATAGGAACGTTTCCTGTTTTTGATAAATGATAAGTTACCCTTGTTTATGGTTAGGGGTGGGTTTTTGTCATGGTCCAACCAGGTGATAGTTATATATGTGAACATATTAAAATTGTTTTTAATGTTTAAATTCTAATCCTTAAAATGTGACAGAACTGATTTATGTTCCTCCTCTCCCAGTTCTCTTCAAATCATGAGAGTGACCCTCTTAAAAACTGCTTTCTTTCAGGGGAGCGGTTGTTGAGAAGAATCATGTAACTATGTAAAAAGCATGTCTGTTTGGTACACTATTTGCTAATGTCAGAAGTGTTAAATAGAAATAAAATTTCCACCATAGTAGCTAATTATTGTTTAGTGTGTGTCAAAACTGTGTGCTAATTACTTTTTATAAACCGTCGCCTTTAAAGTCTTATAACTTTTCTATGAAGTAGGACGTTTGTGTCCCTACCTCCTCTGTTTTACCATTGGGAAAACCAGGGCCCAGAACGAGTAACCACACAAGTTCCACAGCTACCAAGGTCAAGGTTATTTCTACCCTAAATACACATCTTTAAATTTTATATTCATCAACAACCTAGTACTTAAAAATTCAGATTCCTAGGCCTTTCAAGGGTTTTGCCTGTGATTCTATTTTTGATCTTTGTACCAAACTTCGAGAAAATACCGTCATATAGTCTTCTATTAACAGCAGTTGCCTCATGTGGAGAACACCTGAATTTTACTTACAACTTCTTCCAATGCTGACCCATTTTGATTTTTATAAACATTTTGAAATATTTGTTAAGTTGGTCAAGCAAGAGATAATGTGATTATGTAGTATCTTATCAGTTGAGATCTTTCTCTCTCTCTCTGCCGCTTTCTCTCTCGCTCTCTTTTTTTTTAAAAAAGAGTCTCACTCTGTCACCCAGGCTGGAGGGGTTAGTGGTATGATCTCTGCCCACTACACCCTCTGCCTCCTAGTCTCAAGCAATTCTTCTATCTCAGCCTCCCGAGTAGCTGGCACTACAGGCGCATGCTACCACATCTGGCTAATTTTTGTATTTTTTGTAGAGACAGGATCTTGCCACCTTGCCCACACTGGTCGTGAACTCCTGAACTCAAGTGATCCACCCACCTTGGCCTTCCAAAGTGCTGGGATTACAGGCATGAGCCACCACCCCAGTCTGGTTGACGTTTTTCACCTCCTTCTCTTTACAGCATATTCAGAAATTTTAAACCAGTAATACGAAATACATATATTGGTTGATTTTTCTGTTGTATTTTAAGCATATTGACTTTTTAAATCGGATCATATTTTTGCATGCAAGTACTATGGCTTTTCAAGGTCATTCTGATTTGAAACAACACATTTCTTAGTCAATTCATTGGCTCTTTACCCCCTTTTAAAATTTTTTATTTTTTATGTGATTTATTTATTTACTTATTTTTAGTGATGGAGTCTCACTGTGTTGCTCAGGCTGGGCTCAAGCAGTTCTTCTGCCTCAGCCTCCTGTGTAGCTGGAACTACCTAAGGATGTGCACCACTGTGCCCAGCCAGATCTTCACCTTTTTCAAAAAAAGAAACATCTAAATGTGAAACCTTTTAGGCCTGTCAACTTCTTGTGATAGACACATACAGAATTTTTCAGCTACTCTCTGCCTATGGGGTAGCCCTACCTTGCAGGAGCAGTCCAAAAAAAATTTTTTTTTTCAATTTAGGATCAGTGTAGAGGAAAGAGCCCTGGACTATCATAAGACTGAGTACCAGCTTGGCCAGTCAGTCACTTTGTGACCTTGATTAAGCTATGTAACCTTTTCAAATTGATTTCCCTCTCTGTAAATAGAGCTGATAAGATGGCTTGCCCTGTTTCCTGTGGTTTTTAAAGAGGATCAAATGAGTGCGTGAAAGTTCTCATGAAAACTAGACGTCTATTCAGATATGAGGTGGTGGTATTCTCAGAAGGTCATAGATGAATGATGCATTTATTTTAGTGCTTTTCACAGTTTAGTCTCAATACTGAGTGCTTACTGAGGGGTTCTATGGAGGCACACTAGTTGTTTCTTTAGGAGATGTCTTTAGCTGCTAGAGTAGAGAACAAAAGAATGAGTAAAGAGGCTTCAGAAAAGCTAGTATGGGCTGGCGCGGTGGCTCACACCTGTAATCCCAGCACTTTGAGGGGGCCAAGGTGGGAGGATCACTTGAGGTCAGGAATTTGAGACCAGCCTAGCCAACATGGTGAAACCCTGTCTCTACTAAAAATACAAAAAATAGCTGAGTGTCATGGTTGACGCCTGTAATCCCAGCTACTCGGGAGGCTGAGGCAGGAGAATCCCTTGAACTCAGGAGGTGGAGGTTGGAGTGAACCAGGATTGCATCACTACACTCCAGCCTGGGTGACAGAGAGTCACTCCTCTCAAGAAAAAAACAAGGAAAAGCTAGTATGGATGGAGCACCTCCATGCTCATTTCTTAGAGCTTATGTTTTGTTGTTTGATGTCCTAGTTCATAACAGAAGGGGTTTTGTAAGCTGACCTAGCTTGACAATCCTTTTTGGGTTTTTTGGTTTCAAACATGATCTTATAAAATTATTTAGTGCATTAAAATGTAGACCCAAGTAGCTGCTTAGCTCTTGAGAAAAGGCTGTGTTTCAGTTTAGCACAACAGTGTTTTCAGGAAGATAACTGTTCTAGATAGCTCTTTTTTTCCAAAATTCTTGATTAAGGTTTGGGGAATTTAGAATTATCTCCAGCTATTAAATTATCAAATTGGTTAAGTAGAGGTAGAAAGTTTATTGCATAAATCAGTAGATTTGTCTTCCAAAGAAGCTTATGAAATAGAAAGGGCCAGGAGGTATACCTGTAGTTGAAATATGGGATGGGCCCATAGAGAGTGAGTTGGAAAATGATAGTAAGTGGTTGAACATGGACTTTAAAGCATGGCATGCTCTGAAGTCATATTAGAAAAGTCCTTTGCTTTCATGCAAAACTAGTCTCCGTGGCTTTTCATTGTGTAGATCGGGTTAAAAGCAGAATATAAGAAGCAAGTTTTTGGATGAGATGATAGAACTTACGTAGTACTTGTCTGTCAATCCTAAAAGAATTATTTGTGGCCAAATCCTCTCCTCTAACCACCAAATAAGGAGCTTGACTTCATTCTCACTGTTAAGAATCAGAAACCCAGTTTAGAATATCCAATTCCTGGTGAACTTTTAAAAATTAATATATATCTTGATACTTTATAATCTATTGTGTGGCATCCAACGAATGTGAGGTAATCTGGGGAGTTAGAAATGCCTTGCATTTCGTGTGGAAAAGGTGTAGTCGTAAGTTTGGCCTGGGAAGGTTAATACTGTCTTTGCACATAGAAAGCTAAGGGCAGTGTCATCATCATTCGTTTGTGAGGAGGGGACTGAAAAAGCAAAATCATCACTACTAGCCTATTCTAAAGGAGCTTAATCCCATTCCATTTTTCAGATTTTTTTTTTTTATTATGTAGTATCCCCTGGATATAATCTTTTTGGTGAAGGGGGATGTCTCTAATTTCCACGTGGTACCCCCTGTCATATACAGGTTATGTATCTGGCAGTCTACAGCTGCAATTCATGGCTGTTTATAAAATTTCACCAGAACTTGTCCTGACGTCCTTTTACTTTTGTAAATGATTAGAAAAAATGCTGAGCCTGAGTATGTATTTTTGTATTAAGAGTTCATTTAGAGAGTCCCAGAAATTGGCAGAGTTGATTCAACTTTCTGTGGTTTAAATTTGAATATGCAATTAGTAGACTGCTGGTATTTCAGAAGTTTGTTGTTGCAGGCCTCTTGTACTGAGGAGGAAATCTGGAATTTCTTTTTCTATTTTAAATTAGCGTTCATTCAACAAACATTTTTTGATTATCCCTAGAGTTTTGGCACACGATAGGAAGTCTAGAAGTGTGCAGTCTCACCTGGTCTCGCAAGTAATGGGAATTTTTAAACTATGCAGGACTTAGAAGGTATACCTTCCCTTCCTTCAGAATGATAGTAGTAGTATAGTTATATCTTTCCTTGACCTAATTATAATTTTTCGTTTTCCCCCCCATGACAAAGTAATAAAAACTTGTAAAAAACAAAGAGCCACAGACATGTGAAACTTGTTTTACCTCTGCTGTTACTTGGTCTGTTGTAATGCCACTGTAGAAAATATTCCCTTTGTTTGGGGTAGCATAGGAAACATGTGATTTGGAATCAGACTTCAAGTTCTAGCTCCATAATTTTACTAGCTCTGTGGTCCTCGGATATCACTCAACCAATCTGGACCTCAAATTTTCTCATCTCTTCTACTGGGAAGATAACAACTTCTTTTTTTTTTTTTTTGAGATGGAGTCTCGCTCTGTCGCCCAGGCTGGAGGGCAGTGGCGTGATCTCGGCTCACTGCAAGCTCTGCCTCCTGGGTTCACGCCATTCTCCTGCCTCAGCCTCCTGAGTAGCTGGGACTACAGGCACCCGCCACAACGCCCGGCTAATTTTTTGTATTTTTACTAGAGACAGGGTTTCACCGTGTTAACCAGGATGGCCTCAATCTCCTGACCTCGTGATCTACCTGTCTCGGCCTCCCAAAGTGCTGGGATTACAGGCGTGAGCCACTGTGCCCGGCCTTTTTATTTATTTATTTATTTTTTGAGACGAAGTTTTGCTCTTGTTGCCCAGGCTGGAGCACAATGGCGTGATCTCAGCTCACTGCAACCTCTGCCTCGTGGGTTCAAGCGATTTTCCTGCCTCAGCTTTCTGAGTAGCTGGGATTATAGGCGCCTGCCACCACACCTGGCTAATTTTGGTGTATTTAGTAGAGACGGGGTTTCACCATGTTGGCCAGGCTGGTCTTGAACTCCTGACTTCAGGTGATCCACCTGCCTCGGCCTCCCAAAGAAGATAATGACTTCTACAGAACTGCTGAATGGGTACATATATGTAAATATTCTCACCTGACTTCTGCTTTTCCCTTTATTTCACTGGGAGGTATTATATTTTTAGTGTATCTTACGGCCTTTGAGGACTTCTTAGTTTGAGTATATTTTAGCTGTGTGCCTAAATGTCTTTACAGTGTACTTAAGGAGTTGGATTTTTAGAAACTTGCCATATTTAGAAATCTATTGGATTGAACATAGTTTGAAAAGCAAAGTATAAGTTAATTCCTTTACTATATACTTGTACTATTCTTTTCATGGACTTTCTGATGCTTGCTGTTTGTGCACATAGGCTTTGCTTTTTGTATTTATTTATATTGTATGAATCTAAGAATAAAAGAGAGTGTGAACAATTCAGAAGACTACAGATATATCTTGTTAGGTTGCTTTCCAAAAGGTTCCCAGTTGTAGTCATACCAGCAGTGTAACAAGCAGGTTTTTTGTTTAACCACACTCCAATTAGCATGGAGGATCCTTTAAAAATATTTGCTAAACTGATAAATAAAAAATACTATCTTTACTTAAATTTGCATTGGGAAAGTATTAGTGAAGTTGAACATTCTCATATGTTGTAATGTTTTGTTTTGTTTTGATACAGTCTGCAGTCTTGCTCTGTTGCCCAGGCTAGAGTGCAGTGGCATAGTCGTAGCTTGCTGCAGCTTCAACCTCCAGGACTCAAGTGATCCTCACAAGTAGCTGGGACCACAGGAGTGCACCCTTATGCCCCCCTTATTAAAAATTTTTTTTTTCTTTGTAGAGATGGGGTTTTGCTCTGTTGCCCAGGCTGGTCTCAAACTCCTGGACTCAAGCAGTCCTCCTGCCTTGGCCTCCCAAAGTGCTGTGATTACAGGCATGAGCCACTGTGCCAGGCTGTTGTAATGTTTTTATGATTCTTTGAAGCAGAGATATTTATCCTTTGGTAAAAATATTGGAGTCAAACTTGGATAAGTTAGAAATTATAAATTGTTTAAATTTTTGTCTGTTGATCTTTTGCCTTTAGCTTTCTTTCTCAACCTAAAATAGTAGAAATTCTTCATCCTTCCAGACACTAATAGGAGAATTTTAAATTTCCTTGTACATGTTTTTATTTTTGGAAACTACCCTTTTACCAATATAGTGAAACCTTGGCTCTACTAAAATACAAAAAAATTAGCCAGGTGTGATGGCACACACCTGTAATCCCAGCTGCTCGGGAGGCTGAGGCTGGAGAATCGCTTGAACCTGGTAGGTGGAGGTTGCAGTGAGCCAAGGTCATGCCACTGCACTCCAGCCTGGGCACGCAGAGTGAGACTTGTCTGAAAAAAAGAGAAATAAAGAAAGAAACTACCCTTTTAATTCATCAGAGCGTTTTTTGTTTCATAATACAAGGAAGTAAGTCCTCTCTAACCCTCTTTCCGAAAAAGCTGACTAGTATCTCAAAACCACTTAATTTTGTATTACTTTCTTTGGGACTTTGGAAGTTGCATAAGACATACAGGTTAACTTGTAAAGAATATCTTTCCAGAATATGGGTTGCCAAATTTTTACTAGATTCATTTAGGGTATTTTTTGTGAGGATACTGTATTCTTGGGCATTTTGTTCTTTTTAATTCCTTTTATGAGTATACACTCTCTGATTGTCTTTTCTTATTTCGCACCCAGATTTTCTGCAGTAGCTCAGTGGAATATTTTGAGCTTAGTGTAAGATAGACCGTTTGTAAATAAATGTAAAGTATTGCATAGAAGAATTTATTTGTCTTAGACCCTTAAGCAGCCCCTATGCTCCCCCAGTGAAGTTGATTTAGATGTGTAGACAACCTTGAGGAAAGAGAAGGGCTCTTCAGCTGCTCTCCTGTCTCCAAGTTTATCTAAATCTAGGGTTCTGTGAAATGATTTAGTCTTCAGTGTGGATTTTGCTCTGTGGGATAGCCTCTGAGTGTAAATGCTTCCTGTCCTGAGACCTACTGGGTTTAATGCATTTGCTTCACCTTGTTGTGTACACTCACAGGTGGGAATATAAAAGGATTTTCAGTTCAAAGAACCAGATAAACAATTTTCAATTTAAAATGTTTAGTTCTTACATAACTTAGTTTTGTAAAGAGAAATACAAGTACTTTAGTTAATTGTTGAGTACATTGTCTTTTTTTTTTTTTAAACAAACAGGATCAATCACTGTTCTGGGAATGCTTTATCTGAATTTCTGATCCTTTATGCATCCTCAGCATTTAACACATAAAGTAGCCCTGTGTATAACTTTTTGAGGAACTGCCTGTTTTCCATTTTATATTACCATTTTGTATTACCATGAGCGATATTTGTGGGTTCCATTCTCTCCACATTCTTGCCAATACTTCTAATTGTCTTTTTAATTATAGCCATGCTAGTCAATGTGAAGTGGTATCTCATTGTGGTTTTGATTTTAATTTCTCTAATGGCTAATGATGCTGATAATCGTTTCAGGTGCTTAATTGGTCATTTGTATATCTTCTTTGGAGATCCTTTGCTCATTTCTAAAGTTATTTGGTTTTTAAAAATTGTTGAATTGTGTTTTTTGTATATATTCTGGAGACCAGTCTCTTGTCAAATAGATGATTTTCAGATATTTTCTTCCATTCTGTGGATTGTATTCTCATTTTCTTGATTATTATTTACAGAAGTTTTAAATTTTGATATAGTCCAATTTATGGTTTTTTTTTTGTTTCTTTTGCTTTTTGTGTCACAGCATAAGAAATCATTGCCTAACCCAAGTTCATGAAGAATTTACTCCTATGCTTTTTTCCAGGAGTTTCAATGCTTACATTGAAGTAGGGCTTTGATCGACTTTAAGTTAGTTTTCTGTATGGTGTGAGGTAGGAATCCAATTTTATTTTGCCTGTGGATAGTGGATATTCAGTTGTCCTTGTACCATATTTATTGTAAAGACCTTTTTTTCCCCATCATGTGTTTTACAATGTAAATTTAGTTGTGGAAACTTATTTGCAGCTTAAAATTTTTTCCGGTTGTATAGATTACATATTTTTCTTCTTTATGCTACTCTTTATTTTCCAGATATCTGCAGTAAAATTTTGGCAACAAAAATATATATGTATGTATGTGTATGTGTATATGTGCACACCAGAGTGCTAACAGTGATTATTTCTGAGGGATGGGATGGGTTGGGATGGAGGAAGGGAAGGGATTACTTTCATTTATTTTTTAATACTTTGAAATTTTATTATGAGCTTTTTTGGTGTAGTAAAAAATAGAAAAAGTTTTTGTCTCTCTGGATTATGCTAATTTACTTGAATTATTGTGGTGGCTTGTAAACCAGGACCAAAAGTATTTTTAAAAATTTTTGCCTTTTCCCTTCCCTCTCTCCTTTTTCTTCTCTTTTCTTTCCCTTCATTCCTTCCTCTTTTTTTAAGGACAGTATATTCTGAGAATGCTTTCAGTTCGTGGAGGGTTAGTTTCCAAAGTCAGGGTGCTGTTGTAGGAGAGGGAAGGAAACTAACAATCAGTTAGTGCCTATTTTTGGTATTATGCTTTTATGTACGTAATAATCCTTCACATTTTTACAGTTAGGCAACAGGAGTGCTAGACATAATGATTGACTTCCCGAGGTCACAAGGCTTAGTAATTGGTTAAAAGCAAGAAGTAGAGTCAGGTTCATATCACTCCAAAGGCTGGGTTTCCTCTGCTTCTTCGTGCTGAGTAGTACATAATAAGCAATTCATTGAATGCTTGAGTACACATGTGCACATTTAGATGGGTGAGTAGTGGCACAGGTGGAGGAAATCAGGTGGAGAAATTGATGTTAGAGAGAAATAATGGAAAATGAGTAACTTCACCTTGAGGGAACTAAAAATTTTGAATTCAGTGAGAGCAAGTATTTAATTATATTTGTCATGGTATTTAAAGCATGTTAGTCATTATATACTTTTTTTTTTTTTTTGGGGCCTATGAAAGATTTTAAACTTGGTTCCAAAATGTGGTCAAATGCCCTGTGAGGATGAGAAAATAATGTCAATACTATGAGTTCACTTTAATAAAGGCTAAGAGGTAAATAGACATTAGTAAATAGACATTGGTTTCCTGTGATGTCCTAGGTATTGTTTTAGATTATGGGGATAGAGCAGCAATGAAAGACTTCTGGTTTTCCATTTTTCTGCCTTCCTTTTTAATGAATTGGCACTAGTTTCTTCCTTAAAACTCAAGACTTCTTAGCAGATTAGAAATTTGTAATGGTAATAGTCTTGTGTCTGATGCCTTTAGGATTGATTCATAAGCCACTGGGGGTAGTTGAGTGAGAATAGGTTTAATGAATTCTATCACAGGATTCCTGGTTAGAGGTGAAATTTATGTGTGTCCTGTATGTATGTTACTTCATGACCTCTCCTAATATTGTGAACTGTACCTATGTTGATGGGTTACAGTGATGATCCTTTGACTCCAGTTCTTGCTGTCAGGTGTGACCCTTGGATCAGGTGAGGAATACTATCTCATCTTTGTCTTGGACTTAATACTTTTAAAGTACTTTGAACCTTAGCCACGTATGTATTCACACAACTAGATGTGCTGTTGATTTACAGAACTGAAAGCCATTACAGGTGGAGTCTCTCTGATGTGAAATGTTTGGGACCAGAGGTGTTTTGGATTTTGGAATCTTTGCATTATACAGTTATCCTTCAGTATTCTTGGATGACTTGTTCCACGAACTTCCGTGGATACCAAATCTGACAGTGCTCAAATCCCTGATATAAGATGGGATAGTATTTGTGTATAACCTATGCACACCCTCCTGTATGCTTTGTCATCTCTAGATTACTTATAACACCTAATACAGTGTAAATGCTATGTAAATAGTTGTTACACTGTATTGCTTAGGGAATAATGAGAAGAAAAAGTCTGTACATATTCAGTACAGACATTGTTTTTTAAATATTTTTGCTGTTTGATTGATTGAATCCATGAATACAGAGGGTCAGCTGTACTTACCAGTTGAACATCCCAAATCTGGAAACCCAAAATGCTTCAATAAACATTACCTTTGAGTGTCATGTTGACACTCAGAAAGTTTCCTATTTTGGGAACTTTTTGGATCTTGGGTTTGGGATGCTGAACTTGTATTTGCATGTGTGGAAAGAGATCAGGAGTCAAGGCAGGAGTCAGGAAATGTGGCTTCTATTCTTGGCTAACTTGACTGGTGTAGGGCAGATCACTTCACTAGCCTAAGCTGCAGTTTGCCACTGTTCACTCCTGAGGGTAGCTGGAGAGGCTTGAGAACAAATTTTAACACACTACATAGTGCAGACACCTTTTCATCTGAATTTTTCCTTTGAAGGATGAGTCATTCTTATGAAACAATTTTCTTTTTTTTTTTTTTTTTTGAGACAGAGTCTCGCTGTGTCGCCCAGACCTGAGTGCAGTGGCGTGATTTTGGCTCACTGCAAGCTCCACCTCCTGGGTTCACGCCATTCTCCTGCCTCAGCCTCCTGAGTAGCTGGGACTACAGGCGCCCGCCACCACGCCTGGCCAATTTTTTTGTGTTTTTTTTTAGTAGAGACGGGGTTTCACCGTGATCTCGATCTCCTGACCTTGTGATCAGCCTGCCTTGGCCTCCCAAAGTGCTGGGATTACAGGCATGAGCTACCGCGCCCGGCGAAACAGTTTTCAAAACAGAAAGATGGAAGTGACATTATCAAATTAAGTGCACACTGAAAACTTTTATGACAATTGTATCGAGGGGGTACATGTATTTTTCAATAGATATTGATTGGCTGCTATAGTAAGGATTTTTGCTGGGCTCTGAGAATCATTTTCTAAGTTTGAGGATGCTAACTAAATCATACGTAAGTTGTATGTGATAAATATGGGGCAGAAATAGGTATGCACTCTAAAAGTAGTAATAGCTTCTGGTTTAAAGAAGTGGGAGATCATAACAAGTTGGAATATCTGGAAATATTTAAGAAAATGCTTTAGCATGAAGTATTATTTTGACTATCATTTCAGAGAATGAGGATGAATAGAGAATAAGTGAGTAGGGTAGAAAGGGACAAGGTAAGAGGGCCAAGAGGCAGAATTAAAATTAAGTCAGGGGAATAAATGTGAATAGGAGTCTGGAAGAGATAAACAATTTTGGGGGGAAGGATTTGATGCTCTTAGTGCACTTGCTGTTTCTGTGTTATACTGTACTCCAGCTGTGCCCTACACTCACCCCAAAGAACAGCAGAAACACGTGTTCAAGAGAAGTGTTTTAATCTGGAAATAATTAGGGAATTACAATTTTTTTGAGGTTTAGCTGCTGTTTGTGGGATTCAGTTCCCAACCCTGAAAGTAAAAGTAACCATGAACATTTTGTTTTGTTTTTTAATTTATACACATTCCAGGAAATACTATTTTAGTATAAGTTGGTTCATAATGGCAGTTAAATTGCTCTTGTGTTTTGCCACCTTGGACAAAAGTGCTTTTGTCTTTCTGGTTTTCTTCTTTTGGTTTTATTTAATTTTGAACCCTGGGAAGAAGGATACGATGTAAATTTAATAAAATGAGTTTTCCTCCCTTTTTGTTTTTTCCTGAATCTTCATGGAACTTTTTTGGAAACGTGGAACCTAGGTGGGGTGGGTGACGAGAAAGGCCTGAGAAATGCCAGGAAGACATGAGGTTGGATTGGCCTTTGGGCATCCAGTTTACCTAATGTGTGTATGTCATGTATGTTACCGTTGAGGAAGTCAGTGCTGATTATGCCAAATTTCTACTTTTTCTGGATCATTTTACTCCTTAGCATTTGTAGGGGAAGACATTTATTTGAGCAGAAGAGGGTAACGATATGGTCCGTCTCTATATACTACTAAGAAGGATGATTATGGGTATGTGAACATGTGCATGCATATGTAAAATGAAACCTAATCTAAGCCTTGTGGTGAAAATACTCTGACAGGCTTCAGAGAAGTAAGAGTTTTGATCAAGGAAGGTACATCAACCTATATACCCTAGATTTTTTAAAGAATGTATAGATTAGGAATTCTCATTTTAAAATTAAGGTCTTTTTGTGACTTTTACCATGGATTATTATTTTCCCAAATACATGACCCTGTTTGATTAGCATATAGAGTTTTGACCCAGGGAGAGGATGCAGTGCCCAGCTTCTCAGTGGTTAACAGCTGTTCAGCCTAGTGCATATCAGAATTTATGTGGGTGTTGAATGATTTTTTTAAACTAGTGTAGGAACACTTGATACCTTCTCAGTAGTTATGTGCATGTTTCTGTAGTTTCCCAAGCTAATGGGAGAGATCTTCAAAATGATGAAATTTTATTGAAATCAAATAGATACATTAAGAAATGGAAATGCTGAATAGAGCCTAGTTTGCTCTACATGCTCTTTGGCAAATTGTTGGGTCACTGAGACATTTTAAGATAACAATATAGGCCAGGTGCAGTGGCTCACACCTATAATCCAGCACTTTTGGGAGGCTGAGGCTTGAGCCCAGGAGGTTGAGACCAGCCTGGGCAACATAGCAGGCCCCTGTCGCTACCAAAAAAAAAAAAAAAAAAAAAAGCCAGGCATGGTGGGGCATGCCTGTAGTCCCAGCTACTTGGGAGGCTCGCTTGAGCCAGTAAAGTCAAGGCTGAAATGAGCCATGATTATGGCTCCGTACTCCAGTCTGGGCAACAGAGTTGAGACTCTGTCTCCAAAAAAAAAAAAAAAAAAATGTATAGTTGAGGGGAAAAAAATCTGTCACCTTTAAAGTCTTGGTATAATTGAATCTTTTAGAATGTCTGCATCAAACCTGTGGATCCTTGGTTGTATCTCTCGTTAATCTGGGTAAGATGGAGAGGTTTCTCCTGCCTCAGCCTCCTGAGTATCTGGGATTACAGGCACCTGCCACCATGCCCAGCTTTTTTTGTATTTTTAGTAGAGACGGGGTTTCTCCATGTTAGCCAAGCTGGTCTTGAACTCCTGACCTCAAGTGATCCTCCCTCCTCAGCCTCTCAAAGTGCTGGGATTGCAGGTGTGAGCCACCGGGCCCGGCCTGTCAAATTGCTCTATAATTTCATTTGGAGTGAATTCAGATTAGACCATTGATTTTATTGGCTTTTTTTTTTTTTTTTTGCTTTTTGAGAAGCAAGGCCTTATTCTTTTTCCTAGGCTGGAGTGCAGCGGTGCAATCACACCCCATCGCAGCCTCCCCCTACCCAGATCAGTAAGTCCTTCCGCCTCAGGCTCCCAAGTAGCTGGGACTACAGGCGCGTGCCATGCCACCATCTCTGGCTAATTTTGGGGTGTTTTTTGTTGTTATTGTTGTTGTCATTGTTTTTTTGTAGAGACAAGGTTTTGCCATGTTGCCCAGGCTGGTCTCAAACTCCCGGGCTCAAGCAAGTGATCCTCCTTCCTCGACTTCCCAAAGTGCTGGGATTATAGGCATGAGCCACCGTATGGGCCCTGGTTGTCTTTTTTTCATATTACACATTTTCATTTTCAAACATTTGAATTTTGCAAGCTTATTTTGAGTGAGAGGAGTTTTGTTTTCTTCTCTCCTGAAGCCCAGTGTAGCCCAGTCAACCCTTAACTTCCAGCAGGGAGCCTATCACTGCCTCACACACAGCATGTTAGCCTCCCTTACCCCCGAGAAACTCTTACTGTTAGTGTTCAGCCACCACTTCCTCCTTCTGCATCTGGAGTCTAGAAGGCCTGCAGTTTTAGTCCTGCTCACAGTTTTGTGTCTGTTCCATTGAGATTGTTGTAACTTATTTAAGCATGACTATGTCTTTTCAATTTCTCTTTTTTATATTTTACTCTCACTTGTATGTTCTTGAAAGGAGAGGGAGGATCAAAGTGTGCACCCGCTATACCATCTTGGTTCTCCCAAAATCCGTCCCACGATGTTATAAAAATATATGAACTAGGAAATGAAACTCAAGGTTTTCTTTCTAACCAAAGAAGAAGTTCAGTCTCTCTCTATAAATAGAGAAGGGCTGTTGAATAATTTGTCACATTGCTTCTCTTTTGACTTTATAAGACTAGATAGTCTATAGACAGAGAAACAGATTCATTAAACCAGGGCCATTCAGGTTTATTTGGTAAAATATTTGTGATATATTTAAAAGCTTCCTGAGGTACTCATGTAATGATTGTTACTAGTATAATTGGTGCATAGGGCTGGGTGACCCTGCAAAAAAAGAGGCACAGCAAACTTTATTTCAGGTACAGATGGACCTTACCTTTAGGCAAATCCTTGAAATTTTGGCGTGTGGAATCAGGTTTTCCTGTGGGTTTTTTGTTTGTTTTTGGCTTTTCATAGACATCTATATGAAGTCTCTGCTTTAGAATCTATAAAACTATAGCTTCAGAGGCTGGGCGCAATGGCTCATGCCTTTAATCCCAGCACTTTGGGAGGCTGAGGTGAAAGGATCACTTGAGGTCAGGAGTTCGAGACCAGCCTGGCTAACAGGGCGAAACCCCATCTGTACTAAAAATGCAAAAATTAGCCAGGCATGGTGGCAGGCACCTGTAATTCCAGCTGCTTGGGAGGCTGAGGGAGGAGAATCACTTGAACCCAGAAGGCGGAGGTTGCAGTGAGCCGAGATCATGCCACTGCACGACAGAGCGAGACTCCATCTCGAAACAAAAAACTGTAGCTTCAGAGATTCACTTAAATTATCATTTATAGGCCAAGAGAGTTGTGGCTCACAGCCTGTAATCCCAGCATTCTAAAAGGCTGGGTGGATCACTTGAGGCCAGGATTTTGAGACCAGCCTGGGCAACATGGCAAAACCCTGTTTCTACAAAAAGGAATTTGCTGGGTGTTGTGATGCACACCTGTAGTCTCAGCTACTTGGCGAGGCTGAGGCCAGGGGACTGCTTGACCCCAGGAGGTCGACCCTGCAGTGAGCCATGATAGCACCACTGTACTCTAGCCGGGGCGATCAAGTGAGGCCCTATCTCCAAAAAAAAGTTTTGTTTTGTTTTAAGACAGGGTCTCACTTTGTCGTCTACATTGGAGCACAGTGGTGCCATCACAGCTCACTGAAGTCTTCACCTCTCAGGCTTAAGGGAGCCTCCAACCTCAGCCTTCCAAGTAGTTGGCACTACAGGCATGCGCCACCACACCTGGCTCATTTTTGTATTTTTAGTAGAGATGGGGTTTCACCATGTGGCAGGCTGGTCTTGAGCTCCTGGACGCAAGTGATCTTCCGCCCTTGGCCTCCCAAACTGCTGGGATTACAGGTGTGAGCCACTGTGCTGGATGAATTTTTTTAAAGAAGGAAAAATAAAATTAATTCGGCCCTTCATTAAAAAAAATAAAAACTCTTTAAAGGAAACGTGGGCTAAGTTATTTTTCTGAGAGACTATAAGATTTAGGAAGAAAAATAATCATGATGAAACGTTTTGGGAATATTTTTGGTATTTAAAATTATTGTAGAAATTTATAAATGTGTCAGATTTTGGCTGGGCACAGTGGCTCACACTTGTAATCCAAGCACTTTGGGAGGCCAAGGTGGGCAGACCACCTGAGGTCAGGAGTTCGAGACCAGCCTAGCCAACATGGTGAAACCCTATCTCTAAAAGAATTTTTTTAAAAAAATTTAAGTCAGATTTTAAGAAATATTCTTATGGCTGGGTACAAGTGGCTCGTAACTGTCATCCCAGCACTTTGGGAGGCAAAGGCAGGCAGATCACTTGAGCTCAGGAGGTAAGTTACCTGGGCAACACAGCATGACTCCATCTCTACAAAAAAAAAAAAGTAGCTGGGCATGGTGGTGAGCACCTGTAGCTACTTGAAGGGGTTAAGGCAGGAGGATCACTTGAGCCTGGCAGGTCAAGGCTATAGCAAGCCGTGTTTATGTCACTGCAGTCCAGGCAGGGTGACAAAGTGAGACTCTTATCTCCAAATAAGAAAGAAATCCTCTTGGTCATAGATATGATTTCTTTACACCAAGTTTGTTCGTGGATGCCAGTCACAAGGGGTTTGTCCCTAGGGTAATATAGTTTGCTTTGATCATTTCCAAGAGTAAGTTGTACTACAGGATAGCAGAAGAGATGCGCTTAAAAAGTATGGCAAAATGCATATTGAGACAATAGCATGTTGGCCAGACACAGAGACTCACGCTTGTAATCCCAGCACTTTGGGAGGCTGAGGTGGGTCACCTGAGGTCAGGAGTTCAAGGCCAGCCTGGCCAACATGGTGAAACCCTGTCTCTAACAAAAATACAAAAAATTAGCTGAGCTTGGTGGCACGTGCCTGTGGTCCTAGGTACTTGGGAGGCTGAGGTGGGAGGATCACTTGAGCCTGGGAGGTGCAGGGTACACTGAGGCGAGATTGTGCCACTGCACTCTAACCTGGGTGACAGAGTGAGACCCAGTCTCAAAAAAAAAAAAAAAAAAAAAAAAAGAAAAAACAAGATGCAGTAAAGAAGCCGACCAAAACCAAGATGGTGACGAAAGTGACCTCTGGTCGTCCTCACTGCTCATTAAAACTTTTTAAAAAAAATATGAAAAGAGGCTGGGCCCTGTGGCTCACACCTGTAATCTCAGGACTTTGGGAGGCCAAGGCAGGTGGATCGCCTGAAGTCAGGAGTTTGAGACCAGCCTGGCCAACGTGGCACAACCAAAAATGCAAAAATTAGCCAGATGTGGTGGCACACACCTGTAATCCCAGCCACTTGGGAAGCTGAGGCAAGAGAATTGCTTGAAGCCAGGAGACAGAGGTTGCAGTGAGCCGAGATCATGCCACTGTACTCCAGCCTGGGAGACAGAGCAAGGCTCCGTCAAAAAAAAAAAAAAAAAAAAGAAGCTGGGCCTGGTGGTGCACGTCTGTAGTCCCAGCTACTCGGGAGGCTGAGGTGGGAGGATCATGTGAGCCTGGGAGGTCCAGGCTGCAGGGGGCCATGATCCTGCCCCTGCCCTGCAGCCTGGGTTATACAGCGAGACAAAAGAAAAAAGAAAAAAGTTAGTGGTAACAGGATAAACTACATAACCATATATTATTCCTTCACATTCATGAAGCAGGTCAATTTGAAGCTTGAGGACGATTTCCATTCCTCTAGGTGAATCTACCAAGAAATGCCTTGGTAGAGCTAGGAGTGCCAATGGTATCAGCAAGGCCAGCCTGCTTCCCTGTGATTCATGGTAATTCTCACTATGACTTTGACATGAAGTTCCTACACTGTGCCTATCAACACTTGTAGACACACTGTATAAGCGTTTGTTACATTTACTTTTTCTTTTGTCATTACGTCTTTTATTACAGAGGCCACTGTGCACTCCACAATCACACACTTACAGAGTTCCGCCTTGCCAAGCAGTGTAGACCCTGCCAAGCAGTGTAGACAGATTCTGGATAACTATCCTTGCATCGTTCCCCATACCATGTTCCCGATGTTGAACTGAAGCAGCTCCTTCCACGTTCCCTACCCGTTAATTAGCCAGGCCACTGCCCACATTGTCAGAAACATTATATTAACTGAAAAACTGGCCCATGCCATATTCCATTATGAGAAATTATTTTTAATTCGATTAAATTCCAATGTTTATTCAGAAAACCTGGTAGAGATTGAATTGCTCTATGTACCTTTCTTAGTTTTCTTCTTCTTAGCATATTTTGACCATTTATCTTCTACACCTGGCTGACCTGCATGGTCCGTGTAGTGTAACTTCTACTTGGTGTTTGCGCTTTGCTTTGTTTTCAAATTTAAATTGTGAGATACATTTTTAAACCTATCTAAGAAATAGCCCTGATATTGAAATGGCTTCTGTGGAATAGGTTTGACAGATGTAAGTCTTTGATTCTTTGGCTTTGGTTTTTGTGCCTGTTACAGCTTTACACACATTCATTCAGAGGAAGACATTACCATCAGTGTGTGGTTTATTTTTTCAAATTCCAGTATGTTTTTAAAGATCCATATTTCACTAAGCAGTGTACTTGTTGAAACCCATGTGAGTGACTTTGTTTCCACATGTGATAGAGCATCAGATACTGGAGTTTGCCGGCGGTAGAATGGTTGGATTCAGGAATGTTTAGCTGACTCATAGCAGGAAGTTATCCTGTAAAAAAATGAAGCAAGGCAGGGAAGACAGATTTAAGTACCATGCAGCTCAAAACGACAATTACATTGTCATTTTCGTTGTGAATACTTTTAGGTTCTATATTGGCTGTGATCTTTGTACTAACTGCTATTATGGAGAATGTGTTGGCATCGCAGAAAAGGAGGCTAAGAAAATGGATGTGTACATCTGTAATGATTGTAAATGGGCACAAGAGGGCAGCAGTGAGGAATTGTACTGTATCTGCAGAACACCTGCAGTCACAGTGAGTTCTAATAAGAGCATCACATTTAATAATTTAGGAAGCCAAATTGCTCTGACTGGTTACTTATTTACTTTAAAATAAAAAGCAGATTTTTTCTACATTTGTTATACACTTACATTACAAATTCCTTTTCATTTTTTTTCTCTTTTTCCCTTTTTACCTACCCTTCAAAATTTATCTTGCTTCATAGTGAATGTTTGAGACACATTGGGGAAAATGTGGTTTAATGGTAAATTTGATTCTTCAATATGTAACATAGAAATTAATGAGATTAAACTAGCCTGACTTGTTTGGACTTTATCAGTGTTTGAAATGGTGCTTTATTATAGGTTAGAAAAACACTAATTTGGGTATAAGCTTTGAGACTCTGTTATTACCTTATAGGATTTTGAACTCCCACATGGTACAGTACTAGTTGAAAGATTTGTGACTTGTTTTCAGCTTTAAAATCAATTGAATGTTTCATATTTATCTTTAAATTGGTTCTCCAAAATTACAGTGTTCTTATAAATTTTTTTACTGCTTGTTCTTAACATCAAAAATACTAAATTAATGTACTGGAATGTCGATCTTGAAAGCATTAAAACCATAATACTAAAACTATTTTATATCCCAGGGTTTAGCAAATTTTCAGGTGCATGCTTTATTATAAGTAACATCATCCCATCTGTTTTGAACTCACATTTCCATTTTGGATCTTGCAGATTTTTTATTGGCCATGATCGGTGTCAGAATTGGTACCATGGGTGCTGCATTGGCATCTTGCAGAGTGAGGCAGAGCTCATTGATGAGTATGTCTGTCCACAGTGCCAGTCAACAGAGGATGCCATGGCAGTGCTCACACCACTAACAGAGAAGGATGATGAGGAGTTGAAGAGGGTGCTCTGTTCCTTACAGATGAGAGCCCCTCTGTGTGCAGCATTTGAAAATGAAATCAGCTGGCATAATTTTGGAAGCATTTCTAGGATTTCAAGTTTCCAGTGTTAGGATTTCAAGTTTCCAATCTTAGAGTGATTATTTACTGAGTCTCAGCTAGTCTAGTGAAGGGCTTGACAAACTTCAGTCCTTCACATACCAGTGTCATGAGCTTTACCATATCCCCACACCACCTCAGCTTATCTAACACTCAGATAATCTAACGTGACTCACTTCTTTATACATTTTATTTTTAAAGAAACTTCCTCTCACTCCCATGGATTGAGAAACAGTATGATTAGATTATAGTTATTATTTTCCTTATGAAAGACAGAAAGGGGGCTGGGTACGGAGGCTCACACCTGTAATCCCAGCACTTTGGGGGGCTGAGGTGGGCAAATCATGAGGTCAGGAGTTTGAGACCAGACTGGCCAACATGGTGAAACCCCGTCTCTACTAAAAATACAAAAAACTAGTCGGGTGTGGTGGCGTGAGCCTGTAATCCCAGCTACTAGGGAGGCTGAGGCAGGAGAATCGCTTGAACACAGGAAGCAGAGGTTGCAGTGAGCCAAGATCGAGCCATGGCACTCCAGCTCGGGTGACAGTGTGAGAATCTGTCTCAAAAAAAAAAAAAAAAGGAAAGAAAAGAAAACCAGGATAGGTATGGTTTGCAGGATTAGCAAGTGATACAGATGTATTGAAGACACAGAAGGCCAGTGTGGTTGCTCACACCTATAATCCCAGCACTTTGGGAGGCCAAGGCAGGAGGATCACTTGAGTCAATTAGTTAGAGACCAATCTGGGCAACAAAGTGAGACCCCATCTCTACAAAAACTAAAAATAAAAAATTAGCTGGGCATGTTGGCACACACTTGTTTATCCAGCTACTCGGGAGACTGAGGTGAGAGGATCACTTGAGCACAGGAGGCTACAGTGAGCTATGATCGTGCCACTCCACTCCAGCCTGGATGACAGAGCGAGACCCTGTCTCAAAACAATGGGGGGAAATAAAAGAATATAGTGCATTGGATTGAAACTTTCTCCTGTTTTTATCATAATCACAAGAATTGAAGAAACTAAAAAGGGAATCGTAGTCTCAATGTGTGGTTGAATGTTATCTAACATCACATCTCTGCCACCTCATCATTAATCAGCTGTGGTAATGATTCCACACTTTGAACCCATCCCACCTGTTTACAGAAGCAGTTGCAATGCCAGCATCACTCAGTGACAGCTCATCATGTAGGGCCCAGAATACTGATTTTGTGACTTCTAAGCTTGTGTTCCACCCCCCACACTGTGGGGAAAAGAAAGAGAGATCAGATTGTTGCTGTGTCTGTGTAGAAAGAAGTAGACATAGGAGACTCCATTTTGTTGTGTACTACGAAAAGTTCTTCTGCCTTGAGATGCTGTTAATTTATAACCTTACCCCCAACCCCGTGCTCTCTGAGTCATGTGCTGTGTCAACTCAGGGTTAAATGAATTAAGGGCTGTGCAAGATGTGCTTGGTTAAACAGATGCTTGAAGGCAGCATGCTCCTTAAGAGTCATCACCACTCCCTAATCTTAAGTACCCAGGGACACAAACACTGCGGAAGGCCACAGGGACCGCTGCCTAGGAAAGCCAGGTATTGTCCAAGGTTTCTCCCCATGTGATAGTCTGAAATATGGCCTCGTGGGAAGGGAAAGACCTGACCGTCCCCCAGCCCGACACCCTTAAAGGGTCTGTGCTGAGGAGGATTAGTATAAGAGGAAGGAATGCCTCTTTGCAGTTGAGACAAGAGGAAGGCATCTGTCTCCTGCCCGTCCCTGGGCAATGGAATGTCTCGGTATAAAACCCGATTGTATGTTCCATCTACTGAGATAGGGAAAAACCGCCTTAGGGGTGGAGGTGGGACACGCAGGCAGCAATACTGCTTTGTAAGGCATTGAGATGTTTATGTGTATGTGTATCTAAAGCACAGCACTTAATTCTTTACCTTGTCTATGATGCAGAGACCTTTGTTCATGTGTTTATCTGCTGACCTTCTCTCCACTATTATCCTATGACCCTGACACATCCCCCTCTCCGAGAAACACCCAAGAATGATCAATAAATATGAAGGGAACTCAGAGTCCGGCAGCATCCTCCATATGCTGAACGCAGGTACTCTGGGCCCCCTTATTTCTTTCTCTATACTTTGTGTCTTTTTCTTTTCCAAGTCTCTCGTTCCACTTAACGAGAAACACTCACAGGTGTGGAGGGGCAACCCACCCCTTCACCACACCAAGGTCTTCCGACCAGGCTTTGAGTACCATTATTGCAGAGGAAGCTCATCTTAGGTAACTTATTACTAGAGCAGAAATCACCTAATATAAAGTATTTCATGTATCGCATTTAAAACTGACTTTTGGGTTCATTGATGTAGTGACTCAACTGGGAATCTTAAATGGAATTAGTGTTTTCACTGACAATAAGAATGCCTACTTTTTCATTATAGACCCATAAGATGGCCCAGCCTTTCCTTGAACCAGTAGACCCTAATGATGCACCAGATTATTATGGTGTTATTAAGGAACCTATGGGTACACATGAGTTGAATTTGAAGTTTTTTCAGAAGTCTCAGTGGATATTTTATTAACCATAAAATTAATATCTTAGAATACTTTTAGCAAGGCTGGTGGGGGTATAAATTGGTATGGTCACTTTGGAGGGTAAATTGATAGTATCTATTACATTTGAATTGTGAATACTCGGTTATTTTATTTTATTTTTTTGAGATGGAGTCTCACCCTGTTGCCAGGCTGGAGTGCAGTGGTGTGATCTCACCTCAATACAACCTCTGCCTCCCAGGTTCAAGCGATTCTCCTGCCTCAGCCTCCCGCGTAGTTGGGACTACAGGCACGTGCCACCACACCCGACTAATTTTTGTAGTTTTAGTAGAGACGAGGTTTCACTATGTTGGCCAGGATGGTCTCAAACTCCTGACCTCAGGTGATCCGCTCGCTTCGGCCTCCCAAAATGCTGGGATAACAGGCATGAGCCACCGCGCCCAGCCCCCACAGTGATCTTCCTTTGAGGAAAAGCCATGGGGTGCTTTCTCTTCTGTAGCAAGGAAGATGGTTTCTAAGAGGGTATTTTAAAAGCAGTTTACCTAAAATAAAAGTGAAAGGCCAGGCAAGGTGACGTATGCCTGTAATCCCAGTACTTTGGGACGCCGAGTGGGGAGAATAGCTTGAAGCCAGGAGTTCAAGACCAGCCTGGGCCACAATATGAGACCTTGTCTCTACTACCAAAAAAAAAAAAATTAACCAGGCTTGGTGATGAGTGCCTGTAGTCCCAGCTACTTGGGAGGCTGAGGCAGGAGAATCACTTGAGTACAGGAGTTTGAGGCTGCAGTGAACTATGATCGAGCCACTCCACCCCAGCCTGGGTGACACAGCAAGAACTTGCCTGTTTAAAAAAAAAAAAAAAACTGAGGCCAGGTGCGGTGGATCACGCCTGTATTCCCAGCACTTTGGGAGGCCGAGTGGGGCAGATCATGAAGTCAGGAGATCGAGACCATCCTGGCTAACACGGTGAAACCCCGCCTCTACTAAAAATAACAAAACATTAGGCGGGCGTGGTGGCAGACGCCTGTAGTCCCAGCTACTCGGGAGGCCGAGGCAGGAGAATGGCATGCACCCGGGAGACAGAGCTTGCAGTGAGCCGAGATTGCGCCACTGCACTCCAGCCTGGGAGACAGAGCAAGACTCCGTCTCAAAAAAAAACAAAAACAAAAACAAAAAAACTGAAGGACAAGCCCAGGTAAAGTATCCAATTTTTATTCTCAGCAGAGGAATTAAAAAATAAATGAATATATATACAGGCAAGGAAGCAAGAAAAGTAGGCAGCAGGATATAGACCAAAAACAAGAAACTACAAAATCTGTAAAACTAGGCTAGGCGTGATGGCTCATGCCTGTAATTCCAGCACTTTGGGAGGCCGAGGCGGGTGGATCACCTGAGGTCAGGAGTTTGAGACCAGCCTGGCCAACATGGCAAAACCCCATCTCTACTAAAAATACAAAAATTAGCCAGGTGTGGTGATACACACCTGTAATCCCAGCTACTCAGGTGGCTGAGGCACGAGAATTGCTTGAACTCAGGAGGCAGAGGTTGCAGTGTGCCAAGATCACACCACTGCACTCCAGCCTGGGTGACAGTGAGACTCTCACAAAAGAAGAAAAAAAAATTCCCAACCTTGCCAACATAACAAGACCATGTCTCTACAAAAATTTTAAAAATTAACCAGGCATAGTGGCGTGCACCTGTAGTCCTAGCTACTCAGGAGGCTATGACAGGAAGATCACTTGTGCCCAGAAGTTCAAGGCTGCAGTGAGCTGTGATCACTTGTGCCCAGGAGTTCAAGGCTGCAGTGAGCTGTGATTACACCATTGCTCTCCAGCCTGAATCACAGATTGAGACCCTGTCTCAAAAAAAAAAAGACAAGAATAAAAGAAAAATTTTCTGAGCTGATGCGAGTCACAGGACTTTAAATTCTAGCAGAATAAATTCATTCACTCAGCAAATGACTATTGAGAACCTGATGTGTGCCAGATACAGGGAATTTAGCAGTGAATAAATTAAAGCCCCTGCACTCTATGAGGGGTGGGGGGAGCAAGGGGTCAGTTGATAAACATTATAAACCAGGTGGACAAATGGAAAAAGACTCACTCCTACATACATCACTATAAAATTTCCAAACATTAAGAATAAAAGAAACTTTTAGATAAAACAGACAATCTATAAAACAAGAATTAGATTGGTGTCAGATTTTTCTGCTACAACATTTAGTGCTAGAAGATTATGGAAGAATCAATCTAAAAGAAGTTTAAGAAAAAATGATTTTCAACCTAGAAGTATGTGCAGCCAAACAGTCAAGTAAAGTCAGAATAAATACATTTTCAGTCATGTAAGGACTCAGGGTACCCTTTCTTGGCAGGTATTTTTTAAAAGCATGTGCTATTGGCCAGGCACGAAATGGCTTATGCCTGTAATCCTAGCACTTTGGAAGGCAAAGACGGATGGAACATTTGAGGTCAGCATTTCGAGACCATCCTGGCCAACACGGCAAAACCTCATCCCTACTAAAAATACAAAAATTAGGCGGGCATAGTGGCGCATGCCTGTAGTCCCAGCCACACAGGAGGCTGAGGCATGAGAATCACTTGAAACAGGGAGGCAGAGGCTGCAGTGAGCCAAGATCACACCACTGCACTCCAGCCTGGGTGTCAGAGTGAGACTCTGCTCAGGAAAAAAAAAAAAAAAAAAAAAAAAAGTGTGCTATCAAAAATAAGGAAACAAATTTTTTTCTTTTTAATAATATATATTTTTAATTAGGGACGGGGTCTTGCTATATGACCCAAGCTAGTCTTGAACTGAGCTCAAGCGATCCTCCCGCCAACCTTGGCCTCCCAAAGTGCTGGGATTACAGCCATGAGCCACTGCACTGGGCTAGAAATTTTTCTGTTGTTTTGTGTTTTTGAGACAGAGTCTCACTCTGTTGCCCAGGCTGGAGTGCAGTGGTGCAATCTCACCTCACTGCAACCTCTGCTTCCGACGTTCAAGCGATTCTCCTGCCTCAGCCTCCCAAGTAGCTGGGATTACAGGCGCCTGCCACCACACCTGGCTAATTTTTGTGTTTTTAGTAGAGATGGGGTTTTGCCATGTTGGCCAAGCTGGTCTCAAGGCAAGTGATCCACCTGCCCTGGCCTCCCAAAGTGCTGGGATTACAGATATGAGCCACCGCGCCTGGCCAGAAATGTTTATTTATTTGGGTTCACAAAAACAAGAGGTTCAGGAAAGCAATGAGAATTACTCTGACTCAAGGTGACATTTGTACAGCAGGCTGTGTGGTAAGCAGTCCAAATCCTAGCAGGAGAATGGAGCACTCCCCAGAGGGTCAGTAGAGCAAGAAAATGACTCATGCGTTAGATAATTTGTTTAAGACAGAAAAACATAAGGCTATGATTAAGCCAAAGAATGTCAGGGATAAAAATGAAAGGCAATTAGAAATGCCACTAAAAACAAAAAGTTGTGTAAGAGGGCCTGTTGGCCGGGAATGGTGGTTCATGCCTGTAATCCCAACACATTGAGAGGCTGAGGCAGGAGGATGCTTGAGCCCAGGAATTCTAGACCAGCCCGGGCAACATGAGGAAACCCCATCTTTACAAAATACAAAAATTAGCCAGGCATGGTGATGTGCACCCATGATCCCAGCTACTCCAGAGGCTGAGGTGGGAGGATTAAGCCCAGGAGACAGATGCTGCAGTGAGCCATGTTCATGCAACTACACTCCAGCCTGGACGACACAACAAGACCCTGTCTCAAAAAAAAAAAAAGAAAGAAAGAAAGAAAAAAAAGGCCAGGTGCGGTGGCTCACGCCTGTAATCCCAGCACTTTGGAAGGCCAAGGTGGACGGATCACCTGAGGTCGGGAGTTCAAGACCAGCCTGGACAACATGGCGAAACCTCGTCTCTATTAAAAATACAAAAATTAGCCAGGCATTGTGGTAGGCGCCTGTAATCCTCGCTACTTGGGAGGCTGAGGCAAGTGAATTGCTCAAACCTGAGACGTGGAGGTTGCAGTGAGCCAAGATTGTGCCACTGCACTCCAGCCTAGGCGACAGAGCGAGACTCTGTCTCAAAAAAAAAAAAAGAAAAAAAAGAATGCCTTATTAGCAAAGGACTAGGTGGTATAGAGAAAAATATTTACATTGTCGTAATAATGTAAATAATGACATTGGGCCAGGAACAGTGGCTTATGCCTATAGTCCCAACACTTTGGGAGGCCAAGGCGTGTGGATCACCTGAGCTCAGGAGTTCGAGACCAGCCTGACCAACATGGTGAAAGCCCATCTGTACTAAAAATACAAAAATTAGCTAGGCGTGGTGGCAGGCACCTGTAATCCCAGCTACTCAGGAGGCTGAGGCAGGAGAATCACTTGAACCCAGGAGGCAGAGGTTGCAGTGAGCCAAAACCATGCCATTGCACTCCAGCCTGGGCCACAAGAGCAAAATTCTGTGTCAAAAAAAATAAAAATAAAAATAATAAAAATAATGACATTGGTTTTCAACTTTTAGAATCAGCCTACAGACAAAGCATGGAATGATATAATTTTTAAATTATAGGGAAATAAAACTTGGACTCAGCCAGGTGCGGTGGCCCACACCTGTAATCTCAGCACTTTGGGAGGCCGAGGCGGGTGTATCACGAGGTCAGGAGTTTGAGACCAGCCTGGCCAAGATGGTGAAACCTCATCTCTACTAAAAATACAAAAATTAGCCGGTCGCAGTGGTGAGCGCCTGTAATCCCAGCTACTCAGGAGGCTGAGGTGGAAAATCGCTTGAACCCAGGAGGTGGAGGTTGCAGTGAGCTGAGATCACACCACTGCACTCTAGCCTGGGTGACAGAGCAAGACTCCATCTCAAAACAAAAAAAACAAAATAAAACAAAACAAAACAAAACAAAAAAGACTTGGACTCAAAAAGGGAGGTGGGAAAATGGTTAAGTGAGCTTGGTTCTCATTTGCCATCACAGGGCTTAAATGAAAGTTGATAAAACAAGAAATAGCAGTATAAGAAAGCTACCCAGGCTGGGCACGGTGGCTTATGCCTGTAATCCCAGCACTTGGGAAGGCCAAGGCGGGTGGATCATCTGAGGTCAGGAGTTTGAGACCAGCTGGCCAGCATGGTGAAACCCCATCTCCACTAATAATACAAAAATTAGCCAGGCATGGTGGTGCACGCCTGTAAGTCCCAGCTACTCTGGAGGCTGAGGCAGAAGAATCACTTGAACGTGGGAGGCGGAGGTTGCAGTGAGTGGAGATCACACCACTACACTTCAGCCTGGGCGACAAGAGCGAGACTCCATCTCAAAAGAAAAAAATCTACCCAGACCGGGCATGGTGGCTCATGTCTGTAATCCTAGCACTTTTGGGAGGCTGAGGTGGGCGGTTAGGTCAGGAGTTCCAGACCAGCCTGGCCAATATGGTAAAACCTTGTCTCTACTAAAAATACAAAAATTAGCTGGGCGTAAGGGCGGGCACCTGTAATCCCAGCTACTTTGGGAGGCTGAGGCAGGAAAATCATTTTGAACCCAGGAGGAGGAGATTGCAGTGAGCTGAGATCCCACCACTGCACTCCAACCTGGGCAACAGCAAGACTCTGTCTCAAAAAAAGAAAGAAAAGAAAGGAAGGAAGGAAGGAAGGAAGAGAAAAGAAAAGAAATCTACCCAGAGAACTGAAAGGTCAAGGGGATTGATCATAGGGAGCCTGGATTTCAGAGGGAGTTAAGGTAGGACAGAGGAGCACAACTTCTCATTGTAAGCCCCTCTATGCTTTTTGATTTGTACATGGTGGTTATTCCTCTGGTTCAATTTCTAAAATTGCTTTTTTAAATTGGAAAAGCCTTTGGTGGTAACTGTGAGGTAGAAGCCAAGGGGTGTGAATCCTACCCTGCTGCCAACTTGCTGGCAGAGCCCAGAGGATGACTGCTGGCAACTGCTGATGAAGGAGAGGAAGTTGCCTGGAGGTCCTGGGGCCTGTGGCAAGACAAAGGGAATTTGGTAAAGGAGCAAAGGAGACCTAGGCTGGGCCCGCATAGTGTAGGGGCCACTTAGGATGTCTTCCTGCCACCTGGTTATTTATGTAGCTTTTTAATATACTCAAGTTGACATAATTTTCAATAAAGCACATGGGAGCTGAATGGAGACGTTTGCTCAATTCTGCTTAAATAAACAAATTAGGCTGTGTGCAGTGGCTCACACCTGTGATCTCAACACTTTGAGAAGCCAAGGCAGGCAGCTCACTTGAGCCCAGGAGTTTGAGACCAGCCTGGGGAACGGGGAAGAGAGGCCAAATCCAAGGGGAATTTAGGAGTCAGAATTGAGAGGGTGTGATGAGTGTTGATGGGATACAGGACAGGATCCTGAGATGGCTTGCAGGTCTTCAGCTTTGAGTGACCCATGGAAGCGAAGGAAGATGGGAAGGAGGGTGCCTATCACACAGAGAGAATGAAGGTTTGAGAGGCAAGTGTAGCTTTTGACATTTTGCTTTTGAAATGTCTATGGGACATCAGAAATAATCTCAAAAGACCACAAGTCAGGCAGGGCGCGGTGGCTCACGCTTGTAATTCCAGCACTTTGGGAGGCCGAGGTGGGCAGATCACGAAGTCAGGAGCTCGAGACCAGCCTGGCCAACATGGTGAAACCCCGTCTCTACTAAAAATTCAGAAATTAGCTGGGCATGGTGGCGGGCACCTCTAATCCCAGCTACTTGGGAGGCTGAGGCAGGAGAATCACTTGAACCTGGGAGGCGGAGGTTGCAATGAGCTGGGATCGAGCCATCGCACTCCAGCCTGGGCAACAAGAGTAAAACTCTGCCTAAAAAAAAAAAAAAACCATGAGTCACTGGTTAACAGCCTGAGCAGCAGAAATCTCACAGTTCTGAGTCTGAATCCTATCTAGCCTGGCTCTGAAACTCACAATCTGGAGCTGGGGCTTGGTGCAGTGGCTCAGGCCTGTAATCCCAGCACTGTGGGAGGCTGAGGCAGGTGGATTGCTTGAGGCCAGGAGTTTGAGAGCAGGCTGGCCAACATGGTGAAACCCCATCTCTACTAAAAATACAGTTAGCCAGGCATGATGGTGTGCACCTGTAATCCCAGCTACTTGGGGGGCTGAGGCACGACAATCGCTGGAGCCCAGGAGGCAGACGTTGCAGTGAGCCGAGATTGTGCCACTGCACTCCAGCCTGGGCAACACAGCAACACTGTCTAAAAAAAAAAAAAAAAATGCTGGGCGCGGTGGCTTACGTCTGTAATCCCACTTTTAGAGGCTGAGGTGGGAGGATCACCTGAAGCCAGGAGCTCAAGACCAGCCTGGCCAACATGGTAAAACCCGCCATCCCCTCCCTGCCATGCCCCATCTCCCCCAACACTCTCCCACCCTGTCTCTACTAAAAATACAAAAATTAGCCGGGTGTGGTGGCACACACCTATAATCTCAGCTACATGGGAGGCTGAGGCATAAGAATTGCTTGAGCCCGGAAGGTGGAGGTTGCAGTGAGCCAAGATCGCACCACTGCACTCCAGCCTGGGTGACAGAGCAAGACTCTCTCTTAAAAAAAAAAAAAAAAAAAAAAAGAATTTTTTTTTTTAAATATAGAGATGGGCTTTCTGTGTTTCCCAGGCTATACTCAAGCTCCTGGGCTCAAGCTATTCTCCTGCCTCTGCCTTCAACCAGCCTCAATCCTCCAATTTTCTTATTTTTTATATTTTTCAACACCTTTTAAATTCTACATTCTGGCCAGCTGCAGTGGCTCATGCCTATAATCCAGCACTTTGAGAGGTTGAGATATGAGACTTGCTTGAGGCCAGGAGTTTGAGGCTTGCAGTAAGCTAGAATGGCGCCACGGCACAGCAGCTTGGGAGACAGAGCAAGACCTTGTCTCAAAAGAAAAAGAATTTAAATACTACATTCTAGGAGATTTCTTCAACCTTCAAATTTTGTATTGAATTTTTAATTTTGGCTTTTATTTATTTATTTTTTTTTTTGAGACAGGTTCTCACTCTGTCACCCAGGTTGGAATGCGGTGGCTTGATCTCAGCTCACTGCAACCTCCGCCTCCTGGGTTCAAGTGATTCTCCTGCCTCAGCCTCCTGAGTAGCTGGGATTGCAGGCATGGTCCACCATGCCCAGCTTATTTTTGTATTTTCAGTAGAGACGGGGTTTCACCATATTGGCCAGGTTGGTCTCAAACTCCTGGCCTCAAGTGATCCACACGCCTCAGCCTCCCAAGGTGCTGAGATTACAGGTGTGAGCCACTGCACCCAGCCTTGGCTATCATATTTCTAATTTATGATAGTTTTTCTTGCTTTCTTATTGTTCATTTTTTATAGCATCCTGTTCTTATGTTATGGATATATATCTTCAGGTCTCGCTGAAGAAATAAAGAGGTGTATGTGTATATGTGTGTGTGTACTATTTTTATTTTTATTATTTGAGACGGAGTCTCACTCTGTTGCCCAGGCTGGAGTGCAGTGGCACAATCCCAGCTGGCTGCAACCTCTGCTTCCCAGGTTCAACTGATCCTCCCACCTCAATCTCCCAACTAGCTGGGATTACAGGCACCTGTCACCATGCCCGGCTAATTTTTCTTTCTTTGTTTCTTTTTTTTTTTTTTTTTTTTTTTTTTTGAGATAGAGTCTCTGTTGCCCAGGACGGAGTGCAGTGGTGTGATCTCGGCTCACTTCAAGCTCCACCTCCTGGGTTCAAGAGATTCTCCTGCCTCAGCCTCCCAAGTAGCTGGGATTACAAGCGTGTGCCACCACACCCAGCTAATTTTTGTATTTTTAGTAGAGATGGGGTTTCACCATGTTGTCCAGGCTGATCTCAAACTCCTGACCTCAAATGATCCACCTTCTTCAGCCCGCCAAAGTGCTGGGATTACATGCATGAGCCACCACACCAGCAAAATTTTTGTATTTTTAGTAGAGATAGGGTTTCGCCATATGTGTGTGTGTTTTAAGTTTTTCTGTTTTCATTTCTCTTGGCATATATACCTAGGAATGGAATTACTGGGTCATATGGGAGCTCTGTGTTAAACACTTGTGTCATATCTAAGAAAACTTGCTAATCCAAAGGTCATAAAGATGTATGTCTATGTTTTCCTCTAAGGCCAACATGGTGAAACACTGTCTCTATTAAAAAAATAAAAACTGGGCCGGGCATGGTTGCTCATGCCTGTAATCCCAGCACTTTGGGAGGCCAAGGTGGGTGGATCACCTGTGGTCGGGAGTTCGAGGCCAGCCTGATCAACATGCAGAAACCCCGTCTCTACTAAAAATACAAAAAAATTAGCGGGGCATGGTGGCGCATGCCTGTAATCTCAGCTACTTGGGAGCTGAGGCAGGAGAATCGCTTGAACGCAGGAGGCAGAGGTTGCGGTGAGCCAAGATCGTGCCATTGCACTCCAGCCTGGGCAACAAGAGCAAAACTCGGTCTCAAAAAAAAAAAAAAAAAAAAAAAATTAGTTGGGCGTGGTGGCGCGCACCTGTAGTCCCAGCTACTCCAGAGGCTGAGGCAGGAGAATGGCTTGAACCCAGGAGGTGGAGGTTGCAGTGAGCTGAGATCATGCCACTGCACTCCAGCCTGGCAACAGAGCAACAGAGCAAGACTCCATCTAAAAACAAAAAAAGAGTTTTCTACTTTTCAGTCTAACAAATGTTTTATAAACAAAGGCTTTGTTATATTTTGAGTTAATTTTTATAGATAATATGAGGTGAGGTTTCAACTTCATTCTATTGTGTGTGGGTATCCAGTTGTCCCAGGACCATTGTTTGAAAAGACTTTTTTTTCTACACTTTCTCTCATTGAATTGTCTTGGCATATTTGTTAAAAATCAGTTGACCTTGGCTGGGCACCATGGTTCACACCTGTAATCTCAGTATTTTGGGAGGCCAAGGCAAGAAGACCATTTGAGCCCAGAAGTTCAAAACCCGCCTGGGCAATATAGGCACACTCCATTTCTAAAAATAATTATTAAAAAGATTAGCTGGGCAGGCCAGACATGGTGGCTCACGCCTGTAATCCCAGCACTTTGGGAGGCCAATGCAGGTGGATCACCTGAGGTCAGAAGTTCAAGACCAGCCTGACCAACATGGAGAAACCCCATTTCTGCTAAAAATACAAAATTAGTCTGGCGTGGTGACTCATGCCTGTAATCCCAGCTACTAGGGAGGCTGAGGCAGAAGAATTGCTTGAACCCAGAAGGCGGAGGTTGTGGTGAGCCGAGATTGCGCCATTGCACTCCGGCCTGGGCAACAAGAATGAAACTCTGTCTCAAAAAAAAAAAAGATCAGCTGGGCGTGGTGGCACATGCCTGTGGTCCCAGTGACTTAGGAGGCTGAGGCAGGGGGATCGGGAGACGGAGGCTGCAGTGAGCCTTGATCACTGCACTCCAGCCTGGGTGACAGAGTGAGACCCTGTCTCAAAAAAGAAAAAAAATCAGTTGACCGTAATGTGAGCACTCATTTCTGGACTTTCAATTCTATTCCATTGATCTGTATGTCAGTCCTTATGCCAGTGCCCAGGGGCTCAACTACTGGTACTTTGAATTAGATTTTGAATCAAGAAGCGTGAGTCTTCCAATTTTGTTCTTATTTTTCAAGATTGTTTTGTCTATTTGAAGTTCCTTACAATTTAATGTGAATTTTAAAATCAGCTTGTCCATTTTTGCAAAAAAGGTAGTTGGGATTTTGATAGAGATTGTGTTGAGTCTGTAGATCAATTTGGGAGGCATTGCTATGTGAAGAGTAGTAAGTGTTTCAATCCATGAACACACAATATCTTTTCATGTATTTAAGTTTAATTTCTTTCAATAATGTTTTGTAGTTTGCACTTCCTTGGTTAAATTCATTCCTAAGTTTTTTTTTGGTGCCATTACAAATGGAATTGTTTTATTAATTTCATTTTTGGATTGTTCATTTCTAGTGTATAGAAATTCAACTGAGCCAGGTGTAGTGGTGCACCACCTGTAGTACCAGCTACTTGGGAGGCTGAGTCAGGAGGATTGCTTGTGGCCATGTTTGAGGCTATAGTGCATTATAATTGTGCCTGTAAGTGATCACTGCATTCTAGCCTCGGCAACATAGTGCGGTCTTGTCTCTTAAAAAATAAATAAATAAACAACTGATTTTTGTACGTTGATCTTGTATCCTCCAACTTTGCAAAATTAATATATTACTATTAAGACTTTGTGGCTGGGCACAGTGGCTCATGCCTGTAATCCCAGCACTTTGGGAGGCCGAGGCGGGCAGATCACGAGGTCAGGAGATCGAGACCATCCTGGCTAACACGGTGAAACCCCGTCTCTACTAAAAATACAAAAAATTAGCCAGGCGCGGTGGCAGGCACCTGTAGTCCCAGCTACTCGGGAGGCTGAGGCAGGAGAATGGTGTGAACCCGGGTGGCAGAGCTTGCAGTGAGCCAAGATAGCGCCACTGCAGTCCGGCCTGGGCAAAAGAGTGAGACTCCGCCTCAAAAAAAAAAAAAAAAAAAAAAAAAGATTTTGCTTTATTTTGTGTTTGGTGTGGATACTTTAGGAACCAAAAGATAAGTAAATAAGAACAAGGTCTAGCACTTTGGTCAAATTTATTCCTAAGTGTGTGTTTGTAAACGATATTGTAAATGAATTTTCTTAGTTTCATTTTCAGCTTGCTAATTGTTACTGTATAGAAATACAATTTATTTATTTATTTACTTTTTTTTTTTTTTTTTTTTTTTTGAGACAGTCTCGCTCTGTTACCCAGGCTGGAGTGCAGTGGTGTGATCTCGGCTCACTGCAACCTCTGCCTCCTGGGTTCAAGCAATTCTCTTGCCTCAGTCTCCCGAACAGCTGTGATTACAGGTGCGTGCCGCAACCCCCAGCTAATTTTTGTATTTTTAGTAGAGATGGGTTTTCACCATGTTGGTCAGGTTAGTCTCGAACTCCTGACCTCATGATCTGCTCACCTAGGCCTCCCAAAGTGCTGGGATTATAGGCATGAGCCACTGCGCCAGGCCAATTTTTTTTATATCACTCTTACACCTGCAACTTTGCTGAATTTGTTTACTTGTTCTGACGGTTTTGTGGATTCCTTAGAATTTCCTACATACAAGATCATGTCATATGCAAATACATCTGGTTTTATTTCTTCCTTTCTAATTTGTGTGGCTTTTATTTCTTTTTCTTGCTAATTTCCTGGCTAGAAATTTAAGTATAATGTTGAATAGAGGTGGCAAGAGTGAATATCCTTGTCTTCTTCCTGATCTTAGGAGAAAAACTTAGTCTTTCATCATTAAGTATTACCTGTGGGGCTGGATACGATGGCTCAAGCCTATAATCACAGCACTTTGGGAGGCCAAGGCGGGTGGATCATTTGAGGTCAGGTGTTCAAGACCAGCCTGGCCAATATGGTGAAACCCCCATCTCTACTAAAAACATCTCTACTAAAAATATAAAAACTTGGCGGGGTGCAGTGGCTCACACCTGTAATCTCACCACTTTAGGAGGCCGAGGCGGGCAGATCACGAGGTCAGGAGATCAAGACCATCCCGGCTAACACAGTGAAACCCATCTCTACTAAAAATACAAAAAAAAAAAAAGAAAATTAGCCAGGTGTCGTGGCAGACGCCTGTAGTCCCAGCTACTTGGGAGGCTGAGGCAGGAGAATCGCTTGAACCCGGGAGACAGAGGTTGCAGTGAGCCGAGATCACACCACTGCACTCCAGCCTGGGCGACAGAGCAAGACTCCATCTCAAAAAAAAAAAATAAACGTAAATTAGCCAGGCATGGTGGTGCGCACCTGTAGTCCTAGCTACTCAGGACGCTGAGGAAGGAGAATTGCTTGAACCTGGGAGGCAGAGGTTGCAGTGAGTCGAGAGCATGCCACTGCACTCCAGCCAGGGTGACAGAGTAAGACTCTGTCTCAAAAAAAAAAAAAAAAAAAGGATTTATGGGAAGTAATTAAGGTCAAATGAGGTCATAAAGGTGGGCACTGATCTAATAGAATTAGTGTCTTTATGAGACGAGAACCCAGAGAGCTCCCTAGCTTTCTCTCTGCCACATGAGGCCACTTCAAGAAGGCAAGCCAGGTAATAAAGCCCACGCTGAGGTAGGAGGTGGAACTGGACTCCAGAGATGGGGCTTGGACACCAGACCAAATTGATGACTAGCTGAAACAGGGACAGGGTGAAAGCAGCTTTCCATAAGACACGCTCACCAGTGCGCCATGTCAGCTTACCATTTCCATGGCAGAACCCAGAGTTACCACCCCACCGCCTTTTTTTTGAGACGGAGTCTCACTCTGTCGCCCAGGCTGGAGTGCAGTGGCACAGTCTTGGCTCACTGCAAGCTCCACCTCCCGGGTTCAAGCGATTCTCCTGCCTTAGCCTCCCGAGTAGCTGGGATTACAGGCGCCTGCCACCGCGCCAAACTGATTTTCGTATTTTTAGTAGAGACAGTGTTTCACCATCTTGGCCAGGCTGGTCTTGAACTTTTGACCTCATGATCCACCTGCCTTGGCCTCCCAAAGTGCTGGAATTACAGGCATGAGCCACTGTGCTCAGCCTACCACCCCTTTCAATGGCAACAACTTGACAACCCAGAAGTTATCAGCCTTTTTCTAGAAACGTCTGTATAGTCTGCCCCTTAATTTGCATGTAATTAAAGGTCAATGTAAATATGACTGCAGAACTGCCCTGAGCTGTTACTCTGGTCACACTACCTACAGGGTAGCCCTGCTCTGCAAGGAGCAGTCCCTCTGCTGTTGCTATAGGCCACTGCTTCAATAAAAGTTGGCATCTAGGCCAGGTGCAGTGGGTAATGCCTGTAATCCCAGCACTCTAGGAGGCTGAGGCGGGTGGATCATTTGAGGCCAGGAGTTTGAGACCAGCCTGGTCAACATGGTGAAACCCCATCTCTACTAAAAATACAAAAAAATTAGTTGGGTGTTTTGGCGCACACCTGCACTCCCAGCTACTCAGGAGGTTGAGGCGGGAGAATTACTTGAACCCAGGAGGCAGAGTCTGCAGTGAGCCACTGCACTCCAGCCTGGGTGACAGAGTGAGACCCTGTCCCGAAAAAAAAAAAAGTTGGCCTCTAACACCTTCGGTTTGCCCTTGAATTATTTCCTGGGTGAAGCCAAGAACCCTCTCAGTCTAAGCCCCAGTTTTGTGGCTTACCTGCCCTGCATCAACACCAGAAACTTAACCCTTTGGGAATCTCGATCTTGGACTTTCTAGCCTCTAGAACCATGAGAAAATGATCTGTATTATTAGGCTACCCAGTCTATGATATTCTGTTGTAGCCTGGGGTGACTAAGACATTGAACCTGTATGACTTGAATTTTGTTACCTGCTTGGCCCCTTGATGGCATTTCAGTTTGTGACTCTTGGTTTACGTGATCACGAAGCCAAAACTGTTTAGGAAGGAAGCAAAATCAAGACAGATTAAAAATAAAAATAAAAAATAAAAGGCTGGGCACCGTGGCTCACGCCCTCCCAGCACGTTGGGAGGCAAAGGTGGGCAGATAACTTGAGGTCAGCAGTTCAAGACCAGCCTGGTCAACATGATGAAACCACATCTCTACTAAAACTACAAAAATTCGCCAGGCGTGGTGGTGGGCACCTGTAATGCCAGGTATTTGAGAGGGAGGCAGGAGAATCACTTGAACCTGGGAGGTGGAGGTTGCAGTGAGCCGAGATCACACCACTGCACTCCAGCCTGGGTGACAGAGCAAGACTCTCTCTCAAAAAATAAAATAAAATAAAATAAAATAAAATAAAATAAAATAAAGAGCCGAGCACGCTGGCTCACACCTGTAATCCCACACTTCGGGAGAAAGAGGTGGCAGGATTGCTTGAGCCCAGGAGTTTGATACCAGCCTAGGTAACATGGCAAAATCCCATCGCAATTTTAAAAAAAATTTAAAAAAGAATAATAGGGCTGGGCACGATGGCTCATGCCTGTAATCCCAGCACTTTGGGAGGCCAAGATGAACGGATCACCTGAGGTTGGGAGTTTGCGACCAGCCTGACCAACATGGAGAAACCCCATCTCCACTAAAAATACAATATTAGCAGGTCGTGGTGGCACATACCTGTAATCCCAGCTACTCGGAAGGCTGAGGCAGGAGAATCGCTTGAACCTGGGAGGTGGAGGTTGTGGTGAGCCAAGATCGTGCCATTGCACTCCAGCCTGGGCAACAAGAGTGAAATTCCATCTAAAAAAAAAAAAAAAGAAAGAAAGAAATAAGGTATTTTACATAAAGATTAAAAAGAAATTAAAACCATTATTTGAAGATAATGGCTTAAACAGAAACTCTGCAAATCCTTAGAATAAGAAAGTTCAGGCCAGGTGTAGTGGCTTGTGCCTGTAATCCCAGTGCATTGGGAGGCTAAGGTCGGAGGATTGCTTGAGCCCAGGAGTTTGAGACAAGCCGGGTCAACATAATGAGATCGCATCTCTACAAAAAATTGAAAAATGAGCCAGGTGTGGCAGTGCATGCCAGTAGTCCTGGCTACTCAGGAGGCTGAGGTGGGAAGGTCACTTGAGCCTGAAGAGTTCAAGGCTACAGTGTTATGATCATGCCACTGCACTGCACTCCAGCCTGGGAGACAGAGCAAGACCCTGAGACCCTGTCTCAAAAAACAAAATAAAAAACCCTCACTATATTGAACACAACATCAATGTTCAATAGCCATTCCCCTTCTCCTTTTCTAATAAAATTCCACTTTTTTGTGTTCCATCCCAGGACCACGATTTATCTAAACTGGTCATTCTGGATCAATAAGTTTGGCTAAAAATAAATAATATCGAAATTGGTCACAGGAAATCTATTCTTTTTTTTTTTTTTTTTTGAGACGAAGTCTCACTCTGTCACCCAGGCTGGAGTGCAGCAGCATGATCTTGGCTCACTGCAACCTCTGCCTCCCGGGTTCAAGCAATTCTCTGCCTCAGCCTCCCAAGTAGCTGGGATTACAGGCGCCTGCCACCACGCCTGGCTAGTTTTTGTATTTTTAGTAGAGATGGGGTTTCACCATCTTGGCCAGGCTGGTCTTGAACTCCTGACCTTGCGTTCTACCCGCCTTGGCTTCCCAAAGTGCTGGGTCTGTCACCCAGGCTGGAGTGCAATGGTGCAATCATGGCTCACTGCAGCGTCAACCTCCCTGGGCTCAGATGATTCTCCCACCTTAGCCTCTCAAGTAGCTGGGATTAAAGGCATATGCCACCATGCCCAGCTAATTTTTCTATTTTTTTTGTAGAGACAGGGCATCCCTACCTTGCCCAGGCTGGTCTTGAACTCCTGGTTTCAAAGGATCCTCCTGCTTCAGCCTCCCAAAGCACTGGGTCTATTATTCCCTTTCATATTCAAACTTAATTCTGCATTTTCAAGGCCTTGAATTTTCAAGGGCAGCTTTTTCTGTCCCTGAACTTAATCTTCAGCTCCTCTCACCTCCTGGGAGGTTGGGGGGTGGGGAAGAAAAGTCCCAACCCTCTAATCCTGCTTTGGTCTTTTGCTGCCAGCCCCCATCCTGAAGCTACCAGTCAATTTGTTTGCATACAAGAAGATATCACTTTGGAGATTCTAAGTGTATACGAGGAAATGAGGTCAAAGACCAAATATATATATTTCACTATATCACACTTCAAACTTTTGTTTACTGTTTCCCTTCTCCTACTCTATTATAAACCTTTGAGGGTGGGGACTGTGAGTTATTTATCTTTATATTCCCAGTGTCAAGAGTGTTTAGCTATAATGGGAATGAATCTCAAAGTTTCTTGAATAAATGACAAGAAGAATCATAGTTGCATGAACTAAATTCATTATTCTCAGTCCTTGAGGTAAATGAATATATTGATATTATGTCTGCTTACTCTTTTTTTGCGAGAGAGAGAAAGAGGAGGGAGGGAGGGAAGGAAGGAAAAAAGGAAGGAAGGCGAAAAGAGAGAAAGACAGAAAAGAGAGAGAAAAAGAGAGAGAAAGAAGGAAGGGGAGGGAAGGAAGGAAAAGAAGGAGGGAAGAAGGGAAAGGGAGGGAGAGGAAGAAAAGAAAGAAGAAGGAAGGAAAGAAAGAAAGAAGAAAAGGAGGGAGGAAGGAACGAAGAAAGGGAAAGAAGGAGGGAGGGAGGGAAATGAAGGAAAGAAAGAAAAAAGAAAGAAAGAAAAAAGAAAGAAGAAAAGGAGGGAGGAAGGAAGGAGGGAGGGAAGGATGGAAGAAAGGGAAAGAAGGAGGGAGGAAGGGACATGAAGAGAATAAAGAAAGAAAGAAGAAAAGAAAAGAAAAAAGAAAAGAAAAGGGAGGGCTCTGCGGGTGGCGGCGGCGCGGGGAGCCGGTTGCAGGCCGAGATGCTGCAGATGGACCTGATCGACGCGACGGGGGACACTCCCGGGGCCGAGGACGACGAGGAGGACGACGACGAGGAGCGCGCGGCCCGGCGGCCGGGAGCGGGGCCGCCCAAGGCCGAGTCCGGCCAGGAGCCGGCGTCCCGCGGCCAGGGCCAGAGCCAAGGCCAGAGCCAGGGCCCGGGCAGCGGGGACACGTACCGGCCCAAGCGGCCCACCACGCTCAACCTCTTTCCGCAGGTGCAGTTGTCTCAGGACACACTGAATAATAATTCTCTGGGCAAAAAGTACAGTTGGCAGGATCGGGTGTCTCGATCATCCTCACCCCTGAAGACAGGGGAGCAGACACCACCGCATGAACCCATTTGCCTGAGCGATGAGCTGCCCCCCCAGAGCAGCCCCGCCCCCACCACAGATCGAGGCACCTCCACCAACAGCCCACGCTGCTGGTAGATGAGCACGCGCAGCTGGAGCTGGTGAGCCTGCGGCCGTGCTTCGGAGACTACAGTGACGAGAGTGACTCGGCCATCGTCTACGACAACTGTGTCTCCGTCTCCTCGCCCTATGAGTCAGCCATCGGAGAGGAATATGAGGAGGCCTCCCGGCCCCAGCCTCCTGCCTGCCTCTCCAAGGACTCCACGCCTGACGAACCCGACGTCCATTTCTCCAAGAAGTTCCTGAACATCTTCATGAGTGGCCGCTCCCGCTCCTCCAGTGCCGAGTCCTTCGGGCTGTTCTCCTGCATCATCAACCGGGAGGAGCAGGAGCAGACCCACCGGACCATATTCAGGTTTGTGCCTCGACACGAAGACGAACCTGAGCTGGAAGTGGATGACCCTCTGCTAGTGGAGCTCCAGGCTGAAGACTACTGGTACGAGGCCTACAACATGCGCACTGGTGCCCGGGGCTTCTTTACTGCCTATTACGCCATCGAAGTCACCAAGGAGCCCGAGCACATGGCAGCCCTGGCTAAAAACAGTGACTGGGTGGACCAGTTCCGGGTGAAGTTCCTGGGCTCAGTCCAGGTTCCCTATCACAAGGGCGATGTCGTCCTCTCTGCCGCTATGCAAAAGATTGCCACCACCCGCCGGCTAACCGTGCACTTTAACCCGCCCTCCAGCTGTGTCCTGGAGATCAGCGTGCGGGGTGTGAAGATAGGTGTCAAGGCCGATGACTCCCAGGAGGCCAAGGGGAATAAATGTAGCCACTTTTTCCAGTTAAAAAACATCTCTTTCCGCGGATATCATCCAAAGAACAACAAGTACTTTGGGTTCATCACCAAGCACCTCGCCGACCACCGGTTTGCCTGCCACGTCTTTGTGTCTGAAGACTCCACCAAAGCCCTGGCAGAGTCCGTGGGGAGAGCATTCCAGCAGTTTCACAAGCAGTTTGTGGAGTACACCTGCCCCACAGAAGATATCTACCTGGAGTAGCCGCGCAGCCCCGCCCTCTGCGTCCCCCGGCCCTCAGGCCAGTGCCAGGACAGCTGGCTGCTGACAGGATGTGGCACTGCTTGAGGAGGGGCACCTGCCACCGCCAGGGGATGAGGAAGTGGGGGCCGCTGGCTCAGGGTAGGGGAGGGTGGGGCAATGGGGACAGGCAAATGCAGTTTATTGTAATATATGGGATTAGATTCATCTATGGAGGGCAGAGTGGGCTGCCTGGGGATTGGGAGGGACAGGGCTTGGGGAGCAGGTCTCTGGCAGAGAAGGATGTCCGTTCCAGGAGCACACGGCCCTGCCCCATCCTGGGCCATACCTCCCCTGCCAGGGCTCGGGTGCTCTGGCTCCTGCCTTGATGAAGCCCATGTCCTGCCTTGATGAAGCCTGTGCTACCTGCAAGTGCCCGCCCTGCCCCTGTCCCAACACCCACCGAAGAGCCCTGAGCTCAGGCTGAGCCCAGCCACCTCCCAAGGACTTTCCAGTGAGGAAATGGCAACACGTGGAAGTGAAGTCCCTGTTCTCAGCTCTGTCATCTGCGGGGCTTCTGGGTGGCTCCTGCCACCGACCTCACTGGCATGCTAGCCTGTGGCAGGCCTAGGACCTCAGCGGGGAGGAGGAGCTGCCGCAAGGCCCTATCTCAGCAGGAGAGGGAGGCTTCCTGACTGACACAGGCTAGCCCCATCTTGGTCCTGTCACCCTGGCCCCAACTATTAAAGTGCCATTTCCTGTCAAAAAAAAAAAAAAAAAAAGAAAAGGGAGGGAGGGAGGGAGGGAGGCAGGAAGGAAGGAAGAGAGGGAGGGAGGGAAGGGAGGAAGAAAGGGAAAGAAGGGAGGGAGGGAAATAGAAAGAAAGAAGGAAAGAAAAAGAAAGAAAGAGAAATAAAATAAAAATTAAAAAACCATAAGGTTAAAGTAAACCCTTTTTCTTCATACAGATTAAAACACATGACTTCAAATTACAGCTTTGCTTCTTAATAGCTTGGTGATGTAGGATGTTATGTAACCTCTCTGTGCCTCAGTTTCCTCATTTATAAAATAGGGCAATAATAATATCTAGCCCATAAGGCATTGTGAGGATTAAATGTGAAATGCTGATCACAAATACCTAGCAGCCCAATAGATACTCACTGTAATAATTATTATTTTTATAATTTCTGCAAAAGTATGGTGATGATTCTTGGGTTAACCTAAAGGCAGATTTTCTTTTATTTCTTCCTGTTTCTTTTCTTTTCCTTGTTCACTTTAAAGAATTAAAAAGAAAATTGATTCCAGCATTTTGGAATAAAAATTTGCATCAAAAAGAATTTATTCATTTTATTGACATACAAATAAAATGTCATTTGTTTATTCAATAAACATTTATTAAATGTCTGGTAAATTTCAGACATCATGCCAGGCACAGGGATGACAATGACAATAAGATGTGGTCTCTGCCCTCAGGGAGCTGATAGTCCAGGAGACTGACAAGTAGACAGGTGATTACATGCAATGTAACAAAGGCTATGATGTCATACAAGAAGACAAGTGGGAGTATGTGATGGGAGTATGGTTTTGACCAGTTCCTCCTCTTAGATTTATCCCTTTTTCTTTGGCTATAAAGCAAAAGAATTGGTCCTGTTTTTTTTTCTTAACTTTGCAAATTAAACCATAAATTTTAATAACTTTATAAAGATAAAAGGCAAGCGGTCAGATTCAGTGGCTCACACCTATAATCCCAACACTTTGGGAGGCCGAGGCAGGTGGATAACCTGAGGTCAGGAGTTCGAGACCAGCCTGGCCAACATCGTGAAACCCTGTCTCTACTAAAAATACAAAAATTAGCTAGTTGTGGTGGCAGGCACCTGTAATCCCAGCTACTCAGGAGGCTGAGGCAGGAGAATCGCTTGAACCTGGGAGGCGGAGTTTGCAGTGAGATGAGATGGAGCCATTGCTCTCCAGCCTGGGCTACAGAGCAAGACTCTGTCTCAAAACAAAACAAAACAAAACAAAAAGATGAGCAACTTGAATTATGGAGGACACTAGAAATAGTGTTTCCTACAGAATCAGGGCTTCCTACCAACATAGTCACTTCTAGGGTTTTCGACCTGAAAAGTTCTGTGGCATATTGTTTCTTTGCTATCCACTTTTTTTTCCCTGTTTTTCCCCCTCTTTCTCTCCTCTACTTTATCTCCTAGAGATCTAGGTAGTTCCCAAAGGAATAATGCTTTACGGAGTCTAATGTTGATTTATTAGGTAAAAACAGAAAATGACTTTTTTTTTTACCCACAAGTTCCATACCAAAAAATGAATGTAAACTTCTTATGCAGTTTCACACATTGAAAATGCAGGTTATTTTAATTCCATTGCATTTTTCAGAATTCTCAATCGCAATCCTCTGACAACTGTTGAAGATCCGTATCTCTTTAAATTACTGGCATTAAAATATCTGTAAGTACTATAGTACTCTTGGGAGTCATGAGATGATTTATACTCTTTTTAAATTTTTCATCAAAGATTAAGTATTTTGCATTTAGGCTAAAATGTCATAATTTAAATTTTAACTGAGTTATTGAAAAACATTATTGGCAAAGGAAAGGATGTGTAATGGTCAAGATAGCCAGCAGGGGAAAGAGAACAGTGTTGAAGAACCCATATAGATTTGGAACATGTAGACACATGGAGGAATATTACTTAACCAAGAAAGCAAAGGGGAAAAGGTGTTCATTATTCTAAAAAGGAAGAAAAGAGTAAATAATCAAGATGGGTGAATGCAATATGAAAATGAGAAGTAAGATAATGGTAAAAAAAAAAAATAAAACAGTGTAAGACCTACTCTTGAATATCATTAATTTGATGATGCAAATCAACTTTAATTTCTTTAATAAGAGCTCTCTGGAATTTTGCGGCAAATAAACTGTTGAACTGGCTTGTTTTATAGGGAAGCCAAAATTGAAGTAATCACATGTCCTTGAATTATCTTTTTAAGTACAGAATTTTTTACTGGGGTTCATATCATGAATGTTTCGGCTTTCTTCTTCAGAGACGTGGGAACAACGCAAGTCCCACTTACAACACTTAAGAACATTCTCATGATGACCGTTGAACTGGAAAAACTGTAAGTTATTTTTTTCTTAGACTTATTTTCACCCTGTTGCGTTTTTAGGTTTGTTTTATTATTTTCTTGTCAGGTTTATTGAGATATAATTTTCATATACTAACATTCACCCTTTTTAAGTGTACAATTTGATGAGTTTTGACAAATGTATAGTTACATAACCACCACCACATTCCCAATATAAAGCATTTCTGTCGCCTCAAAAAGGTCCCTCGTGTCCCTTTGTAGTCAATCACCTCCTCCCACCGTCAGCCCGTTAGCTACTAATCTGATTTCCTATAGTTTTGCCTTTTCCAGAATATCTTATAAATGAAATCATATAGCATGTAGCCTCTTGTATTTGACTTCTTTCACTTAGCATAATTTTTTCTTTTTTGAGATGGAGTCTCACTGTTGCCCAGGCTGCAGTGCAGCGGCATGACCTAGACTCCCTGCAACCTCCACCTCCCAGGTTCAAGTGATTCTCCTGCCTCAGCCTCCTAAGTAGCTGGGATTACAGGCACATGCCACCACGCCTGGCTAATTTTTGTATTGTTAGTAGAGACGAGGTTTCACCATGTTGGCCAGGCTGGTTTCGAAGTCCTGACCTCAAGTGATCCGCCCGCCTTGGCTTCCCAAAGTGCTAGGATTACACGTGTGAGCCACCTCACCTGGCCTCACTTATCATATTATTTTTTGAAATTATGCTGCCATCCATGTTGCTGCACCCATCACTGCAGCTGGCCCTCCATATCTGCAGGTTCCTCATCCATGGATTCAACTGAACATGGATGGAGAATACTTGAAAAAAATGAAATATATAAAATAACTATAAGACAATAAAAACAGTAGAAAATTTAAAATACAGTATAATTATTTACATACCACTTACACTGTATTAGGTATTTAAAGTATACCTGAGGCTATATACAAACATTATGTCATTTCATAGAAAAGACTTCAGCATCTGTGGACTTTGGTGTCGGCAGGGGGTCCTGGAACCAATCCCCTGCAGACACCGAGGGACAACTGTTCACTCCTTTTTATTGCTCAGTAGTATTCCAGTTGTGTGGAAACCCCATCTCTACTAAAAATACACAAATTAGCCAGGTGTGGTGGCACACACCTGTAATCTCAGCTACTCAGGAGGCTGAGGCACAAGAAGTGCTTGAAGCTGGGAGGTGGAGGTTGCAGAGTCTCCTTCACACTTGCTGTCCTCCCTCCACTGCCGCCTGACACACTCCTCCCCAGCAGTGGCCTCTTCATAGGCAAATTTAAGGAGCACCTTTTAGTCCTTGTCCTGCTTGACTTGGCCCTGATGTTTGAAATTCTTGATGAATCTTTCTTCCGGAAACGCACTCTTTCTATGCTTCCAGGAAATCTTTTTCTTGGTTCTCCAGACAACTTCTTAGACTCCTTGACCAATTCCTTCTTGTTGCCAACAATGGAAACAAACCAGCCCTACCTAAGCAAAGCACATTAAAACTCACTAGAAAGATACAGGGGAGGGGGCGCCCACTAAACCACTAAAGAGACAGGAGGTGGGGAGCTGTAGGACCAGATTTGGGAACCTTCAAGAATCAAGACCAGAGCCCCTGAAATAGCAAGAAGCTGGAAGCACAGGAACTGTCAGAGCCAGATGGCTGTCACTGCAGTCAGCGCCTCTGATTGTTTGTTTTTGAGATGGAGTCTCGCTCTGTTGCCCAGGCTGGAGTGCAGTGGCATGATCTCGGCTCACTGCAACCTCCACCTCCCGGGTTCAAGCAATTCTCCTGCCTCAGCCTCCCGAGTAACTGGGACTACAGGAGCCTGCCACCATGCCCGACTAGTTCTTTATATTTTTAATAGAGATGGGGTTTCAACATGTTCGTCTCAAACTCCTGACCCCAGGCGATCCACTTGCCTCGGCCTCCCAAAGTGCTGGGATTAGAGGCGTGAGCCACCATGCCTGGCCAGTTTTTGTATATTTAGTAAAGACTGGTTTTGCCATGTTGGCCAGGTTGGTCTCAAACTCCTGACCTCAAGTGATCCATCCACCTCCGCCTCCCAAAGTGCTGGGATTATAGGCATGAACCACTGTGCCCAGCCACCTCTGATAGTTTTCATCGTCCTCGGGCCACTGGCTCCCAAATCAGGTTCCAGACAAAAGCTTACAAGTAGTCCAGCTTTGGCCAGGCTCAGTGTGATGGTTAATACTGAGTGTCAACTTGATTGGATTGAAGGATACAAAATATTGATCTTGGGTGTGTCCGTGAGGGTGTTCCCAAAGGAGATTAACATTTGAGTCAGCGGGCTGAGAAAGGCAGACCCACCCTTAATCTGGGTGGGCACAAGCTAATCAGCTGCCAGCAAGGCTAGAATATAAGCAGGCAGAAAAATGTGAGAGACTGGCTTAGCCTCCCAGCCAACATCTTCCTCCCGTGCTGGATGCTTCTTACCCTCCAACATGGGACTCCAAGTTCTTCAGTTTTGGAACTCAGACTGGCTCTCCTTGCTCCTCAGCCTGCAGACGGCCTATTGTGGGACCTTGTGATCCTGTGAGTTAATACTTAATAAACTCCTGTATATATTCCATTAATTCTGTCCCTCTAGAGAACCCTGACTAATACGCTCGGTGACTCACACCTGTAATCCCAGTACTTTGGGAGGCTCAGGCAGGAGGATGGCTTGAGCCCCAGAGTCTTCTTCTTCTCCTTCTCCTTGTCCTTCTCTTCCCTTCCCCTTTCTCCTCTTCCTCTTCCTTCTCTTCCTCTTCCTCTTCCTCTTCTTCCTCTTGTTTGTTTGAGAAAGGTTCTCCCTCTGTTGCCAAGGCTGGATTGTAGTGGCACAATTGTGACTCACTGCTTCTCAGCCTCCTGAGAGCCCAGGAGTTTGAGGCTGCAGTGAGCTATGATCACACTACCACACTCCTGCCTGGGTGACAGAGCAAGACCCTGTCTCAAAAAACAAACAAAAAACTCTGGTATGATAGAGGTGAATTGTCTGTTTTATCCTGATAATTCTGCTTACCTTAGTCCCGTGGTTCTCAACTGGGCCAATTTTGCTCCCCAAGTGACATTTGGCAATATCTGGGCAGAGGTCAAGGACGCTGCTTAACATCTTTTTTTTTTTTTTTTTTGAGACACAGTTTTGCTCTTGTTGCCCGGGCTGGAGTGAAATGGCACGATCTCGCCTCACTGCAACCTCTGTCTCCCGGGTTCAAGCGATTCTCCTGCCTCAGCCTCCCGAGTAGCTGGGATTATGGGCATGCACCATCACGCCTGGCTAATTTTGTATTTTTAGTAGAGATGGGGTTTCTCCATGTTGGTCAGGCTGGTCTCAAACTCCCAACCTTAGGTGATCAGCCCGCCTCAGCCTCCCAAAGTGCTGGGATTACAGGTGTGAGCCACCTCACCCGGCCTGCTTAACGTCTTAAAACACACAGGACAGTTCCCCCATAAAAAAATGATGACCAGCCAAAAATGTCAACAGTATCAAGGTGAAGAAATTGCCATAAAGGCTTGGTAAACAGGGATGGTATGACGACACTATTGATAGGCCACATTAAAATACTTAGGGCCATATCCATTATCCCTGTTTTTATGATTTCTTCTTTGTCCCCATGCAGTTTCAAGGGCAAAATAAGGGAGTAAGTCAAAGGTGGTTCCAAATAGACATCTGGGAGTCTTAGGGTGTAATATGGCCCTCATGGAGGCCCTTGCTGAGCTTAGGGCCTGATTCTGGAATCCTAGCATTGCCAAGAGAGGCAGGCTGGCAGGTGAGAAGACAAATAATGGGAGAGCCCACATATGTTGGAATTCATTTGATGGTATCTAAGCTGGGGTGATTGTCCCCACTAGCATTACATGACTATGGATCCAGTTATTTGGAGAAATCCATTTCCTCCACAGGGAATATATACTACATTAGAACCAAAGATGGAATCCTTAGTAAATGGAATCATTTGGCAAAATTCAGTTGCCTGAAATTTTTGCATAAAATTCTCTTTTTTATTTTCATTGAGCCAAATAAATAAAGTATCAGGTATTTACTAGGTTCACCATTCTTTGATTCATTGATTTTTTTTTTTCAGACAGGATCTTGCTCTGTCACCCACGTTGGAGTGCAGTGGCATAATCTCAGTTCACCGCAACCTCCACTTCCTGGGCTTAAGTGATTCTCCCGCCTCAGCCTCCCAAGTAGCTGGAAATACAGGCGTGTGCCACCATGCCCGGCTAATTTTTGTATTTTTTGTAGAGATGGGTTTTCATCATGTTTCCCAGGCTGGGTTTTTTTTTTTCAAATGTCTTAGGGTTTTCGCTTTATTATTTCCTTGATATCCACAGCAGAAGTTCAGAGGTATAACTTCAACATTAACAGGTGAAAAGTTCTACAATGACTTGTTGCACTCCATCACATTAGAATAATTGAACTATAATTTCCATACAACACAAGAAAAGTACAGTATTTAGTGACAACTGAAAGATACCTGATAAATAAATATATCAACTTACTACTCATGAAAAGAATGGAGCTGGTTATTTCAGCTATAAAAGGGCAAAGCAAAAAGACCATTTTCTAGCCATTTGAAAGTTACTCAAAAAATTGATACAATGGAACGGAAAGGAAAACAAAAAAGATTGTAAGCAACTTTAACAATGTTCTTGCATTCTACTGATACACAAACCTCTAGGGTTTCAGTTGACACAATCAAGTTCAACTTGTACTGACAGAAAATATTAAAAACCTTCCTATTGAGTTTTTAATATCAAACAGGGAGGTTAGTAAATTGTTTTCTGATTCTTCTACAAAAAAAAAAGTCTAGAAGAGGGACAGGGAATGTAGTGTGCACCACTTATTATTATTCTAAGTAATAATTTTTACTTACGAGGTCAACACGAGTGCAAAGGGCTTAGTGATGCATCTTATTCCTTAATTTTGGACAGTAACACCCTCAGATGGTATTTTTATTGGTTTGTTTTATATCCCCCTTTTCCATTTGCCCTTCTGTTTTGAAGTGCTTTTTCTTAAAACTTAAGTTCTTTGCCTCCATTTTCTTATAAACCCAATTTCCTCTTTAGTGAAACTTTACCATTTGAAAGGAACCTTTCTATTGTAATTTACAAGCTGTGAATAACTGCTATGTAATTCTTTCCAAGGATTAATAAACTGAGAGATGATTTGAACCAACAGAGGTAGGGAAAGATTAGAAGGGGGATGCAAGTGGCCACAGGCCTTAGAGGCGGCCAGCAGAGGGCGCTGCTCCAAGGTGAAGGTCGCACCCTGAGAGGTCATCCTTTTTTGTAGGACCAGACTGGGGTGTAAGGACAGTGCCTCATCCTCACAACGACAGACCCGTGTTCTGGGTGTGGATTTGCCTCCCTTGCCTGCGGGACTTCTGCTAGCACTGCCGTTCCTAGACTTAGACCATGCTAGAATGAGTCCAGGAACCTAGGAGAGGAGATGGGAGTGGCTCCTCCCACTGTGGCCCCTAATAATTCACATGAAGAATTTTTGCTTTCCTTGCCAGGGACCCGGGACTCAGTGGGTCCAGAGGTCCTAGTGCCAAAGGAAGAAATGTGTAGATCAGGAAATACTATTATGGTTTTATTCAACTGGAAGCCGAGGCTGGCCATTTATTGTATTTATTTATTTATTTATCTATCTATTTATTTATTTATTTATTTTGAGACAGAATCTCACTCTTGTTTCCCAGGCTCCCAGGCTCAAGAGATCCTCCTACCTTAGCCTCCTGAGTAGCTGGTACTACAGTCGCATGCCACCTTGCCCAGCTAATTTTTTTCTTTTCTTTCTTTTTTTTTTTTTTGAGACGCAGTCTCATTTTGTTGCCCAGGCTAGAGTGCAGTGGCGCGGTCTTGGCTCACTGCAACCTCCACCTCCTGGGTCGAAGCGATTCTCCTGTCTCAGCCTCCGGAGTAGCTGGGATTACAGGCATGTGCCACCGCGCCTGGCAATTTTTTTTTTTAGTAGAGGCGGGGTTTCACCATGTTGGCCAGGCTGGTCTCAACTCCTGACCTTGTGATCCGCCTGCCTCAGCCTCCCAAAGCGCTGGGATTGCAGACATAAGCCACCGCGCCTGTTTTTTTGTTTTGTTTTGTTTTCTGACAGAGTCTCTGTCACCCAGGCTGGAGTGCAGTGGTGTGATCTCAGCTCACTGCAACCTCTGCCTCCTGGGTTCAAGCGATTCTCCTGCCTTAGCCTCCCAAGTAGCTGGGATTATAGGCGCACGCCACTATACCCAGCTAATTTTTGTATTTTTAGTAGAGGTGGGGTTTCACCATGTTGGCCAGGCTGGTCTCAAACTCCTGACTTCAGGCGATCCACCCACCTCGGCCTCCCAAAGTGCTGGGATTATAGGTGTGAGCCATCAAGCCCAGCCCTGCCCAGCTAATTTTTACACTATGGGCAAGTATGCTGCCCAAGAGTGCTCTGGAACTCCTGGGCTCAAGTGATCTTCCTTCCTCGGCCTCCCAATGTGCTTGGATTACAAGCATGAGCCACCTTGCCCAGCCGAAGCTGGCCATTTAAAGTTCCTCATGCTGCTGAATCAATAAGGATGGAAGGCGGCTACTATTATGGGCTAAGTGTTTGCCTCCTCCCCAAATTCTTTTTTTTTTTTTTTGAGATGGAGTTTTGCTCTTGTTGCCCAGGCTAGAGTGCAGTGGCGCGATCTCTGCTCCCTGCAACCTCCACCTCCCAGGTTCAAGTGATTCTCCTGCCTCAGCCTCCCGAGTTAGCTGGGATTACAGGCATACGCCACCACACCCGGCTAATTTTGTATTTTTAGTAGAGATGGGGTTTCTCCATGTTGGTCAGGCTGGTCTCAAACTCCCGACCTCAGGTGATCTGCTGACTTCAGCCTCCCAAAGTGCTGGGATTACCGGCATGAGCCACCGCGCCCAGCCCCCCAATTTTTTTTTTTTTTTTTTTTTTTGAGACGGAGTCTCGCTCTGTCACCCAGGCTGGAGTGCAGTGGCATGATCTTGGCTCACTGCAAGCTCTGCTTCCCGGGTTCACGCCATTCTCCTGCCTCAGCCTCCCGAGTAGCTGGGACTACAGGCGCCCGCCACCACGCCTGGCTAATTTTTTGTATTTTTAGTGGACACGGGGTTTCACTGTGTTAGCCAGGATGGTCTCGATCTCCTGACCTCGTGATCTGCCCGCCTCGGCCTCCCAAAGTGCTGGGATTACAGGCGTGACCCACCGCGCCCGGCCTCGGCCCCCAAATTCTTATGTTGAAGCCCTCACCTCCATGTGATGGTATTAGAAGGTGGGGTCTTTGGGACGTAATTAGGCTTACAGTGCCCCATGATGGGATGAGTGTCTTAAAAGAAAAGACCAAGTGGTCTGGCTAGTGGCTCACCCCTGAAATCTCAGCACTTTGGGAGAAAAGACCAGGTGGTCTGGCTAGTGGCTCACCCCTGAAATCTCAGCACTTTGGGAGGCCAAGGTGGGTGGATCACTTGAGATCAGGCGTTTGAGACCAGCCTGGGCAATACGGTGAAAAGCCATCTCTACTAAAAATACAAAAATTAGCTGGGCGTGGTGGCGCAAGTCTGTAATCCCAGCTACTTGGGAGGCTGAGGTGGGAGAATCGCTTGAACCCGGGAGGTGGAGGTTGCAGTGAGCCCAGATCATGTCATTGCACTCCAGCCTCCAGCCTGGACAGAGAGAGCATCTGAGAGTCTCTGTCTCAAAACAAAAAGAAAAAAAAAAAAGAAGAGACCAGAGAGCCTTTCTTCTCTTTGTCCACCAAGTGAAGATATGGCAAGAAGGCAGCCATCTGCAAGCTAGGAAAAGAGCCCTTGCCAGCACCCAATCATGCTATCACCCTGATATGGGACTTCCCAGCCTCCAGAACTGTGAGAAATCAATGTCTGTTGTTTAAGCCACCCAGTATGTAATAGCAGCCTGAGCTAACTAAAACCATCACCGAACTAGCCTCTTTACCTATGATTAGCAAGAGGAAAATGGCTCTGTTACTTAGTAGAGGAAGGAGGCTATGTCTGAAAGCCAAAAATTCACTGGGGACACATCTTAGCAGGCTCTTGACCCTAAGACCTGGTTAATGGAAAAGTAGAGCAACCCAATAAAAACAAGACCACCAAGAAGTCAGGTCTTATGGAATAAAGTATTGAGTGTCCCTATGAGGCACAGAACCCTTCGAAAGGGGATTGGAAGAAGTGGTGGAAGAAGGCGGCTATGATTATCAACTTAGACTTCATGGCCATTTGTAGAAGGAGGCTTCTAACAGCTATGTTTTATGTTAATTGGCTCTTTTCTCTTCTTTTTTCTTTCAACCTTATATTAAGAGCACTGGCAGAAGCTAGCGGTTTTGGTATCCTGTAATTATTAGTTGTATAACCTTGGCCAAGTAACTCAACCTTTCTGTGCCTCAGTTACTCATCTGTAAAACAGGGTAATAAGTCTCAACCTCGTACTTATGTTGTTATAAAGATTTAACACTAGGCTGGGCATGGTGGCTCACACCTGTAATCCCAGCACTTTGGGAGGCCAAGGAGGGTGGATCACCTGAGGTCAGGAGTTCAAGACCAGACTGGCCAACATGGCAAAACCCTGTCTCTACTAAAAATACAAAAAATTAGCTGGGTGTGGTGGCACGTGATTGTAATCCCAGTTACTCAGGAGGCTGAGGCAGGAGAATTGCTTGAACTAAACCTGGGAGGCGGAGGTTGCAGTGAGCCGAGATCGTGCCACTGCACTCTAGCCCAGGCAACAGAGTTAGACTCTATCTCAAAAAAAAAAAAAAAAAAAAAAAAAAAAATTAACACTTTGAACAAAAAAGAAAAAAATAATAAAATTTAAAAAAGATTTAACAATTGGGCCAGGCATGGTGGCTCATGCCTGTAATACCAGCACTTTGGGAGCCTGAAGACGGAGGATTACTTGAACCCAGGAGTTCCAGACCAGCCTGGACAACAAAGCAAGACTTTGTTTCTACTTTAAAAAAAAAAAAAAACAAAGTCAGGTGTGGTGGTACACACCTGTGATCCCAGCTACTTGGGAGGCTGAGATGGGAGGATCCCTTGAGCCTTGGAGGTTGAGGCTGCAATGAGCCATGATCATACCACTGCACTCCAGCCTAGGCGACAGAGTGAGGCCCATGTCAAAAAAAAAAATGATCCCCAACATTTAGCAGCTTAAAACAAAAAACATTTATTATATCACACTTTCTGTGGGTCAGGAATCTGGGAGGGACTTAGCTGGGTGGTTCTCCTCAGTTCTCTTGGGATGTTTCAGTCAAGCAGTGGCCTGGGGCTGCACTCTTATCTGAAGACTCAATCGGGAGAAAATATGCATTCAAGGTCACTCATTGGTTGTTGGCAGGCTGTAGTTCCTCACTGAATATTGGTTGAAGACTTCATTGGCTTACTACCTGGACTTCTCCACACACTGCCTGAATGTCCTCCCCACATAGCTAGAGTGAATGAACTAAAAAAGAGAGAGAACACACACAGCCCAGGTAAGAGTTCAGTCTTTCTAAGTCATTATATGAAAAAGATTTTTTTTTTTTTGAGATGGAGTCTCGCTCTGTCGCCAGGCTGGAGTGCAGCAGCACGATCCCAGCTCACTGCAACCTCTGCCTCCCGGGTTCAAGTGATTCTCCTGCCTCAGCCTCCCAAGTAGCTGGGATTACAGGCGTGTGCCCCTATGCCCAGCTAATTTCTGTACTTTTAATAGAGACGGGGTTTCACCATGTTGGCCAGGATGGTCTTGATCTCTTGACCTTGTGATCCGCCCACCTTGGCCTCCCAAAGTGCTGGGATTACAGGCGTGAGCCACCGCTCCTGGCCAAAAAAGATTCTTGCACACACATGTTTATAGTAGCACTATTCACAATTGTAAAAATGTGGAACCAGCCCAAATGCCCATCAATCAATGAGTGGCTAAAGAAACTGTGGTATAGATATACAGTGGAATACTACTCAGTCATAAAAAGGAATGAATTAATGGCATTTGCAGCAACCTGGACGGGATTGGAGACTATTATTCTTGTTTTTTTTTTTTTTTTTTTTTTTTTTTTTTTTTTGAGATAGAGTCTCACTCGGTCACCCAGGCTGGAGTGCAGTTGCGCAATCTTGGCTCACTGCAAGCTCTGCCTCCTGGGTTCACACCATTCTCCTGCCTCAGCCTCCCAAGTAGCTGAGACTACAGGCGCCTGCCACCATGCCTGGCTAATTTTTTTTTTTTTTTTTGTATTTTTAGTAGAGACCGGGTTTCACCATGTTAGCCAGGTTGGTCTCGATCTCCTGACCTCGTGATCCACCCGCCTCAGCCTCCCAAAGTGCTGGGATTACAGGCGTGAGCCACCGCACCCGGCTTTTTTTTTTTTTTTTTTCTTTTACTAACCAGGGGTTTAATATAAATACAACCAGCATAGAAAGACCCAAAACTATACAGAAACTAAAACCAGAATGCCATGTGGTGGAGGCAAAGGGCAGAATTTCTGACCCCTTTGGCTCAGCTGCCCTTCCCCACAAATAAAAACCAACAAACAGGACAAATCAGGACAATAAAGAAGATTCATGCTAAGCTGTGGCAGAGGGGGGAAGGTATGATCGGGTGGGGGTGGGACAAGGAATGGCCATGGAAGATAACTGGGTCAGGTTGGACCCTGGGCTGGGAGGGGGAGGGCAAGGCCCCTCACCACAACTTAAGCCAAACCTAAGCTGCCCCCAGGTGCCATAGGTTCCTGTCCCAGCAGGGAGGCTGATGGGCCTGGGCCCATGCCCCTCCCCACCTTTGGGGGTCAGATAGTGGCCACCCAGGTCTGCTGGGTTGGGGCCTGACACAGGCTCTGCATGCCCATTCGGGCTGCCTGTGGAGAGAGAATGGAGTCACTGTTTAACCATGCTACCTGCCTCAGTCCCAGCAGACCACAGGAGGTTGGCCCCAGACTCACTGAGTGCCTGCAGCAGCCGTACAGACACAGCATCCTTGGCCACCTCATGCCCATCCCGGCCATCTAGGATCAGCACAACCCAGATGAGGCCGCTGAAGGGCACCGGATGCCCAGGAATCACCACCTGGTACCAGAAGCGGTGCCAGCCAGCAGGTCCTATGCCCAAACACTTGGTGAGGAACACAGGGCTGCCCAGCTTCATTCGTTGGCACAGCAACTGCAGGGTAGCCTGAGCCCCTTGGGACCCTAACTTGTCCCTTGCCAAGGCCAACTGGCTGCCCTCTGGCTGTGGGGACCGCAAGGAGGGACCCATAAGCTGCTGGCGAAGTCGCTGCTTCAGTTCTGGCTTGAGCCACTCCACAGCCACCTGCCCTCCACAGAGGTGTGACTGCCCTTCCTCCAGGGCCTTTTTGGCCATGGCAGCGGTCCAGTGCGAGCTGAATTTGAGCACAGCGATCTGCCCGGGCGCCGGTCCGGGGCTGGGCAGCAGCCGCGCCTCCTGCAGGCCGGGACCCAGCGGCTGCAGCGCGGGCAGCAGCGCGGGCAGCAGCGCGGTGCGGGTCAGATTCGGCGGCAGGCAGTCAACGCTCAGCTCACACTTCCCGGTGCTGCGGCACACGAGCAGCGGGCAGGACGGCCGCAGCGGGTGGTTGTGCAGCGGGCGATGGCGGCCTGCGCGCCGCGCCGCGAGCTGCAGCAGGCATATGCGAAGCCGCGGTTCAGGCCGCTGAAGGTCATCATCAGGCGGAACTCGTAGAGGCGGCCCACGCGCTGGAACAGCAGGATAAGCTGGTGCTCATACACTTCCTGAGGCAGCCGCCCGATGAACACCTCTGACCCAGCCGGCGGCGGGCTGCCCACCCAGCCTGGGGGTGGCCCGCCATACTTCCTCTGCCCGTTCACCTGCACCAGGCGATGCCTGTCTGCCTGACCCACGCCTCCAGCGCCGCCTTGTTCTCTGGCTTCACCCTCTCACACCACAGCTCACAATCCCGCTTGGACTGCATGGCTCTCTATTCTCTTTTTTTTTTTTTTTTGAGATGTAGTTTCACTCTTGTTCTCCAGGCTGGAGTGCAATGGCGGGATCTTGGCTCACCGCAACCTCCGCCTCCCGGGTTCAAGCGACTCTCCTGCCTCAGCCTCCCAAGTAGCTGGGATTACAGGCATGCGCCACCATGCCTGGCTAATTTTGTATTTTTAGTAGAGACGGGGTTTCTCCCTGTTGGTCAGGCTGGTCTCAAACTCCCGACCTCAGGTGATCCACCCACCTCGGCCTCGCATAGTGCTGGGATTACAGGCATGAGCCACCCAGCCCTGTCTATGGAGACTATTATTCTCAGCGAAGTAACTCAGGAATGGAAAACCAAACATCGTACGTTCTCACTCATAAATGGGAGCTAAGCTAGGAGGATGCAAAGGCATAAGAATGACACAATGGACTTTGGGGAATCAAGGGGAAAGGAAGGGAAGGGGGTGAGGGATAAAAGACTATTAATTGGGTGCAGTCTATATTGCTTGGGTGATGGGTGCACAAAAATTTCACAAATCACCACTAAAGAACTTATTCACGTAACCAAACACCAGCTGTTCCCCAATATCCTATGGAAATAAAAAATTTTTTTTAAAAAAAGAGTTCGGTCTTTCTGTAACCTAATCTTGGAAGTGTATATTATCACTTCTTCCATAGGCTATCAGTCTCCCAGACCAACCCTGCTACAGGGTAGAGGAGACTACATGGTATGTGAATACCAGAAAGTGGGGGCCATTGGGGACTGGCTATTTGGAGGATGGTTACTACAAACTATATTTGTAATTTTTTTTTCTTGAGATGGAGTCTTGCTCTGTTGCCCAGGCTGGAGTGCAATGGCACGATCTCAGCTCGCTGCAACATCCACCTCCTGCGTTCAAGTGATTCTCCTGCCTCAGACTCCCGAGTATAATTTATTTGCTAAATATTTTCACTTATGCCATGATATCTTATTTAATCTTTAATTTGTCTATGAAAATACCTGCTCTGCTAGGGGACTTCTAGTTGAAAACTCACTAATTTAAAAAATTAATTTTGAATTCAGCCACCTATTCTTTTTTCTAATTGTTTCTTGTAGCTTTTGCTTTGATTGGAATAACTTTATTCTAGGAATAAAGTTGTGTCATCTGCAAACATGAATCATGTACACATCTGATTTTCTTATATTTATGTCTCCTTTTTCTCTTCAAATTACATTGCCTTTACCATTGATGGGAACCTGGGTAATAAAGAAAAAAGAAAAAAATTGCATTCCCTACCACCTCCTCCAAAACAATGTCAAATGTTAGTTATAATGATAGGCATCTTAGTATGCTATCCCAATTTAATGGAACTGTTGCAGATATTTAATGGTTTACTGCTGGTTTGAGACCTTTAATGTGTTGAGTATATTCACCTATTTCAATTTTTTTTCTGTTTAAGTTTTTTTTTTTTTAAATCAGATATGGCTATTATATTTTGTTAAATGACATCTTAGCATCTTTTAAGATGATCATATAGTTTTCCTCCTGCATGCTACATATTAATTACAGTAGTGTATATTCATAGAATTATATTAGTAGATCTTATATTGATTCACCCTTACATTCTTGCAGTGAACCTCTCTTGATCATATTATTTTTTCATGTACTGTTTGACTTTATTTATTTAGTTTTGAGACAGAGTTTCGCTCTTGTTGCCCAGGGTGGAGTGCAGTGGCGCGATCTCAGCTCACCACAACCTCCGCTTCCCAGGTTCAAGCGATTCTCCTGTCTCAGCCTCCTGAGTGGCTGGGATTACAGGCGCCCGCCACTACGCCTGGCTAATTTTTGGTATTTTCAGTAGAGACAGGGTTTCACCATGTTGGCCAGGCTGGTCTTGAACTCCTGACCTCAGGTAATCCGCCGGCCTTGGCCTCCCATGGTGCCGGGATTACAGGTGTGAGCCATCGCGCCCGGCCTGTTTGACTTTTAAATAGGTATTTTAATTTTTTAGTTTATACGTGTACAGTGCATAATGTATTTAAGATTCATCTGTGTTGTTGTATCAGTAGTTTCTTTATTGCTGAGTAGCAGTCCTTTATATGAGTGTATCACAGTGCATTTATCTGTTCAATAGTTGAATATTTCAATTATTTCTAGTTTGTGGCAGCTATGAATAAAGCTGCCGTAAACATTTCCATAATGTTTTTTGTCTGAACACAATTCTTGTTTCTCTTGAGTAAATACCTAGGAGTATGATTTCTGGGTTGTATGTTTATAAGAAACTGCCAAAACTGTTTTCCAAAGTAGCTGTACCATTTTGCATTCTTACCTGCAAATGTATGAAGAGTTCCGGTTGCTCTGTATCCTCCCTAGCACTTGATATTTTCAGGGTTTTTTTTTGTTTTGTTTTGTTTTTGAGATGGAGTCTGGCTCTGTCACCCAGGCTGGAGTGCAGTGGCGCGATCTCGGCTCACTGCAAGCTCCGCCTCCCAGGTTCATGCCATTCTCCTGCCTCAGCCTCCCGTGTAGCTGGGACTACAGGCGCCTACCACCACGCCCGGCTAATTTTTTTGTATATTTAGTAGAGACGGGGTTTCACCATGTTAGCGAGGATGGTCTCGATATCCTGACCTCGTGATCCGCCCGCCTCGGCCTCCCAAAGTGCTGGGATTACAGACGTGAGCCACTGCGCCCGGCCTCAAGTTTTTTTTTTTTTTGGCCACCTTAATAAGTATATGGTGGTAGCTTCTTCTGGTTTTAATTTCCTTGTCCCTAATGACTAATGGTTCTGAGCCTCTTTTTATGTGCATCTTTTGATTTGCCATCTGTATATCATTGTTTATGGAAAAATACTAAAATCTTTTTTTTTTTTTTGAGACAGAGTCTTGCTCTGTTGCCCAGGCTGGAGAGCAGTGGCACAGTCACCACTCACTGCATCCGCCACCTTCTGGGTTGAAGCCATCCTCCCACCTCTCGGCCTCCCAAGTAACTGGGATTGCAAGTGCGCACCACCACACCTGGCTAGTTTTTTTTTTTTTTTTTTAATAGAGATGGGGTTTTGATATGTTGCCCAGACTGATTTCGAATCCTGGGCTCAAGCGATCTGCCTGCCTCGGCCTCCCAAAGTGCTGAGATTACAGGCATGAGCCACCATGCCTGGCCAAGATACCAAAATCTTTATTTAAGATGTTTAATTGGGTTGCTTTCTTTATTGTTATTCTTCTTTTATTTTATTTTATTTATTTATTTATTTGAGACGGAGTCTCGCTGTGTCGCCAGGCTGGAGTGCAGTGGCGCGATCTTGACTCACTGCAAGCTCCCCCTCCCGGGTTCACACCATTCTCCTGCCTCAGCCTCCCAAGTAGCTGGGACTACAGGCACCCGCCACCACGCCCAGCTAATTTTTTGTATTTTTAGTAGAGACGGGATTTCACCATGTTAGCCAGGATGGTCTTGATCTCCTGACCTTGTGATCCTCCTGCCTCGGCCTCCCAAAGTGCTGGGATTACAGGCGTGAGCCACCACGCCAGGCCTCTTTTATTTTTTTAGACAGAGTCTCGTTCTTTCACCCACGCTGGAGTGCAGTGGCATGATCTTGGCTCACTGCAGCCTGTCATTCCCCTCGACTCCAGGTTCAAGGTGATCCTCCCACCACCTCAGCCTCCGAAGTAGTTAGGACCACAGATGCATGCCACCATGTGTGGCTAATTTTTGTATTTTTAATAGAGATGGGGTTTCGCTATGTTGCCCAGGCTGGTCTTGAACTCCTGAGCTCAAGCAATCTGCCTACTTTAGCCTCCCAAAGTGCTGGGATTACAGGCATGAGCCACCATGCCTGGCCAATTTCTTACTGTTGGGTAGTAAGAGTTCTTTATATATTTTGGATATAAGTGCTTTGTTAGGCTGTGTGATGTTCATACATTTTCCCCATCTGTGTCTTGTGTTTCATTGTCTTAGCGGTGTCTTTTTCCCAGAGCATAAGTTTTAAATTTTGATGAAGTCTGATTTACCACATTTTTTCTTTTACACATTTGGTGTTCATCTAACAGCTCTACCTAACCCAGACCTTGCCAGACTTTTTCTGTAAAAGGTCAGATAGTAAATATTTCAGCCTTGCTGTCCCTGTTGCAGCTCTGCCATTGTAGCAATGAAAGCAGTCATAGACAATATGTAAATGAACGATAATAGCTCTTCCAATAAAACTTTATGAACACTGCAGTTTGAATTTCACATAATTTACAAATTATCAATTATATTGTTTCGATTATTAGAAAAACAGGTAGTGGATTGGCCATGGTTTGCTGATTCCTGGCCTGACAAACCCAAGTTCACAAAGATTTTCCTCTTTGATTTTGTTGTGGTCGTTGTTCCACACCTTCTTTTTTCACTGTTTCCTTAAGGTAGAGTGTACATATTTATAAGGGTACATGTAATATTTTGATAGATTGATACAGTGTGTAATGATCAAATCAGGTTAATTAGGGTATCCATCATCTCAGATGTTTATCCTTTTTTTTGTATTGGGAAGATAACAAATGTTCTAGCTATTTTAAAATATACACTAAGTTATTGTTGACTCTAGTCACCCTACTGTGCAAATAAAAACTGAAACGTATTCCTTCTATCTTGCTGAGTTTTTATGCCCATGAATCAACTTGTCTTCATCCCTACCTGCTTCCCAGCCCCCGGTAACCATCATTCTAATGCCTATCTCCATGAAATCAACTTCTTAATCTCTCATATATGAATGAGAATATGTGATACTTGTCTTTCTGCCCTTGGCCTATTTCACTTAACATAATGTCCTCCAGTTCTATCCATGTTGCTGCAAGCAGATTTTATTTTCCAAACCTTAAGCTTTATAGATGACTTCACTTTTTAAATGGCTGAATAATATCCTCTTGTGCATGTATACCTCATTTTCTTTGATTTTTCTTTCTTTCTTTTTAAATAGAGATGAGTTCTCACTATACTGCCCAGGCTGGTCTTGAATTTTTTTGCTCAAGCAATCCTCCTGCCTTGGCCTCCCAAAGTGCTGGGATTCCAGGCTAAACCACTGTGCTCCTTTATGCGTTTTTTTGTTTTTGTTTTTGTTTTTAAAGACAAAATCTTGCTCTGTTGCCCAGGCTGGAGTGCAGTGGTGCGATCTTGGCTCACTGAAGCCTCCACCTCCCAGGTTGAAATTATTCTCGTGCCTCAGCCTCCCAAGTAGCTGGGATTACAGGCACCCACCACCACGCCCAGCTAATTTTTGTATTTTTAGTAGAGATGAGGTTTCACCATGTTGGCCAGGCTGGTCTCGAACTCCTGACCTCAGGTAATTCGTCTGCCTTGGCCTCCCAAAGTGATGGGACTACAGGCATGAGCCACTGCGCCCAGCCCCTTTGTGCACTTTTAAAAACATATCTTAGAATTTGTGATACATGTTTTATTTTCATTTTCATTTGGTTCACAATATTGTAAAATTTCTACTATGACTTACTCTTTGACCCATGATTTGTTTTAAAACGTATTGTTTAATTTTCAAACATTTAGGGATTTCCCAGACATCTTTGCTGTTGGTTTCTAAATTAATTCCATTATGGTTAGGGAACATACTCGTTATGATGAATTAAAAAAAAATGTAGAGGTTTGTATATGGCCTGAAACATTGTTTGTTTAGGTCAATGTTCAGTTTGTAATAGGAAAGATGTGTTCTGCTGCCTTTAGGTAAAGTGTTTCATAAATAATAATTAGGTCAAGTTGGTTGATCGTGTTAAGGTCTTCCCTATCCTTGCTGATTTCCTGTCTGCTTGTTCTAGTGATTACTGAGAAAGGAGTGTTGAAGTCTGCAATGATTGTTATGGGTTTGTTCTCTTTCTCCTTAAAATTCTGTCTGTTTATGCTTCCTGTATTTTGAGGCACTGTTATTAGATGCAGAAACATTTACAGTTTTGTCCTCTTGATTATTTGACCCCTTTATCATTCTGAAATAACCTTTATTTCTGGTAATAATCATTATATTAAAAACCATTATTTGGCCAGACATGGTGGCTCATGCCTGTAATCCCAGCACTTTGGGAGGCCGAGGCGGGTGGATCACCTGAGGTCAGGAGTTCGAGTCCAGACTGGACAACATGGCGAAACCCCATCTCTACTAAAAAGAGAAAAATAGCCTAGTGTGGTGGCACACGTCTGTAGTCCCAGCTACTCAGAAGGTTAAGGCAAGATAATCACTTGAATCCGGGAGTTGGATATTGCAGTGAGCCGAGATCACGCCACTGCACCCCAGCCTGGGAAGCAGAGCAAGACTCCATCTCAAAAGAAAAAAAAAAAAAAAAAACCAAAACAGGCCAGGTGCCGTGGCTCATGCCTGTAAACCCAGCACTTTGGAAGGCCGAGGCAGGTGAATCACCTGAGGTCGGGAGTTCGAGACCAGCCTGGCTAAGATGGTGAAACCCCGTCTCTACTAAAAATACAAAAATTAGCCAGGCACGGTGGCAGCTGCCTGTAATCCCAAGTACTTGGGAGGCTGAGGCCAGAGAATTGCTTGAAGCCGGGAGGCAGAGGCTGCAGTAAGCCAAGATCATGCCATTGCACTCTAGCCTGGGTAACAGAGCAAGACTCCATCTCGGGGGAAAAAAAAAAAATTACTTAATATTAATATAAAATTAGTGTTTTATATTAGTAGTATAATACTGTTTTTGACTAGTGTTAAAATGACATATCTTTCTCTACCCTTTTGCTTTTAATCTAGATATCATGATATTCATTTATTTTTTAATTTGTAAAAATAGAGATGGGGTTTTGCCATGTTGCCCAGGCTGGTCTTGAATTCCTGGGCTCAAGCCACCTGCCCACCTCAACCTCCCAAAACGCTGGGATTATAGGCGTGAGCCACCATACTTGGCCATATCATTATATTTTCAAATGGTTTCTTGTTTTTTCGTTTTTCTTTTAAATGTAATCTGACAGCGTCTTTTAATTAATGTGTTTTGGACCATTTACATTTAATATGATTGATGATGATTGGATTTAGGTTTCCTTTTTATTATTTTCTGGTTATTTCTTTTTTGGGGGGTTTCTTCTGTTTCTTTTTTCTGCCTATTTTTGGATTAACTGAATATTTTTTAGTGTTATGTTTTATTAATTGGCTTTTGGTTATATCTGTGCTATGTTTTTGCTGTAGGAATTACAAAATATATACCTAACCTACCTACTTAGAGTTAGCATTTTACCTCTAAATAAAATGTAAAAGTATTGCAAACATATAGGTTTCTTTATTCTAGCCCCCCCTTATAATTGTATATATGTGTGTGTGTATGTGTGTATATATCTATATACACTTTCAATGTATGTAGATATGTATCTATACTTTCAGTGTATATTATATCTACATGCATACATTGTGTATGTATGTAGATGTATATCTACATACATTGAAAGATATATATCTACATACTATACAATGCATGTATGATACCTTTGGCTACTACATCCTTCTTAAATTTCCTGTTGCCACTTATGACCTGATTTCCTTGACCAGTTATTCCTCCTTCAAACATCCCTCTTACATGTGATAGTCCTCAGCATTTAGTTTCCCCAACTTTCCCCTAATTATCAGTTGACTCAATTACCACCAAAATATCAATGACTTTTTTGAGACAGAGTCTCACTCTGTCACCAGGCTGGAGTGCAGTGGCACGATCTTGGCTCAGTGCAACCTCTGCCTCCTGAGTCCAAGTGATTCTCCTCCCTCAGCCTCCCGAGTAGCTGGGAATACAGGTGTGTGCCAACACACCCAGCTAATTTTTGTATTTTTAGTAGAGACGGGGTTTCACCATGTTGGCCAGGATGGTTTCAATCTCTTGACCTTGTGATCAGCCTGCCTCAACCTCCCAAAGTGCTGGGATTACAGGCATGAGCCACCGCGCCCGGCCAAAATATCAATGACTTCTAGATCCATTTTCCTACCTAGACCTCTTTTCTAAACTCCAGATATATATTTCCAACTGCCTGTGCTGTCCGCCATAAACTCCACATTGTAGGAAATAGAAAGGAGTTATAAAAGTTTAGGTTCAAAGCAAAATTTAAAAACTCATAAATGAGACCAAATTTTGTGATGATAAAGGCTATGGTCCACAATGAAGATATGAAAGTAATGAACCTTTCTATAAAATGTATAGGTGATAGAGCTGGTCCCCAACTTTAAGCCTTTCAGCGATTCAAGTAACTACAGAACATCGTTAAAGTACTGAGAGAAATGTCAATCCAGAATTCTATATCCAGCAAAAATACCCTTCAACAATTAAGGCAAAAAGAAAAAGAAGAAAGACATTTTGGATGAAGAAAATCTAAGAGAATGTGTTGGCGGAAGTTCTGCTCTAAAATAAAAGTAAAAGAAGGTCTTTAGGCCAAAGGAAAATTATACCAGTGGTAATACTAGAACTTCAGAGATAAAGAGCAGCAGAAATGGTATCTGGGAAAATTTAAAAATGCAAACGGTTGTTTCTCCTCTTAAGCTCTTTAAAATATGTATAGTGGTTGAAAGCAAAAGTTAAAACACTGCTGAGACTTTCAATGTATGTAGATATACGTATATATATCTACATATATATACATATATATGTATATACATGTAGAGGTAATAATGGTAGCTATTTTATGGAGCTGATCTGAGGATAAAATGAAAGAATGCATTTTAAAGTGCTTAGCACAATGTCTGGCAAATAGAAAGCACTCTATAGGCCAGGCATGGTGGCTCACGCCTGTAATCCCAGCACTTTGGGAGGCCTAGGCAGGTGGATCACTTGAGGTCAGGTATTTGAGACCAGCCTGGCCAACATGGTGAGACCCCGTCTCTACTAAAAATATAAAAATTAGCCGGGTGTGGTGGTGGGCTCCTGTAATCCCAGCTACTTGAAGTGAGGCAGGCGAGTGGCTTGAACCTGGGAGGTGGAGGTTGCAGGGAGCCAAGATTGCACCACTGCACTCCAGCCTGGTCGACAGAGCAAGACTCCAGCTCAAAAAAAAAAAAAAAAAAAAAAAAGGGGGGGGGGACAATGTTACTCTTCTTCCTTCTAGAAACATACATTTTATAGAAGTTGTTTTTTGAAGTCTAGAAGTCTGAAAACGCAGGAGTCAACTCTGAAAAATCTACAGTGGTTTCTGGGGTTCAATCTTGGCATGACTTTACCCCTGCATCTCTGCCCTCAGCAGGTAGTTTTGTTTATGGGTGTCATTGGTTGAACAAATAATTGTTTTAGTTGCTACAATAAATAAAACATGATCTGTGCTCTAAAGGAGTCAACAGATGAGCCAGGGGGGCATGAGTAATTGCCTGTAATTTAATTGTGCTCACGCTGTCATGGAGGACCGTACAAAGTGTCAGAAGCACAGTGCCAGGAGGCACAGCAAAGGGTAGTAGAGGTGACATTTGAGCCCAGCCTTGAAAACTGTCTAGGATTTCTCAGCATTTCAGCAAAGTAAGGCAATTTCTGTCTAAAATATATAGGCAAAGTTTTTATTAAAAATACGAGAAATTAATTAAATAACAGATTATGACCACAATGCAGATTTAAAAACTAAGGTATGATGAGTGCCGTTGACCGGTTCATCCAGACAGTTCAGAGAACAGAACATCCATGTAGATCCTTCTTGTATTACAGAATACAAAGGAGCGGAAAATTTTGCCTCAGTAACTGCCAGGTCATTCTAATTAAAGTACCTATACATTGTAATATAATTCCTCCATTAAGGTAACAGCCAATCAGGTGGTACAGAGTCTGTGCCATTCAGTCAAGAAATTCACTCCCTTAACCTAGACTGTGCTGGAAGTTCATTGACAAATTTTGTTCTTTGGTTCTCCATTTTTCTTCAGAATTCATGCAGACCACTTGACTTCCTTAGCATTTTCTTTTGTGGGCGTATATTAATGTCTTTGGTTAAGCTTCAGCTTCCGTTTGCATCAATCCTGTTGTAATCGTGCCTCCTGAGGCATCTTTTTTGCTTCCCTTGCATCAGTTTCCAAAATCCTACTTTCTGCTTGGTAAGGGGAGTATCCATTTTCTTTAAAGCAGTGGTTTTCAAACTTGCCTGCACATCAGAATTATTTGGGGAGAAGGATAAAAATACAGATTACTGAGCTTCACCTGGGATTCTGTAGATTTGAGTTGCATTTGGGATTACTTTAAACAATTTACCAGATGATTTTTGTGGCACCTCCACTTCAGTTTTAGGAAGGACTGTTTCGAGGCAGCTTTTCAAACTTTAATGACCATAGAAATCACCTGAAGATTGTGAGAAACTGCAGATCCTGATTTAGTAGGCCTGGGTTTAGGCCTGAGGTTCTGAATTTCTCTGAAATGTGATAATAGCAAATCCCTTGTTGAGTAGCAAGGTTGTTTTTTGTTTTTTTCTTTTTTTTCCAATATCTTCATGACATTCAATGAGTAGCAAAGTTTGAAGATAACTTCTGGAATTTCATCTAATGTGTATTAATTTTTACTCATCTGGATCTTAGGGGAAATAACCTATCAGATTATAGGGAAGTGTTTCTCAAAGTATGGTTCCCCAAACAGCACAACCTGGGAATTGTTAGAAATGCAAGTTCTGGGCCGGGCACTGTGGCTCATGCCTGTAATCCCAGCACTTTGGGAGGCTGAAGCGGGTGGATCACCTGAGGTGAGGAGTTTGAGACCAGCCTGGCTAACATGGTGAGACCCCGTCTCTACTAAAAATACAAAAAAAATTAGCTGGGCATGGTGGTGGTACTTTTTAAAATTTTTTTAGAGACAGAATATCCCTGTGTTGCCCAGGCTGGTCTGTAAATCCTGACCTCAAGCAATCCTCCTGCCTCAGCCTCTTAAGTAGCTAGGTACAAGCCACCATGCCCAGCTATATTGACTTGTTTTTGAGACGGAGTCTCTGTTGCCTAGGCTGGAGGGCAGTGGTGCGATCTTGGCTCACTGCGACCTCCGCCTCCCGGGTTCACGCGATTCTCCTGCCTCAGCCTCCTGAGTAGCTGGGACCACAGGCATGCACCACCATGCCTGGCTAATTTTTGTATTTTAGTAGAGATAGAGTTTCACCATGTTGGCCAGACTGGTCTTGAACTCCTGACCTCAAATGATCCACCCGCCTTCGCCTCCCAAAGTGCTGAGACTACAGGTGTGGGCCACCACGCCTGACCATATATTTACCTTTATGTGAATTTAAAATGTGTGGGCGTGACCAAGTCGTCTGCCGGCTGTTATATAAAGGAGACTTTATCATCAACATGCTCATCATCAGTCACAAACTGCCTATTTGGAACTCCCTTCAGTTCTCAGAGGATGGAAACATTCTTTAAGCGGCCTTGTAGAAATCCTATTCCATGTTAACATGCCAACCAATTTTACTTTCCCAGAGCCACAGAATGATATCTCATTGTATGCCTCAATTCAATCACCTTTCCATTTTCAAGGACCGATTTCAATTCCTGATTGGCTACTTGATCTGACTGCTTCCTGCTAATCTTGTTGCCTATTGTCTATATTCCATTTCTCATTGAATTAACCTTGATCAAATCTGAGAACTCTGCTTAGTAATGACTCCAGGTATACTATACCCACTTTTGTAGCTTATTCAACACCCTCTTCAATCCTGGTTCCACTTCCTGTGACTGAAATGATTACCTGTGAAATATTATTTAACTTTTGGACGATGATGTGTTTCTAACCTGTGACCATTTCACATAGCCACTCAAATATGGTAAAGGTATGGTAAAGATGATGAAACAGTTACTTGGCATCATTTTGTAAGTAATGAGTTTTTAGTGCGCTTTGGACCTTGAGACCACTTCATAAGCTTTAGATTTTGAGAATTTCACAGCATAAAGCTCATCGCCGATGCAGTAATGAAGGAAATGTTCTACAAGTTAATAGATGAGTGAGAGGAGAGGGCATTCATATTAGATTTATTTACTTACTGAACTCAGAGCCTTGGGTTACTACTTGACCCCCACTGTTATCTAGTTTAAGGGTCCTTTTATTTTTTGTTTTTTCGAGGTGGAGTTTCACTCTTGTTCCCCAGGCTAGAGTGCAATGGCCCGGTCTCTGCTCACTGCAATCTCTGCCTCCCAGATTCTCCTGTCTCAGCCTCCCAAGTAGCTGGGATTATAGGTACCCACCACCACGCCCTGCTAGTTTTTGTATTTTTAGTAGAGACAGGGTTTCACCATATTGGTCAGGCTGGTCTCGAACTCCTGACCTCAGGCAGTCTGCCCACCTCAGCCTCCCAAAGTGCTGGGATTACAGGCATGAGCCACTGCTCCTGGCCTTAAGTGTTCTTTTCTACTTTAGCACATACACCTAGTTGCTGTCTTTTTTGCTTTTTATAAATACAGAAAAGAGAATAATGTTTTAAAATCAAGGAAAGGCCTAAGGCACCTGTGAGGGTTTTTTGTTTTTGTTTTTGTTTCAGTGAAATGAAGGGAAATGGTCACCAGCAAGAACTGTGGCAATGTTATCCAAGGTGACAACTGTCTGTACCACCCAGGGGCTCAGAGCCCTTCTGAAGTTTCCTAGATGTTCCGAAAGTCTCCACTGTGACTCATGTTACAGGCTGGTCTCCGTGGTAGCACTCAACGTTTAAAAATTAGTCTTCATTGCCAGGCGTGGTGGCTCACGCCTGTAATCCCAGCACTTTGGGAGGCTGAGGTGGGTGGATCCCGATGTCAGGAGATGGAGACCATCCTGGCTAACACGGTGAAACCCCATCTCTACTAAAAATACAGAAAATTAGCCGGCAGTGGTGGGGGGCGCCTGTAGTCCCAGCTACTCTGGAGGCTGAGGCAGGAGAATGGCGTGAACCCGGGAGGCGGAGCTTGCAGTGAGCCGAGATCATGCCACTGCACTCCAGCCTGGGCGACAGAGGGAGACTCCGTCTCAAAAAAAAAAAAAAAAATAGTCTTCATTTCTCCTTCCCAACAAGCGTTTCTCTTTCTCTTCAGTGGGAAAAAGTAATTTCATTTTTTACTTGCTCATTGTTTTATTCATTCACTCAATCAACAGACCATCTATCCTGTATTGTATGCCAAGAACTGTGCTTTGTTCTGGGAATGAAAAAAGAATAAGATATGTTTTCCTCTGGCACTTATGGAGCTTATAAACCAGTGACAGAGGAAGGTGCATAAACAAATCAACAAAGAATTAACTTTACTATTCTTATTAATTTCTAATACAATAAATTTGACTATTTGTATCATTTGAGTTTCATGAATATAATCATATTCTACACTTACAAAATGAAATAGACATAAGAAAGAACTGGTGATGTAAGAAATTCACAGAAATGTGTAAAATATTTCAAGAATTAACACTCAGTAGATATTTGCATTGTCAAAGAAGCTTATACATGCAGATGAACCTCTAGTTGTTTTAGTTGCTTGTAAAATGTATAGAGGTATGTGTATTTCCTCTTTAAGCAGGGGTAACTTGGGGTGGGGGATGGGTGGGTTCATCTTATCTATTCTTCAGGTCATGTTCTCAAGAAGGAGCTACTGAATGGGAAGACTGAAACAATTTCTTTTCTTTGCACAGTTGGTATTGATAAATCTCAGGTGTATCCAAAATAAAATCTCTGGCAGGCTGTGATATTTGTGGGTCTGTCTCTTGTGACTTTAGGTTCCTCTTGGCAGCAGACATAAGGCAGTTGCACATCAGGCCCTTGCCTGAAACAGCTCCTGATGCCAAGAACTGGTGAATTACTACTTTGGTTTCAATGGATGGTCAGAAAGGATCATCAGGATAAACTTTGTGGATTTTCTCTCACTGACCACGCTCTCCTTTCAACATTGAAATTCTAGACTTTAGACAGAAGTATTGAACTGGGTTACAGGGAGGGGATGTGAGAGGCCCCCTGCCATTGAGGATAAGTGGACATGTCTGAATTGGCCTGCTACCTAAAATTAATAATCTCAATCACTTGGATGGTGGTGTCCATAATTTTCTCCACTGTTTGTGTGGCATATAATAAGTAATGGTTGCACCTAGCAATTCATTTACAAATCTTACTTGATTTTGAAGCCATAGAACACCTCAACTGTTAGCTTGAATGACTGGAGTTTAGTTTTTATTTCTCAGAACAAAACAGTTTGAAGCCTAATTAACATCCTCGGAAGGAACTTAACACTAAAACTCCTAACAGCTTCAGTTTTCTGACCTTGAAGAAAGGGAAAATGAAGAGACCATGGTGCCACTTCCGAAGCAAAGCCTGAAGTTCTGTGCTTTAGAGGTGGTGTTGCCATCCTATGATTGCAGGAGTCTGGCCTTGGCTTGGTGGAGGAGCCTGTGGATAAGGCGAAGGAAGGTCTGTTTTCATTGGGGGTAGAGGAGGGTAAGGAGTTGAAATGGGAAGGATCTCTTTTTTCTTGCTGTCTAAAACTTGTCTTTTCAGACACATATCAAGCCTTTCCCTCTCTGAGCTACTGAAGTCCTGGGCAGAGGTTTTCTGTCTTACAATACAGACTTTTACCTTAGGCAATACCTGACAGAGCCTTTAAATAAGTAAATAAATTGCTTTAATAAATTGATTTAATACATTGATTTATTAATTAATAAATTGATTTAATACATTGATTTATTAATTAATAAATTGATTTAATAAATTGATTTATTAATTAACTAATTTTGAGAGAGAGTCTTGCTCTGTCACCAGGCTGGAGTGCAGTGGCGTGATCTCGGCTCACTGCAACCTCCGCCTCCCGGGTTCAAGGCATTCTCCTGCCTCAGCCTCCTGAGTAGCTGGGATTACAGGCGCCCACCACCACACCCAGCTAATTTTTGTATTTTTAGTAGAGATGGGGTTTCACCATGTTGGCCAGGATGGTCTCGATCTCCTGACCTCGTGATCTGCCTGCCTTGGCCTCCCAAAGTGCTGGGATTACAAGTGTGAGCCACCCCACCCGGCCAGAACCTTTAAATTTAAAATTGTACAGTGTACTTCCTGCCAAGAAGCGTAGGAGGAAGAAGGAAGTAATGTTTTTCCAGTTTTCGGTTAAGAACTTGCTTTGTATTAAAATAGTCCTTCAAGTCTACAGCCATACCACCCTGAACGCGCCCAATCTCGTCTAAAATAGTCCTTCAAATATGTATCTCTTATAGCCTTCAGTTATCCCAACAAAATTATCTAAAGATTTGTTTATCTATTTATTATTATTTTTTAGAGACAGGGTCTTGCTCTGTTGCCCAGGCTAGAGTGCAGTAGCATGCTCATAGCTCATTGCAACCTCAAACTGCTGGGCTCAAGGGATCCTCCCACCTTAGCCTCCTGACTAGCCAGGACTACAGGCGTGCGCCACCACATGTGGCTAATTATTTTTTCTGGAGATGGGGTCTTGCTGTGTTGTCCTGCCTGGTCTCAAACTCCTGGCCTCAAGTGATCCTCTTGCCCCAGGATCCCAAGGTGCTGGAGTTATAGGCATGAGCCACCCACCATGCCAAGTCATCATGTAAAGATTTACAGAAAGTTTTGTGTAAACATTGTCTTTTTTTTTTTTTTGAAGCAGAGTCTTGCCCTGTCGCGCACGCTGGAGTGCAGTGGTGTGATCTCGGCTCACTGCAACCTCCACCTCCCAGGTTCAAGTGATTCTCCTGCCTGACACTCCTGGGTAGCTGGGATTACAGGCATGCACCACCATGCCTGGCTAATCTTTGTATTTTTAGTAGAGATGGGGTTTCATTGTGTTGGTCAGGCCGGTCTCAAACTCCTGACCTCGTGATCCATCTGCCTTGGCCTCTGAAAGTGCTAGGATTACAGGCATGAGCAACCGCGCCCGGCCCATTCAGCCTTTTTTTTACTCGTAGAAGGGCTTCAGTGGAACAAGAGTCTACTAGAGATACTAGAAAGGGTACTCAATTGATAACTGACGTTGAGATTTTTTTCTAGTATTCATGGCCCTCAGGCTTAGGGTTTGAAGTCAGAGGCAGGGCTGTAGGCTAATGGAGGGGAGTAGGCTTTCATGGATGATGCCCAGGGAGGAGCCAGATTATCTGTACCAAACCTTTTTTGTTTTTTTGAGACAGAGTCTTGCTCTGTCGCCCAGGCTGGAGTGCACCGGTGTGATCTCGGCTCACTGCAACCTCCACCTCCCAGGTTCAAGCAGTTCACCTCCCTCCTGCCCACCACCACACTCAGCCAATTTTTAATTTTTAAAAAATTTTTTAGTAGAGACAGGGTTTCATCATGTTGCTCAGGCTGGTCTCAAACTCCTGACCTCAAGTGATCTGCCCATCTTGGCCTCTCAAAGTACTGGGATTACAGATATGAGCCACTGTGCCTGGCCTCTTTTTGAAAATAGTCTTACTCTGTCACCCAGGCTGGAGTGCAGTGGAATGATCTCGGCTCACTGCAACCTCCGCCTCCCGGTTCAAGCTATTCTTGTGCCTCAGACTCCCAGGTAGCTGGGATTACAGGTGTGTGCCACCACACTCGGCTAATTTTTGTATTTTTAGGAGAGATGGGGTTTCACCACGTTGGCTAGGCTGTTCTTGAACTCCTGGCCTCAACCCGCCTTGGCATCCTAAAGTGCTGGGATTACAGGCATGGGCCACCGTGTCCAGCCAACAAAGCTTTTTTTCAGTGAGTGATTCCAGCCCTTGATGCATAGGAGGGTGGGGTCCATAGGAGTGTAGCCTTAACTGATGAATTAAATCTCTGGGTGATGTGAGATATGTGCCAGGTTCTTGGCTTGTGTCTCCCTCTAGTACTTTAGGAACTTCCCAACTAGATGGAGGCAGTAAAAATGGGCCCTGCCAGGATGTACCTATAACAGAGACGTTCAACCATACCCTTGTGCTGTCTGCCTTTAATCACGAAGATTATGAGCTAAGATTCGTGGATGCATTTTTATTTTTTAACCAACATGTAGCAATGATCACTCAGATAGGCATCTTAAATCCATTAGTTTGGGTTGGATTTAAGACCGTTGTCATTCCTATGAAAGGGAAGATAGCCCAGATTGCTATTGAGAAGGCTTTGTCAGATGCATTCCAGAAACTGTTGATTGTGGTTCTAGGTAAAACTTCCTTAATCGTCGTTGAAGTACTTCAGTTTCAGTGAGCAAATAAACTCATTTTGAAAAGTTAATTGGATAAAAATATCGATATCTAAAACACTCCCTAGGATGCTTTCATTTGCTAAGTTCTTTCACAGCGACAGGCTCAAATTTGTTCTTTGTGACATTTGTAGAAAAAATGACAGCAAATATTGTCCCTAGTTTATAGCTATAAAAGGACTTGCCTCAGGTCACACAGAAAATGTTTGAGGCAGGTCTTCTTTAATTGCATGCCTATCGTACAGAATAGTGATTATAAGCCCTGGACACATGGATTTGAGTCCTAACTCTGTCTCTTAGATTTTTGTATGCAGTTTTAGGTCTTATGGCCAGAGAGATTTGAAGATATTTAATATCTCTAAGCTGCAATCTTTATCTGCAAACTGGGGTTAGTAATCCAATCAACCTTATTGCGGATATTGTAAGAAAAAATGAGATGACAAGTGTAAAAACTCAGAACTATACTTACAAGGTAAGCAGACAAAATATGCTATTGTTGTGATTGTTTTCTCTCTGAATAAATAAACTCTGCTGAAGAATTTATTAGATTATGTTTCTCGAATCGAGAATTCAGTTCCAGCTCTCATTTCTGGCACTGACATATTGGCCAAATATGATTCTTATACAATAATCAGCTGCTTTGCTGTGAGCCTTGGAAGTGGTCATGCTGTTGAATGGCACTGCTTGTATTTCCTATTCAGTTCTACAGTGGCACAAATGTCATAGCCTGTGCCCAAAGGAAACCTGGTGTTTAACGAGTCCCTGAACAGAGTTGCCTTTCTGCTTCACAACCCTGAAGGCTTAGAGACTGAGATTGTAATTAAGTTACTACAGACCTTTATTTGCTTGTAAGAGGTGGCCCTGATTGCTCTCAGCTTTCCAACCTGGGCAGCCCTTCTAGTGAAAGTCTTACTTCCTTGGTCATCAACTGTCAAGTCTGAGTAATGACATTTAATAACCAAGCTAAATGTGTGGGTTGTCTACCCCTCCCTAGTATGCAAAGGTATCCCTTGCACACACTCACTTCTTAGACCAAAAGCCTTATAGTTCTAGTTTGCCTTGAAGGAAATTGTATTGTCTATAGAGTATGTGGGCCATTTTCTGCCCGTAAAATGTTCAAATGTTTTCTCTCTCTAAAGCTTTGTTCATTGTATCTGGTGGAATTTTGGTTCTCAGGGAGTAGACACCTAGCCATGCTTCTAATGTGAAGTGTCTACTAGCCCAGTGGTCTCTATTTTGGATTTGAACTTACTTCGACCCCCCACCTGGTGCCTTACCTTTTAATCATGTTATGACTGAACATTTTTATTTCCACATTTTTTATTTCTTACGTTATTATTCCTTAGTTCCTATCTGTAAGATCATAAAGTCCTTTGAACCAAACACAGTTGATATTTCATACATATGTTAAAAACTGAGCTGTGAGACCAGACATGATGACTCACGCTTGAAATCTCAGCATTTCGGGAGGCCAAGACAGAAGGATCACTTCAAGCCAGGAGTTCGAGACCAGCCTGGAAAACAAAGCGGGACCATGTCTCTAAAAAAGAGAATTAGACGGGCACAGTGATATAGTGCCTGCTACTCTGGAGGCTGAAGCAGGAGGATGACTTGAGCCCAGGAATTCCAGGCTACAGTGAGCTATGATAGTGCCACTGTACTCCAGCCTGGGTGACAGAGTGAGACCCTGTCTAAAAGAAAAAAGAAAAACAAAAATCGAAGTGTATGATGAAGAGATGAGGAAACTTTCAGGAAAATGCTTATTTCCTGCTTTTAGAAACTAAAAGAATGTCTCATTGTGGGTTGCTACCATTATATGCAGGAAGTTTTGGAATGAAAAAGATTCTGAATTCATCCTTGCTAACTTTATTTCAGAAAGTGGTAAAATAGCTATGGAGTACAGACCCAGTGAAGAGATTGTAGATGTCAGATGGGAAGAAGAACTACACGGTTTAATATAAGTATGTGGAGATAAAAACTCAAAGGTAACAGGGCCGGGCACAGTGGCTCACACCTGTAATGCCAGTGCTTTGGGAGGCTGAGGCGGGTGGATCACCTGAGGTCAGGAGTTCAAGATCAGACTGACCAACATGGAGAAATGGTGGCACATGCCTGTAATCCCAGCTACTCGGGAGGCTGAGGCAGGAGAATCGCTTGGACCCGGGAAGCGGAGGTTCCGGTAAGCCAAGATCACACCATTGCACTCCAGCCTGGGCAACAAGAGTGAAACTCTATCTCAAAAAACAAACAGGCCAGGCGCTGTGGCTCACACCTGTAATCCCAGCACTTTGGGAGGCCGAGGTGGGTGGATCATGAGGTCAGGAGTTCAAGACCAGCCTGGCCAATATGGTGAAACCCTGTCTCTACTAAAAATACAAAAATTGGCTGGGTGTGGTGGTGGGCACCTGTAATCCCAGCTACTTGGGAAACTGAGGCATGAAAACCACTTGAACCCAGGAGGCGGAGGTTGCAGTGAGCCGAGATCATGCCACTGCATTCCAGCCTGGGTGACAGAGCAAGACACTCTCTCGAGGAAAAAAAAAAAAAGAAAAGAAAAACAACTCAAGGGTTGGATAACATTGCCAGTATAACCATAATTCAAAACAAGCAGCAGAATTTGGAGGATAATTTGTTTAATTCTCAGGAAAATGTGAAACTCTGAAACTGCTTTTTGAGTGCAGGGTATTTCCGGGGCTTTTCCTAAAGTCTTAACCCTTGGCTCTGACCCCTTATTTGAAGTTTGGAGAGCAGAACCGAGGATTGTATTACTACAGTTGTGGACACAGGAGAGGGGTTAGTCTCCCCCCGCTCCAGGAGTAAGGGATGCTGGGCTGCTCGAACACAGGCCTTGTTAGAACTCCCTTCAAACAGGATCCCAGAGATGTGGGGAGAAGGTAACTGGCCTTAAGAATGATTGCGCTACAGCTTTTGAAAACTATAATGCCTTTCAAATATGGCTTATTGCTTGGATCTCAATATCTCCCACGTATCTTGGGTGGAATATTTTGCTGAAGATCTTTCTGTCAATCATTTACAATCATGTGCTGCAAAATGAAGTTTGGGTCAACAGTAGACCACATATATGATGGTGGTTCCGTAAGCGTATAATGGAGCTATCCCTATATAGGTATACCATTTTTATCTTTTTTTTTTTTTTTTTTTTGAGATGGAGTCTCACTCTGTTGTCCAGGCTGGAGTGCAGTGGTATGATCCCAGCTCATTGCAACCTCCACCTCCCAGGTTCAAGTGATTCTCCTACCTCAGCCTCCTGAGTAGCTGGGATTATAGACACGCGTCACCACACTCAGCTAATTTTTGTATTTTTAGTAGAGATGGGGTTTCATCATGTTGGCCAGGCTGGTCTTGAACTCCTGAGCTCAAGTGATCCACCCACCTTGGCGTCCCAAAGTGCTGGGATTACAGGCATGAGCCACTGTGCCCAGGCCCCATTTTTATCTTTTACACAGTATTTTAACTATATATTTTCCATGTTTACATACACAAATACCTGCCATTCTGTGACAGTTGCCTTTAGTATTCAGTACAGTAACATACAGTACAGGTTTGTAGCCTAGGAGTCCTAAGCCATACCGTGTACCCTAGGTATGGTGGCTACACCACCTAGGTTTGTGTAAGTATACGCTATGATATTAGCACAATGGTGAAATCACCTAGTGACCCATTTCTCAAGCTCCTCACGTGGGAAGCAATGCATGACTGCATATGAAAGCTCTTAAATAGGGATTGTTTCTAAATTAATCTCAAAACAGTCATTATTTACTATTTATGGAATTTTTTTTAAAAAAAGGAGCAAAAGTATCATTTCAGTGGGAACTTAACTTGGGGCTACAGTGTTTTATTTAACTTTTACCCCAAAGTTGCAAAGTGTTTTGAAATTTTTCCCTGTAAAATAATTATTTTAATTCAATTTAAATAAAACCCACCAAGGAGACTTCAAGCTTTAAGAAGTCTAGCTTCCTGTGAAATGTGAGAGGAAGTCAGCACTCATTTCAGAAATCTGATTATAACAATAGCTCCATCCCTAAATGAGGTGAATCTTGGAATCTCTTCCATTTTATTTTATTTTATTTTTTTGAGATGGAGTTTCTCTCTTGTTGCCCAGGCTGAAGTGCAATGTTGTGATCTCGGCTCACTGCAACCTCTGCCTCCCAGGTTCAAGCGATTCTCCTGCTTTGGCCTCCTGAGTAGCTGGGATTGCAGGTATGCACCACCACACCTGGCTAATTTTGTATTTTTAGTAGAGACGGAGTTTCACCATGTTGGTCAGGCTGGTCTCGAACTTCTGACCTCAGTGATCCCCCCACCTCGGCCTCCCAAAGTTCTGGGATTATGGGTGTGAGCCACCACACCCGGCCCCCCTTCAATTTTAAAGCCATCACTATGCACCCTATGTCTATGCCAGGCACTAAAATAAGATGAAGCACCTTCTTGGAGTTTACATGCTGGTAATTATGCCAGACAGTAATAAAATAGGTAAGAACGGCTGTGGGGGAAGTCAGCTGGGTTCTAGTTACAGTCGCATTTCAGGAAATGATTTAACATGCTGACTTTAACAACCTAAGCCTCTTCTCCATGTGTGCACACAGGGTAGATCTCTGAACACAGGTGACCCTAGAAGTGCTGTAACTTCTAGGGGAATGGCTGTGTTGAGTCAAGGCAGGATGACAGTTCAGCCTCCTCCCAGGCTAGTGCAAAGGGCTCTTCACTCGGATTAAAACCTTCTCTCCCAGACCGAATTGCCAACTCCCAACACCCCTCCTACAGAAAATTTGGAGTCCTCGCTTATTCCCTGGCAGCCCCTACCTAATAGGGTGGTGAATTAATTATCAAACATGCGACAGTTTAGCGAAAATGGCAACACTTTGGAATAAATGACTGTAATGTACATCCTGGCGCCCATTTTGCAGGTCAGTTGCTCTCCCTGGAAGGAAGAGTGTTCTCGGATTTCACCTTAAAGGAGGAAGGCTGCCAGAACTGAACTAGCACTTCTGAATATCCTGAGGCGAGGTCCGGTGACTTCCTTGGGAAGCTCTGCCGCGCCCCCATCCCACCCTACCCCACCCTACCCCACCACAGCAGGCGCTGGAGTCCTGGGACCACCAGGATCTGAGGCCCAAATCCTTCCTCACTAAGGGGAGGAGAGGGGTGCTCCGGCAGGGCAGGATGGGAAGGCGTGCTTGGGCGGGATTGTGACATGAGTGCCCTGGTGACATGGAGCAGATCTGTGGCATAAATAAAGGTGTCATAAAGACAGGGCGGGACTCACGCTTACAAGGGGCACGAGCGTCTCGGAGCTGCCAGAATGACTTCCGCTCAGTGCCCGGCACTAGCGTGTGTCATGTCCCCGCTGCGTTTCTGGGGCCCATGGCCCCTCCTTATGTGGCAACTATTGTGGCTACTAGTCAAGGAGGCTCAGCCTCTGGAGTGGGTCAAGGACCCGCTCCAGCTGACCTCTAACCCCCTGGGGCCGCCTGAGCCCTGGTCTTCCCACTCCTCCCATTTCCCACGGGAATCTCCCCATGCGCCTACTCTCCCAGCAGACCCGTGGGACTTTGATCACCTGGGGCCCTCTGCTTCCTCAGAGATGCCAGCCCCACCCCAGGAATCGACTGAAAATTTGGTTCCATTCCTGGACACCTGGGATTCAGCTGGAGAGCTGCCCCTGGAGCCAGAGCAGTTCTTGGCTTCACAGCAGGATTTAAAGGACAAGCTGAGTCCACAGGAAAGGCTCCCTGTTTCGCCCAAGAAGCTGAAGAAAGATCCAGCTCAGCGTTGGAGCCTTGCTGAGATTATTGGAATTATACGCCAATTATCCACACCTCAGAGTCAGAAACAGACTTTGCAGAATGAATATTCCAGTACAGATACACCGTATCCCGGTAGCCTGCCTCCAGAACTCCGGGTGAAGTCAGATGAGCCTCCAGGGCCCTCTGAGCAAGTTGGACCTTCTCAATTCCATCTAGAGCCCGAAACTCAAAATCCAGAGACCCTTGAAGACATCCAGTCCTCTTCACTCCAGCAAGAAGCCCCAGCACAGCTTCCACAGCTCCTTGAGGAAGAACCTTCTTCAATGCAGCAGGAGGCCCCAGCTCTGCCTCCAGAGTCCTCTATGGAGAGTCTAACTCTACCGAATCATGAGGTGTCAGTTCAACCTCCAGGTGAGGATCAAGCTTATTATCACTTGCCCAACATTACAGTTAAACCTGCAGATGTGGAGGTTACCATAACTTCAGAGCCTACCAATGAGACAGAATCTTCCCAAGCCCAGCAGGAGACCCCAATTCAGTTTCCAGAGGAGGTGGAACCTTCTGCAACCCAACAGGAGGCCCCAATTGAGCCTCCAGTTCCTCCTATGGAGCATGAACTTTCCATCAGTGAGCAGCAGCAGCCAGTTCAGCCTTCTGAGTCTCCTAGGGAGGTCGAATCTTCTCCGACCCAGCAGGAGACCCCAGGTCAGCCTCCAGAACATCATGAAGTCACAGTTTCACCTCCAGGTCACCATCAAACTCATCATTTAGCTTCACCCAGTGTCTCTGTGAAGCCTCCAGACGTGCAGCTCACCATAGCAGCAGAGCCTAGTGCAGAGGTGGGAACTTCTCTAGTCCACCAGGAGGCTACAACTCGGCTCTCAGGGTCAGGTAATGATGTAGAACCTCCCGCCATCCAGCACGGGGGCCCACCTCTGCTTCCAGAGTCATCAGAAGAAGCTGGACCTTTAGCAGTTCAACAGGAGACTTCATTTCAATCTCCGGAACCTATTAATAATGAGAACCCCTCTCCAACCCAGCAGGAGGCTGCAGCTGAGCATCCACAGACCGCTGAGGAGGGTGAGTCTTCCCTAACCCATCAGGAGGCCCCAGCTCAGACTCCAGAGTTCCCTAATGTAGTTGTAGCTCAACCTCCAGAGCATTCACACCTGACTCAAGCCACAGTTCAACCTTTGGATCTGGGGTTTACCATCACTCCAGAATCCAAGACAGAGGTTGAACTTTCTCCAACCATGAAGGAGACCCCAACTCAGCCTCCTAAGAAAGTTGTACCCCAACTTCGAGTATATCAAGGGGTAACAAATCCAACACCAGGTCAGGATCAAGCTCAGCATCCAGTGTCACCCAGCGTTACAGTTCAACTTTTGGACCTGGGACTTACCATCACTCCAGAACCTACTACGGAGGTTGGACATTCTACACCCCCGAAGAGGACTATAGTTTCTCCAAAGCATCCTGAGGTGACACTTCCACATCCAGACCAGGTTCAGACTCAGCATTCACACCTGACTCGAGCCACAGTTCAACCTTTGGACCTGGGGTTTACCATCACTCCAAAATCCATGACAGAGGTTGAACCTTCTACAGCCCTGATGACTACAGCTCCTCCTCCAGGACACCCTGAGGTGACACTTCCACCTTCAGACAAGGGTCAGGCTCAGCATTCACACCTGACTCAAGCCACCGTTCAACCTCTGGACCTGGAGCTTACCATAACTACAAAACCTACTACAGAGGTTAAACCATCTCCAACCACGGAGGAGACCTCAACTCAGCCTCCAGACCTGGGACTTGCCATCATTCCAGAACCCACTACAGAGACTGGACATTCTACAGCCCTGGAGAAGACTACAGCTCCTCGTCCAGACCGGGTTCAGACTCTGCATCGAAGCCTGACTGAAGTCACAGGTCCACCTACTGAACTAGAACCTGCTCAGGATTCACTGGTGCAGTCTGAAAGTTACACCCAAAATAAGGCTTTAACTGCACCAGAGGAACACAAGGCCTCCACAAGCACCAACATATGTGAGCTCTGTACCTGCGGAGATGAGATGTTGTCATGTATTGATCTCAACCCAGAGCAGAGGCTCCGCCAAGTGCCTGTGCCAGAGCCCAACACCCACAATGGCACCTTCACCATCTTGTAAGAATCACTTTTCCTCAATTGTCCTCTGTGTCCTGCCTGACATGGCAGCCTTTTCCTGGAGGCCTTCCTGGGCCTTCTTTATCTCCCCAAGCCATATGGACAGCTGACTTTCTGCTTTCACCTTTGCTTGTCAACTCTCCCTTCTCCTCATTCTCTTTTAATGTTAGTCCCCTTCTCCAGTCTTTTCCTTTTACTCTGGTCTTTTACTCGTTTTTGTATCCATTTTTATTTAGCCCCATCACATCATTGCTTAACCGCTGCTCTCCTCCCATTTTCGCTTCACCCTCTTTACAGCAGCCTGTCCCTCTCCCGATCTCAGTGATGATGCTCTAAGTGGTTAAGAGTTGATTCCGGAGCCAGGCTGCCTGGGTTTGAACCCAGATCTATTTATTAGCTTGGTGACCCAGAGCAAGTTATTCTGCCTGTGACTCAATTTCCTCACCTTTAAACTGGGGATCATGCTAGTTAGCATTTCATAGGATTGTTGTGAAATTTAGGTGAGTGAATATATGAAACACTTCATCAGTGCTTAGCATATGTAGGAGAGTTGGCTGTTCACATGATTATTCAGTCCTTTAGTTTTGTCCAGAACTCATTTTTGTCCCTAGCTTTCTATATGTAGAACTAGTTTTATGTCAAACCCAGGGCCAAGTATGCTACTGTCTCCAGAACACGAAAATGATAGGAGGGAAGAGGCTGGGTGTGGTGGCTCACGCCTGTAATCCCAGCACTTTGGGAGGCCGAGGCGGGCGGATCATGAGGTCAGGAGATCAAGACCATCCTGGCTAACATGGTGAAACCCCATCTCTACTAAAAATACAGAAAAAAATTAGCCAGGCATGGTGGTGGGTGCCTGGAGTCCCAGCTACTCGGGAGGCTGAGGCAGGAGAATGGCGTGAACCTGGGAGGCAGAGCTTGCAGTGAGCCGAGATTGCACCACTGCACTCCAGCCTGGGCGACAGAGCAAGACTCCATCTCAAAAAAAAAAAAAAAAAAAAAATGATAGGAGGGAAGAAAGAGAATAGGCATAAAAAGGGAGGTATATATAATTAAGTACTAAAAGATAATGCAGACCATTGGTGCTAGAATTTGCCAGAATCTGTGATCCTTGAGGTGTGGAGATGCTACATGGGTAAGCTAAAACTTTACTTGGGTCTTAAAGAGTAGCCATAATTTGTTAAATAGGAGAAAAATGGGAGTACAGTCTAGGCAAACGCATGGCTACAGGTATGGTTGGAATTTAGTAGACCAATGTGGCTACAAAGAATTAGGTGAGGGAGCAATGAAGATACGATTCTGTAAAACCTTGATTATCAGCTACAGGAGTTTGAAAGTTACACAATGAGGTATGGAAAGCCATTGAAAGTTTCCAAGCAAGAGAGATTACATGATCAAAACAGGAAGATTATTTTATTTTGTTTTTTGCATTATGTGCAAGTGTAGACATGCAGAGGATTGTTTTAGAATCCATATGTAAAGTGTCCAAAAGGAAAAGCTTAATTCAGGGAGACAAAATAGAAAGGTCTAGCAAAATCTAGGAGTGAGGTGTGAAGGGGCCAAATCAGATCAGTTGTAATAGGAGTGGAAAGAAAAAGCCTAGGATGTTTCAACAGAGGGCACTGGGCCAAAGCTTTGGTGTTACCTGGCATAGGGTTTCTTTCTTCTCATTTGTTGATAATGATAAGCTTTTGCCCATATTTCTGTGGAATTATTTACCATTTTGGTACTGATTTGTAGAAGTCTGTTTAGACACATAAGTGCTTTTAGATAAAATACTTACATTCAAAGTAATTAACTGGCATCATCTGTCCAAGAGATGGGATGGATAAGAAGTTAAGCTTCCAGGAGATGCCTCATCATTTGTGCCAGTGACCCCGCATAATTTCTTGATGAATTGTGCAAACTGGGAAGCTGATAGCTCTGGAAATGAGAAAGCAGGTGTTATTTTCTGTTTCTGAATATCCCCAACAAGGTTGCAATGATTCTTTTACTTATCGTGTTCATTGTTTTCCTACCTATTCAAGGATATAAACTGTGTTTCTTCACAGAAATTTCCAAGGAAACTATATTTCTTACATTGATGGAAATGTATGGAAAGCATACAGTTGGACCGAGAAACTGTGAGTATATTCTCTCCAAATATGACAAAAAGCTAACTGCATTGTAAGATCCTTCTTGGTCCAGAATTTTGAGGTCGGTACCTCTGAGGAAAGATATTTCTCCTCCATGCCCCAAATCAACCACTGTTGATTGCAATTGTATGGTTATTTTAAAATTAAATTTGGTAGGCTCTCTTTAAAATAGGAGGCAATTTAAATTTATTTTTTATCATACAAATAGTACATGGTTATATTCCTTTTTGTTCTCTTTTTTTTTTTTTTTTTTTTTTTTTCAGAGACAGGGTCTTACTTTGTCCTCTGGGCTGCAGTGCAGTGGCACAATCACAGCTCACTGCAGCCTTCACCTCCCAGGCCCAAGTGATCCTCTCACCTCAGCCTCCCCAGTAGCTGGGACCACAGGTGCATGCCACCACACCCACCTAATTTTGTATTTTTTGTAGAGACAGGGTCTTCCTATGCTGCTTAGGCTGGTCTTGAACTCCTGGGCTCAAGTGATCCTCCCACCTTGGCCTCTTAAAGTGTTCATATGACAGGCATGAGCCACCACCCGCAGCCCATGATTCCATTTTTAATATATAAAAATGCAATAACAGATATAACAAAAACTCTCCTTGTGCCCTACTCCCTCATCCCTGAAGTAATGCTACTCTGCATTTAGTATACATGCTTCCAGACTTTTCCTCATTTACCTACATACATATTTACATAAAGCAAAATAGATTTGTTTTGTGGTTTTAAAATTTTTTCTTCGCATAAAGGGTAACATCTTGCAACTTGATTCTTTCACTTCATGATATGCCTTAGATTTCTTTCCTTCCCAGTACTGAGAGGGTCACCCCATTCATTTAAACTCCTGCATAATCCATAGTATGGATGCATCATGGTTTATTTAATAATTCCCCCATTGATGAATGTTTAGATTATGCTTAGTTTTCTTGTTACATGCATTGCTGCAATGAAATCCCTGTACATGCTTCTTTGTGAACATGTGCAAGTATTCCTGTAGCATAGATATCTGGAAATGGAATTCTTGGGGTGAAGACTATGTAGATATAAAATTTTAATTGCCTTCAAAAATTTTGTGCCAACTTACTCTATTGTCAGCAGAATATGACAGCATTCATTTCCCAACACCTTTTCACCGCTGGGTATTCTCCAACTTTTTGCTGAAGTTATGGATGAATAAAAGGGATTCCATCTAAATGTGAATTTTTCTGATTACTCATGAATTTAATTTAGTATCTTTATATGTTTATTGAACATTTGTGTTTCTTCTCTGAGTTTTCTGGCCTTTGTTCATTTTCCTGTTGAATTGTTTTATCATTTTCTTACTGATTTATAGAAGGAATTGGTTTAGACACATAAGTGATTTTGGAAAAAATGCTTACATTCAAAGTAACTGACATTTTTCACAACAGTTTGTGTGTCACATCATTATTTCAATGTATATAGACAAGCCACGATGAGTTCTAAATTAAAAATAAACATATGCTAGGCGCGGTGGCTCACGCCTTTAATCCCAGCACCTTGGGAGGTAGGCGGATCACCTGAGGTCAGGAGTTTGAGACCAGCCTGGCCGATAGGGCGAAACCCCATCTCTACTAAAAATACAAAAAGTAGCCAGGCGTGGTGGTGGGTGCCTGTAATCCCATCTACTTGGGAAGCTGAGGCAGGAGAATTGCTTTATTTATTTTTTCAGATGGAATTTTGTTCTTGTTGCCCAGGCTGGAGTGCAATGGTGCGATCTTGGCTCACTGCAACCTCCACCTCCCGGGTTCAAGGGATTCTCCTGCCTCAGCCTCCTGGGTAGCTGGAATTACAGGTGCCCTCCATCACACCCAGCTAATTTTTATATTTTTAGTAGAGACAGGGTTTCACCATGTTGGCCAGGCTGGTCTCAAACTCATGACCGTGGGTGATTCACCCACCTTGGCTTTCCAGAGTGCTGGGATTACAGGCATGAGCCACCACGCCAGGCCAGAACTACATTTTAAAAACAAGAAAATTATTACAAAGGTCAGGATAGTGGTTACCTATTAGGGTTAGAGAGAGGGATATGATTGGAAAGGGGCACACTGGGGCTTCTGGCATGCTAGCAATGATCTTTTGTAACGATGTTTACATGGGTATCTGCTTCATAATTATTAAACTGAATATTTTGGCCAGGTGAGGTGGCTCATGTCTGCAGTCACAGCACTTTGGGAAGCAGACACAGGAGGATCACTTGAGCCAGGAGTTTGAGACCAGTCTGGGAACAGAGTGAGACCCTGTCTCAAAAATTAAATTAAATTAAATATAAACAACATTTATGTTATGTGCACTTTATGCACATTATAGTTCTCCAGTTTTTTTGATGGGGGGAAAAAGGTTGAATGGCTTCACTTGCAGCCCTGACATGGTTCCATGTGGGGCTTTCATAATAAGGTTTGGGAAAAGAGAGGAGGAAATGGAGGTTCTGCTGATCTTGGTGCCACCCAGAGTTGGATTCTAAAAGGGATTTTGTGATCTAGAGAGGAGGCATGAAATAATAGAATTTGGTGGGAAGAAACCCACTCTTCAAGGGGTGTGCTTGAGTGTGTGTGTGTGTGTTTGTGGTGGTGGTGGAGAGAGATGGACACAAAAAGGAAAATATAAGAAAAGGTTTGAATGAAAGCAGAGCAGATCCCACCATCTTGAAGTGACCATGACCCAGCTTTCCTCCACATGCAGGAGATGGTTCTGTGTAGCAAATAGTTGTAGTTTGCATTTTAATCTAGAAATAACTTCTTCATTTTCCAGAATTCTCAGAGAAAATAACTTGACTGAATTACACAAGGATTCATTTGAAGGCCTGCTATCCCTCCAGTATTTGTAAGTTAGTTAATTATATTTATGAGTTTTTAGTCATATTATCTGTAAAATGAATAAGGGGTTCAAATTAGATAATCTCTCAGATTTCTTTGAGCAATAAAATTCTGCAATTCTGTAAGTTTGTATAGGGTCTCAGCCCATCTCTAGCACTAGCTACCTCCTGTGCATTTTCAGTTTTTAAGTTGTATAGACAAAATACAGACAAAAACATTTCACATGGTAAGAAAATCTGAGCAGTGACTGACACCCATATGAACCTTGTTTTATAAGGGTTCACATATCATTATTTTTCTATTCAGTCTACAACCAATAGATCCAATCTAATTTATGGTCTATTTTTAAATAGCCCATTAAGTTAAGAATGGGTTTTGCATTTTTAAAGGGACTGTGAAAGAAAAAGAAAAGAAACAAAGAAATATGCGAGAGATCATATGTGGCCCATAAAACCTAAAATATTTACTGTCTGACCTTCACCAAAAAAAATTTCAAAAAGTTGGTTTAGTAGGATGAAAGGAACTAAAGTTAACTTCAGATGGTTGCCTAAAGGAGAAGAAAATGGAGACCACCTGCATTCATTTGAACATCATTAATCCAGAATTTTTTGGTAATTTAATCGGAATTAAATTAACATTTAAATATTAAAAATAGCTGAATTATATCAATAATATTATCAAGAATATTAAGCTACCAAGAGAATAGACTGGTATTAAGGATTTCATTTCAGGAATTGTTATATTAAAACAGATGTTTAAAATGATGGTTAACTGGTAGAGCTAGAAATGTTTACACTAAGAAGCACATCAGAAATGCCCCTAACTCTTCACTAATTACAAAATAACGATCGCCCCAGCCCTGTTACCAGAAAGGGATCCCTGTATTTCTGTCTGTTTAGAGACAAGAAGATACTATGTTCATTGCTATGAAAGCTTGATTCTTACCCTTTGTCCATAGAGGTCTGTATGTCATTAATCCTTATTAAGCTCATTAGTGATGCTCTTTTGCAAACAGATTCTTTCAAATATAGAAGGCTTAAGGAAAGTGGGTGTAAAGACCCTCAGGTGGATGCCAAAGTGCTACAGAGACCATGAAATAATAAAACTACATTTCCTTTAAAATAGTTATTTTCCTTCTACTCACTCCCCCAGCTATTCATTTATTTTACAAATATTTGAGTTTGCTTTATTTCCATGTGTCAGTTTTAAACATGGTGGGCAATGCAGATGAGCAAGACCTAGTCCATGCTTTCAGGGAGTTTATGCTCAGAAGAAATGGGATAAAAAATAACTACATTAAGAAGAAGAAATGGATGTGGGCACTAGGAGGGATAAATTGTTTCTCGAACATAGAAGAGGAAAAAATGCCTTCAATTTGGACCCAGGAGGATGTTACTAGAACAATGCCATTTGAATAGGACTTTAAAGGGCCATTGTGTAACACCAGACAGACATCTTGGGGAAAATACTCTAAACTTGCAAAAGGAAAATGGGAGGGCAAAACACAGGAAAGTATTCAAGGAATGCCATGAGTACCCGTAGAGTACAAGAAGGGAGAGTAGGAAAATGGAGCCAGATCTTCTAGAGCTTTGAATGCCAAGCTGAGGAGCCAACATGGGGAACCGTGTTACCACAGCAGCGCTGTAAGGTAGATCTGCATCACAGTCATTGAGAGGGCACGTTAGAACTCAGTTCTGGACTCCACCCTCGTAGTTACTGATTCAGTTGGTCTAGAGTGGGACCAAGAATTTGCATCTTCAGTAATTTCCCAGGAGATGCTGGTCTTTGCAAGCCACTTCTGGAGAGTTTATATGATGACTGTGTGCAGGATAGTTTAGGTAGGGAGAGACTAGAGATGGAGACATCAGCCAGACAACGTTACACCATCCAGGTAAAGAGGGAGGGACAAACTCCATCACTGTATAACTGAAGAAATTTTTTTTTATGAAATATTAAAGCAATACAAAACCAAAAATGAATTTCTATTAATATGATAGAAATTAATTCTATTAATATGATTTGAATTAGTTCAAAGTTATGTATTAGGTAAAGGGGTAGCTTCCTTTCAAATGATGTGAAAGGATGTCTTTTATTTCTTCTGATATTGAAGTGACTTAGGAAAACAGACCTAAACTAAGAAGGTGTAGAAATGTGAGACTTGTTTGTTTGTTTGTTTGTTTGTTTGTTTGAGACGGACTCTCGCTCTGTCGCCCAGGCTGGAGTGCAGTGGTGCAATCTTGGCTCACTGCAAGGTCCGCCTCCTGGGTTCATGCCATTCTCCTGCCTCAGCCTCCTGAGCAGCTAGAACTACAGGCACGTGCCACTAGGCCCGGCTAATTTTTTATTTTTTTTGTAGAGACAGGGTTTCACCGTGTTAGCCAGGATGGTCTCGATATCCTGACCTCAGGATCCGCCAGCCTCGGCCTCCGAAAGTGCTGGATTACAGGCCTGAGCCACCGCACCCGGCCCGACTATTTTTTTTAATATTAGAAATTGTGTATATAGAGATAAAATCTTTGAGCTCATAATCTAAGATTTGATGACACTACAAAAGGGCATCTAATCAAGTCTACTGCTCTCAGGAAAAATTAATTCCAAAGTCTATTATGTTGTATATTTATTAAAACCATGAAGGTGAGACTCTAGGAGAGGTATGGGCAGGGTTAGGGGCTCTGGAATGTTCAAATACAAGTCCAAACGTTTAGAGTTGAGATGAAAAACAGGTATTCAGTATTATTCTAAACTCTTGCTGTTATTCATACCAATTGACATTTAATAACTAATCAAGGCAATATTTTCGTTTTCCTAGAGATTTATCCTGCAATAAAATACAGTCTATTGAAAGACATACATTTGAACCACTACCATTTTTGAAGTTTATGTAAGTTACAAATATAACTTGATTACATTTGGAATTTTTATAAAACTTAATTATAAACCTTTTTGCTATTCTTGAAATATGATTAAAATTTTACCAGTAGAAAGCTACTAAAATTATACAGCAAATCCTTTTTGTCTCTAGCAAGGATTATTGTGAGAATTATTACACAGATCTTAGTGAATCATCAGAGAGCAGTGGTTCTCAGGTGGTGTGATTTTGCACTCAGGTGGCATTTGGTAATGTCCGGAGACAGTTTTGGTTGACAAAACTGTGAGTGTGCTCCTGGCATCTGGTGGGCAAAGGCCAGAGATGCTGCTAAACATCCTTCAAGGTATAAGACAAACCCCCATGGCAAAGAGTTATATAGTCCAAAATGTTGATGGCACTGAAGTTGTGAAATCCTGTTCTAGAGAAATAAAGATCACTTAACACAGGTATTTACTGAGCATTCACTGTTTTGTATCTAATGCACCACATGTGCAGTGTTAAAGTATAAATCATAAGCCAGTATCTTCCACAGTCAGATTTCCTTAGTGCATAGAGAAAGGATTGAGGTTATGTTCCATCCTATATAAATTAGAATCATGGCAAATGATAAATGTTCTGAAATAATTTTTTTTTTCTTTGGCTTGTGTCTTTTTTTTTTAGAAATCTTAGTTGCAATGTAATTACAGAACTCAGCTTTGGAACATTTCAGGCCTGGCACGGAATGCAGTTTTTACATAAGTTGTAAGTGAAATAGAAGATGAATACATGTAAACAACTATTTATGTACAAAAACTCATACAATTATTGGGTAGCTGGGTATAAGCCCATTATCAACTCTGAAAAGCATGTCTTAAGATCCATTCATTTTTCTCAAATGGGGAAGCTAAGGTACAAAGAGGCCAAGAGACTTACGTAGCTTATATATGACCTCCTCTGCTTGTCCTAGTTCTGACCTATAGCATGGGCAAGAAAAGGCATCAAAGAAGTGACCCTCAAATTAGCCTTGTTGCTGGGCGGGGTGGCTCAGACCTGTAATCCCAGAACTTTGGGAGCCGAGGTGGGTGGATCACCCGAGGTCAGGAATTCAACACCAGCCTGGCCAACATAGTGAAACCCTGTCCCTACTATAAATACAAAAAAAAAATCTGGGCGTGGTGGTGCAGTTTTTTGCTCCCTGGAGGACTTTGTGTTAAGCTTCCTTCCTTGCAGCTAAATGTTGCAGACATTTAAGCAGTTAGAAACTCTGCATATGAGCAGGAATCAAATCCAAAGTTGTAGGGCCAGAATGGTGGCTCATGCCTGTAATCCCAGCACCTTGGGAGGCCAAGGTGGGAGGATCACTGGAGGTCAGGAGTTTGAGACCAGCCTGGCCAACATGGCAAAACCTCATCTCTACTAAAAATACAAAAATTAGCAGGTCATGGTGGCGGGCACCTGTGATCCTAGCTATCGGGAGGCTGAGGCACGAGAATGGCTTGAACCCGGGAGGGGGAAGTTGCAGTGAGCCGAGATTGTGCCACTACCCTCCAACCTCCCCTCCAGGCTGGTCTCGAACTCCTGTGACCTCAGGTGATCCGCCCACCTCAGCCTCCCAAAGTGCTGGGGTTACAGGTGTGAGCCACCATGCCTGGCCAAGATGGTGTTTATGTTAAGCTATTGTGCAAAAAAAAACTTTTGTAAAGAAAATATATCGCTGTATCTTAATTCCATATACTTTCCTGACTACTCTTCTACCATAATTGCAAAAATTCTATGCTTTCTCTGTATAACATACCCATCAAATCAGAGTGGGTATATTCAGTGGCCTGAAGGGGACTCAAGGTGAAGATTCTCCTCTACATCTGACTTTAGAAAAGACGTTCCACCTGCCTTGTGGTTCAGAAATCTAGTTTCACACAGTTCATTTCAAGTTAGAGGGAGGCATTCAGGATGTGTCTGGACTAGAGCAGCAGTTTCTGCACATGCTCCCCTCTGTCCTCATTAATTTGCTGATGCATAACTTAGGAAAAGTACACTAAAGGTCTGTTTTTCTTTTGCCCTCACACCAGAGAACAGGCTCATTAGGTCCCTCCACCAAGAGGTTTAGGTAGCATCAATACAAATGTTTTAAACTCACCATCTTTACTAAGCACTTTATACAACTGGGAGTCCCTCATAAAAATCTGGTGGCCGGGAGCGGTGGCTCATGCCTGTAATTCCAGCACTTTGCTGAGGTGGGTGGATCACCTGAGGTCAGGAGTTCAAGACCAGCCTGACCAACATGGTGAAACCTGTCTCTACTAAAAATACAAAAATTAGCTGGGCATGGTGGCAGGCAACTGTAATCCTAGGTACTCAGGAGGCTGAGGCAGGAGAATCACTTGAAACCAGGAGGCGGAGGTTGCAGTGAGCCGAGATGGCACCATTGCACTCCAGCCTGAGGGACAGAGTGAGACTCTGTCTCAAATAATAATAATAATATAATAATAATCATCATCATCATCATCATCATCATCATCATCTAGCCAGCTTCACAACAATTATGTAGGCAACACCAGGAAAACACTGGAATCACAGTTGATAAAAATTAATGAATTCACTCAAAAACATTCAGAGTGTCATGTCCATTTGTGCCAGGTACTGTACTAAGTGCTGGGGCTACAAAATCCATCTCAAAGACACACCAAGATGAGGACTTTGTCCCCAGGGGACTTTCATTCCTCAAGGAGGAAGCGGATGCTGATGGGAAAACATATGAGAGCCATGTGGGGATCTGTACGGCAGGGTGACAAGGAGAGGACAAAGCAGGAATGGGGGCTGGGTTAAGAAAGACTTGAGAGACACTAACTTGCTTATCTTGAGTTTCTGTGTTCATCTTAAACAACAGAAAAAGGCATTTGCTTCATGGTGATGAAAAAATCAGAGCTAGCTGATATTGGAAACTAGCACTCATTTCATATAAACAGAATAGAGCTGTACCCTTCAAACTAAGTCACAGTTACTTTCAAAGATTGGCACAAGGGTCTCAACACACCAAGTGTATGTTAGGGGCTGGGCTCCTTTGGAGTCAAATCTTCCTGGTAAACAAAGCTACACTGCAGTCATATTTGGCATATGTGACATATAGGCCCACTGCATTTCCTTCCAAAGGCAAGATGCCAAGGGAAGGTGCCAGTAATTTTATGACCAATATGACACCATTTTGTGGTGTTTGTAAGTTGAAACAATATATTTCCCTGCATTACACAAGTTTGTAAAAAACAAACAAAAAAAGAGGCCCCAGCTGTGGTTGATCGATGATGAATTGAATAGAGCCTAACCTTCCAGGCTTCTCACTTGCACAGGCCCTTCCAAGGTCCTGGGAGGGCCCCTGGAAATTTTTGTAGTCATAATTTTTTTAATGTTTTTACAAGATAAGGCTCAGGCCCCACAAAATCCTGAAATCATCCCTGGGTTCCAATAGTTACAACCCAGTAAATCTCTTGAATGAAGCCTCTATGTTATTGACAAATACTGACTGGCCAAATTAGCAGGGTGATAGGGTCAGTCTATTTTGAATCTGAAATCCATCTCAAAGACAGGCCAAGAGCTTATTCGTGGACTTAACTGGATTCTGCTGGCCCAAGCGCAGTAAAGTCAAACAACCATATCGAGGTTTTGCATTGGGGAAAGGAGGACATTTATTTGCAGGGCATCCAAGCAAGAAGGACCAGGTGGCTAACTATCAAAGTCCCTCACTGAATGGGGGCAATAATCATATCTCTTACAGATGAAATCATGAATGAAATGGTTTATGGAAAAGCAGCAATGGTTGATAATCCTAAATGTTAAGTATGTTTATATTTTTTCCCTGACTTTAAAGTGCTTCTCCTTCATTCCTATACACAGGTCCAGACTGATGGCTTATTTTTTAAAATTCTCTTAGTCACTTCATTGGTTCTAACAATAATTTTAGAAACTGGATGACTTTGCAATGTAGAAAGGCTATACTTTATTCAGATAGAGTACACTCACATATTGGCTTGTCTATGGCATATCGATATCATGCCAAGAATGTAAGCACTAAGAGAGAATAAGAGGAAAATCCAGGCTTTATCCCTATTGAATTATTTATCCCACTATTAGAATATTAGTGAGGTAGGTGTGGCCACACTGTGATGGCAAATTGAGCTTCGGTCACAAACATGCCTTACTGTTCCCCCCAGTCTACTGACATCAGCTTCCTTTACATAGCGGTAGATGCACAAAAGCTTGCACAGTTGAGGGTATTGTCATCATGTTTTGGTATGTACTGGAATCCTGGCAGCTTCTTCTCTGATTCGGAGAGGCGCAAACATTAAAGACAAAAAGAACAACTCGAGTCTGTCCTTTGGGGTGATTTAGGGTGGCTGTTTAAATTTGTAGTGGTTGAAAAGTCTTGAGATTGTCACACCTAGCAACTCTTATACTTTTCTTCTCTCAGCTGCAGCTTGTTCTTTTCACCTGTGTAACAAGCTGTCTTCTCTTCTCACAGAAGCTTAGCATTTCTTCCTCTGCCCCATAGCATTTTTTCAATACTTAATTTACCAGGTGCTGTTTATGTTGTAGGCACCTAAGTACTTATACAAGTGAGATAACATGTCCGAAGTTCTTAGAACAGTGCTTGGCCTATGGTAAATGCTCCATACATGTTACCTCCTATGATACCTCATTTTCATTTTTCCAACAACTCTTGCGATGCGGTTATTATTATCATTTCTATTTTGCAGATGAGGAAGTTGAAACTCAGAGACGCTAGGTAATTTGCTAAGGTTCACACGGCTAATAAGTGGCAGAACCACTTACAAGCTTTGCAAGTAATTTTCAATGCAGCTCTTAGTTCTCCTGTAATAGGAGCTGAATGATGACAATTTGGCTTTGTGTGCATTGTATCTTACTTTCTAACTTGAACAGGACCTGTAGAGCAGTGAGCTCCACTTCCCTCTGAGAATCCCACGCTTCTGGAGCTCCTGGCTGTACCAGCTCTGGGCATCCCCAGGGTTTATGCTCACCGGTCAGTGCTGGTGTGACATGATGGCTGAGCACCGGCACTGTGTCCAGCGCATTGCTAGGCACTAGACACGTGCTCTTTCATTTATTCCTCAAATTGCTTTGTGCTGTAAATGCTACCCAGAAAGGCTCATGTTCATTACTCAAGTCACTTCACCAGAAAGTGACAGAGCCAGAATTCAAACCCAGGTCTGCCAGATTCCAGGTCCCTTGCTTCTTCTGTTGTTCCTCATTGCAAGGGAGTCTTCTTCAAGGTTATTCTCAGGACTTTGATTAAGATACAGGCTCACAGCTGGGCATGGTGGCTCATGCTGTAATCCCAGCACTTTGGGAGGCCAAGGTGGGTGCATCACTTGAGCTCAGAATTTCGAGACCAGCCTGGCCAACATGGTGAAACCCTGTCTCTACTAAAAATACAAAAATTAACCAGGCATGGGGACGGGTACCTATGATCCCAGCTACTCTGAAGGCTGAGGCAGGAGAATCACTTGACTCCAGGAGGTGGAGTTTGCAGTGAGCCAAGATCACACCACTGCACTGCACTCCAGCCTGGGCAACAGAGTGAGACTTCATCTCAAAAAAAAAAAAAAAAAAAAAAAAAGAAAGAAAGAAAAGAAAAAAGGCTCACCGTTTCAGATTCTCTAGATTTTGCCCCTGAAAAAGCATTTACCTGATGCAGTCCGAGGTCTTGTATGGAGGAGCTTGGTGTGGGGAGATGTGTGGCTCACGAACCTATGTAGGTGAATAAAGGAAAGAGGTTACTTTCTCCCCAAGTACATCGCGCATATTGGGTGAGGGTCTAGGTCATCTGCTTATTTCTTTGACTACCTTCTTCCATGGAACCAGTTTTCCCTGACAGCCTTGGGATTCTAGCATAGATCATTTTGGAGTCTGTCATTTAAATTTATTTTCACGGCCTGCTTTGGACATTTTTTCAGCTAGAGCTGTTAGAATTTCAGTACATTTAAGACAGTGATGACATGCTCCAGTCCTTTCATCTCTCTCTCCTCAGTTAATAGAAAGGAAACATAGCTCATCTATCTGGACCTGTACAGAAGAATTTGGAGGGAAAAAAAAAACAGGCAAGAAATGTTCCCTTATTTTGTGAGCTACCTTTATTCTGTCCCATTGTTCTACAGCAAAAGGCTTGTATAAAAATATTTCAGTTTTCCTCATCTAATAAGGCATATTTAATAAAATTATTTAGAGCAGTACTTCTTAAACTTTTACTCTGAGACAGTCTTTGAGGCTGAAAAAAAGCTTGCCACATTTTACTTCCATAAAGATACCAAAAAGGCGATGGACTGGGAGTCAGTGCACCTTAGTTTAATGTATAAAATGAAGGACTTGAACCAGAAATGGAAATGGTCATCTACTGTGAATCTAAAAACACTCGAGGCTGGGTGCGCTGGCTCATGCCTGTAATCCCAGCACTTTAGGAGGCCAAGACAGGCAGATCGCTTGAGCCCCTGGAGTTCAAGTTCAGCCTGGGCAACAAAGTGAGACCCCAATCTCTACAAAAAGACTTTTAAAAAGTGGAAACATAAATATAAATAAATAAAAACATTCATATCATTTGGTTTGTGGAAAAGAGTTGCTGTAGAGTCCTCAAACTTGAGCCGTTGAGCCAGTTCCCACTCAGTCTCTCCATGGCCCAGGCACAACCTTAGTCAAGAAAAGAATGCCTTAGAACAGGAGGAAAAGAGGATAATATCGAATGGCCCTATATTTTGATTTCATTAGGGACAAATGCAAAGATCCTAATGTCAGCTGGAGAAGAGCTTCCTAGTTCAGAGGTAATGCTGAGCTCAAGGCTATGGATGAGCTATCAAGAAAGAGGGAAGGTTGGAGAGTGAGAGAATTTTGGAGGAAAGATAACAAACTTTGCTAAGTTGTTTGGCTACATACTGCCTTACAGTCATTATTTTTGGTGTTTAGAAAAAAATAGAAACAGGGTCTCACTTTGTTACCCAGGCTGGTCTCAAACTCCTGGGCTCAAGCTCTCCTTCTGCTTTGGCCTCCCAAAGTGCTGAGATTACAGGCTTGAGATGCTGTGCCCAGCCTACATTCATTTTTAATAGCTGGGAGGAAAGTGGGCAGAGGAAGATATAGAATGAAGGGGTAGCCGACTTTGTACAGAGCCCACCAGTGGTCTTACAAGTTTTCATGCCAAAAAAAAATCACGAAGGATATTTAAAGCCCTAGTTTGAGAATCCATACTTAACCAGTCATGTGGCACTCACATTCTTTCTCTTTGTAACATCATCTTATTGAATATTAGTGTTACAAAACAAGTTAATGGCACTGAAAAACCATCTGGAATAGGAAGAGGAGGGGGATCACAAGGCAGGACAAGCTGTGTGGCTCCCAGCCTCGCCACTGACTCACTCTGATCTTGGTCAAGGGAGAGTGAATCTTCACTCCTCTTTTTTCCATCTGCCAGCATGTTTGGTCTTCTGGCACCTGGTGTTCTATACAGTACAACATGCTTCTTTGTGTTACATTGAGACTTGATCCACATACCATCAACACAGTATTATAAAGTGTACAATTCAGTGGTGGTTAGTATATTCTCAAGGTTGTATAGCAAACAATCACCATTATCTAACCCCAGAACATTTTCATCATCCCCCAAAAAAACATGGTACCCATTAGCCATCACTCCCCAGTGCTGTCTTCCCGCAGGCCCAGGTAACTACTAATCTACTTTGAGTCCCTATGGATTTGCCTATTCTAGATCTTTCATATAAACGAATCATACAGTATGTGGCCTTTTGTGTCTAGTTTCTTTTCACGAAGCATGTTGTTTCTAAGGTCCTCCCATGCTGCAGCATGGATCATTCCTTTGCAAGGCTGAGTGATATTCCATTGTATGGAGCCATCACTATATCCGTTCATCCATTCATCACTTAGTGGACATGTGGTTGTTTCTACTTTATTTTGGCTTTTATGAATAATGCTGCTATGGACATGCATGTACTACTTTTTGCGTGGACATGTTTTTAATTCTAGGGTGCATCCCTAGCAGAATTGCTAGATCGTATGGCAACTCTTATGTTTAACTTTTTGAGGACCTGTCAGGCTGATTTCCACAGTGGCTGCTCCATTTTACACTTCCATCTGCAATGTTTGAGGGTTTCAATTTCTCCTGGTCTTTGTCAACACTGTCGTTGTCTGTCTCTTCTCATAGCCATCCCAGTGAGTGTAAAGTAGTATCTCGCTGCAGTTTTTGATGGACATTTCCCTAATGATTTAAGACATTCAACATTTTTATGTGTATATGAGCCATTTATATATCTTCTTTGAAGAAATATTTATTCACATCCTCTGCCCATTTAAAAAATTGATTTGTCTTTTTATTGAATTATAGGAATTTCTTTATATCTTCTGGATACTCTGGATATTAGACCTTAACAGATAATTTGCCAATATTTTCTCTCATCCTGTGAGTTCTGTGACTTTCTTGCCAGTGTCCTTTGATGCACAAAAGTTTTTAATTTTGATAAAATCTAATGTATCTATTTTTCCTTTGGTTGTTTGTGCTTTTGGTGTCATGTGTGTGTATAAAATGTCTTATTCTTCTTTAAAAAGGTTCAGTGTTTGGTTTTAAATCAGGCTGTGTCCCTTTCATCTGTCTGACATTCTTGTCACCATGTCAGGCTGCCTTCAGCTAGTAATACTTCATTAAATTCAAAAGACAAAATTGTTTTAAAAGAAAAAAAATCCAGTTTGGAGAAGAAAAAACTGTTGTCTAATTTAAGGTCATGAAATTTACTCCCATGTTTTTGTGTAAGAGTCTTATCGTTTTGGCTCTTACATTTAGGTATTTGACATATTTTGCATCAATTCTTATAATCGTGTGAGATGTAGGGGGTCCACCTTCATTATTTTGCACATAGATGTTCAGGTGACGCCATTGCACTCAAGCCTGGGCAACAGAGTGAGACTCCAATGGAGACGGGGTTTCAGCACGTTTATCAGACTGCTCTCGAACTCCTAACCTCAGATGATCCACCTGCTTCAGCCTCCCAAAATGCTGGGATTACAGGCATGAGCTACCATGCCCAGCCAATAAATGAAAACTTTTTCACTCAAAAAAACAACAATTGTAGTGAAACCATAGATCAGTTTGGAGAATCATGCTATTATTATCTGCTTCATGTTTACAGAATACTCCGTTGAATTTGGTTTGCCAGATTTTGTCAAGCATTTTTCCATCTACATTCATAAGAAATACTGGTCTGTAATTTTTTGTGTGTGATGTCTTTAGTTTGGATACCAGGTTAATATCACCCTCATAGAATAAGTTAGGAAATGTTCTTTCCTCATCTGTATTTTGAAAGACTTTATGAAGGATTGGTGTTAATTCTTCTTTAAGTATTTGGTAGATTCACCAGTGAGGCTGCCTGCTGGTCTTCAGCTTTTCTTAGTGGAAAGTTTTTTGATTACTACCTCAATCTCTTTACTTGACATAGGTCTGTCTATTCAGATTTTCTGTTTTTTTCTCAAGTCAGATTCAGTAGTTCATATCTTTCTGGTAATGTGTCTTTCATCCAGCTTATCCAATTATTAGCATATATTGTTTATATGTATAATCCTTTTTATTCATATTATAATCCTTTTTATGTCTCTAAGAACAATAGTAATGTCCCCTCTCATTTCTAGTTTTAATAATTTGGTCTTCTGTATTTTTGCAGTGCAGTGGCTCACACCTGTCATCCTAGCACTTTGGGAGGCTGCGGTGGGAGGATTGCTTGACCCCAGGAGTTCAAGGCCAGCCAGGGCAACATACTGAGAGCTTATCTCTACAAAAAAAATTTAAAAGTTAGCTGAACGTGGTGGCACATGCCTGTAGTCACAGCTACTCAGGTGGCTAAGGCAGGAGGATCACTTGAGCCCAGGAGATCGGTGCTGCAGTGAGCCATGATTGTTCCACTGCACTCCAGCCTGGGAAACAGAGTGAAAACCTGTCTTGAAAAATGAACAGTAAGAAAACAAAATGTTTGTGGCCAGATGCAGTGGTGCATACCTATAATCCCTGTACTTTGGGAGGCCAAGGAAGGAGGATTGCTTGAGGCCAGGAGTTTGAGACCAGCCTGGGCAACATAGTGAGACCCTATCTCTAAAAATTTTTTTTAGTTAGCCGAGTGTGGTGGTGCGCTCCTGTAGTCTCAGCTACATCTTAATTTTATAACGTTGTAGTTCAGATTAATTCCAACTTTGTTTCAATGGTATACAAAAACTTTGCTTCTCTAAAGCTCCACTCTCACCCCCTCCTTTATACTGTTATTGTCACACATTACATCTTTATATACCTTATGTTCATCAACTAGATTTATAATTATTGCATTATGTAAGTATCTTTTTCTTTTTTTTTTTTCCTTTATTTTGGGACAGAGTCTCACTCTGTTGCCCAGGCTAGAGTGCAGTGGCACAATCTTTACTCGCCACAACCTCTGCCTCCCAGGTTCAAGCGATTCTAGTGCCTCAGCCTCCTGAGTAGCTGGGACTGCAGGCACGTAACACCACACCCAGCTAATTTTTGTATTTTTAGTAGAGACAGGGTTTCACCATGTTTGCCAGGCTGGTCTCAACCTCTTGACCTCAAGTGATCCTCCAGCGTCAGCCTCCCAAAGTGCTGGGATTACAGGCCTGAGCCACTGCGCCCAGCCAGTGCTTTTTATTTCTTTGTGCAGATTCACGTTAGTACTCCTTATAGGGCAGGTCTTCTAGCAACAAAGTCTCTCAGTTTTTATTTATCTAGAATATCTTAATTTCTCTTCAATTTCAAAGGTAGTTTTGCCAGGTATAGAATTATTGGTTGACAGTTTCTTCAGCACTTTGAATATGCCATTTCATTGCCTTTTGTCCTCCAGTGTTGTGTGTGGTTGCTTTGTTTTTAGACAGGGTCTTGCTCTGTTACCCAGGCTGGAGTGCAGTGGTGCAACCACTCACAACGTTGCAGCCTCCACCTCCCAGGCTTAAGCAATGCTGTCACCTCAGCCTCCTGGGTAGCTGAGACTACAGGCATGCACCACCATGCCCAGTTTTTTTTGTTTTTGTTTTTGTTTTTTTTAATTTTTTTTTATTGATCATTCTTGGGTGTTTCTCGCAGAGGGGGATTTGGCAGGGTCATAGGACAATAGTGGAGGGAAGGTCAGCAGATAAACAAGTGAACAAAGGTCTCTGGTTTTCCTAGGCAGAGGACCCTGTGGCCTTCCACAGTGTTTGTGTCCCTGGGTACTTGAGATTAGGGAGTGGTGATGACTCTTAACGAGCATGCTGCCTTCAAGCATCTGTTTAACAAAGCACATCTTGCACCGCCCTTAATCCATTCAACCCTGAGTGGACACAGCACATGTTTCAGAGAGCACTGGGTTGGGGGTAAGGTCATAGATCAACAGCATCCCAAGGCAGAAGAATTTTTCTTAGTACAGAACAAAATGGAGTCTTCTATGTCTACTTCTTTCTACACAGACACAGCAACAATCTGATTTCTGTATCTTTTCCCCACATTTCCCCCTTTTCTATTCAACAAAACCGCCATCGTCATCATGGCCCGTTCTCAATGAGCTGTTGGGTACACCTCCCAGACGGGGTGGCGGCCGGGCAGAGGGGCTCCTCACTTCCCAGAAGGGGCAGCCGGGCAGAGGCGCCCCCCCACCTCCCGGAGGGGGCGGCTGGCCAGGCGGGGGCTGGCCCCCACCTCCCTCCCAGACAGGGCGGCTGCCGGGCAGAGGGGCTCCTCACTTCTCAGACGGGGCGGCTGCTGGGCGGAGGGGCTCCTCACTTCTCAGATGGGGCGGCTGCCAGGCGTAGGGGCTCCTCACTTCTCAGACGGGGCGGCCAGGCAGAGATGCTCCTCACCTCCCAGACAGGGTCGCGGCTGGGCAGAGGCGCTCCTCACATCCCAGACGGGCATGCCCAGTTATTTTTAAATTTTTTGTAGAGACAGGGTTTTACTCTATTGCCAGTGCTGGTATCCAACTCCTGGCTTCAAGCAATTCTTGAGCCTCAAGCCTCCCAAGGTACTGGGAGTACAGGTGTGAGCAACCATGTCCAGCACCTGCATTGTTTTTGAAGAGAAATTAGCTATTAATCTTATTGAGGATCCCTTGTATGTGATGAGTTGCTTTTCTCTTGCTGCTTTCAAGATATTCTGTCTTTGGCTTCTGTCAGTTTGATTACAGTATGTTTAGATGTGGATCCCTCAGTTTTTCCTACTTGTAGTTCCTTGAGCTTCTTGAATATGCAGATTGTTTTTCATCATGTTTGGGAAGTTTGGGGCCATCATTTCTTCAAATATTCTTTCTCCTTTTTTCTGTTTTTCTTCTCCTGGGACGCTCATTATGTGTATGTTAGTAAGCTTGATGATGTGTTCCACAAACAGGTCTCTGAGATTCCATTCACTTTCATTCATTTTTATTTCTGTTCCTCAGAGTCAACAATCTCAATTAACCTTCAAGTTCCCCATTCTGTCTTCAGCCTGCTGTAATGTGCCATTGAGAACCTCTAATAATTTTTCCATTTCAGTTACCATACTTTTCAACTCTAGAATTTCTATTTGACTCCTTTTTATGGTTTCTATCTCTTTATTGATATTCTCTATTTGATGAGACATTGCTTTCATACTTTCCTTTAGTTCTCTAGTCTACAGAACTGAATCGTTTCTCTTATCTCTTTGAACATATTTTAAATAGCTGAATTAAATCCTTCTCTAGGCCAGGCATGGTCGCTCGTGCCTATAATCCCAGCACTTTGGGAGGCTGAGACTGAGGTTGAGGCTGAGGCCAGGAGTTCAAGACCACCCTGGGTAACTTCGCAAGACCCCACCTATAAAAAATAAAAAAATCTTTGTCTAGTAAGTCTAACATCTGGTCCTTCTCAGGGACAATTTCTGCTTATTTCTCCCCCAACCACGTGTTTGGGCCATACTTTGTTTCCTTGCATCTTTCATAAATGTTTGTTAAAAATTGAATATTTTAAATAATATAATGTAGCAATTCTGAAAATCAGATCCATGCTGCCAGGGTTTGGTGTTACTCCTGCTTGTGTTAGCAGTTGCTATTTATTTAGTGACTTTTCTGAACTTCTTCTGTAAAGTCTCGCATTATATGTCATGTGTTCCCACTAAAGTCCCTCCTCGGTTAGCTTACCGATCAGGTAATGATTAAATGAAGATTTACTTAAATTCTTGGAACTGATAAGTCTCCTAGTTTTTGCCAAGGGGCTCTGTGTACATGTTGGGGCATACCTTCAGCACTCAGCTAGACAATTTACAGCCATGCCTTAGCTTTCACTTCTTGCTTGTGCAGAACCTCAAGGTGTCAGCCAGGGGTGAGAGTTTATGAACTTAATAGGTCTTTCCTGACCATGCTGACAGTCTGCCCTATGCATGCGCGTGACATTCCAAATTGCCAGGAATATGTCTTATGGACTTCTAGTTTCCCAAGCATATATCAGAGTGTTTCAAATTCCTGTGGACATCTTATTCCTCAGCTTTTCCTATTAAGCTTTTTGATTAGGCTTTTTTCCCCCAAACTGTTATTCATTGCCGAATACAGTTGCCATGTTAAAACACTTGTCTGTAATTGTTTTCCAAAAACACCCTCTGTGGAGAGGCTTTAGCACTAGACAGCTTTCATTCTGGTCAAATAAAGACAAACCTTTCAAATGAGGTCTTCCAGGGAACCACCAGACAGATGACATCATGACAGTTAACTGAGAATAAGGCTTTGAAGGAGCTCCAGCTCCATTCTGCTCCCTCTGTTTGGGGATGTGGGCTGTTTTCCAAGGCGACTACTGAGCTAGAGGGTGAGGAATGGTCTAAGGCAAGTTAACACAAATCTCACTGTTCTTACAGAAATTTTTCTTGAATAAATGCTCCTTGGGTTGCTGCAAGACTTTGGTTACATTTCTAGAGTTCTGAAAAAGTTTATTGTGGTCAATTTTTTTTTTTTTTTTTTTTTGCTATTTTTTTTGGTATTTGTTGCTTTTATGAAGGGATGAATTTTTGGATGTCTCTTTTTTTTTTTGAAACAGAGTCTCACTCTGTTGTCCAGGCTGGAGTGTAGTGGCATAATCTCATCTCACTGCAAGCTCCACCTCCCGGGTTCACACAATTCTCCTGCCTCAGCCTCCCGAGTAGCTGGGACTACAGGCGCCTGCCACCACGCCCAGCTAATTTTTGTATATTTAGTACAGACGGGGTTTCGCTTTGTTAGCCAGGATGGTCTCGATCCCGTGACCTCGTGATCCGCCTGCCTCAGCCTCCCAAAGTGCTGGGATTACAGGTGTGAGCCACTGCGCCCAGCCTGCATGTCTTTATTCCACCATTTTCACTGATGTCACTTACGACATGATTTTAAATCTCTGAAGGCTCACTGGGCACATGCCTGTAGTCCCAGATACTCGGGAGGCAAAGGAAGAAGGATCCTTTGAGTCCAGGAATTCTGGGCTGTAGCATGCTATGCTGATTGGGTGTCCGCACTAAGTTCAGCATCAGTATGGTGACCTCCCGGGAAAAGGAGACCACCAGGTTGCCTAAAAAGGGGTGTACCAGCCCAGTTCAGGAATAGAGCAGGTCAAAACTCCCATGCTGATCACTAGTGGGATCATGGCTGTGAATAGCCACTGCTCTCCAGCCTGGGCAACACAGTGAGTGAGAATGTGTCTCTTAAAAAAAAAAAAAAAAAGTCTCATTGACCATAGACTAATAAACTATTTAATCATGGGAAATGATTAGGGGAAAGACATAAAAAGAGAAACTGTAATCCACTTTTTTTTGCTCTGTCGCCCAGGCTGGAGTAGAGTGGCTTGATCTTGGCTCACTGCAACCTCCGCCTCCTGGGTTCAAGCAATTCTCCTGCCTCAGCCTCTGAAACAGCTGGAATTACAGGCAAGCACTGCCGTGCCCTGCTAATGAGAAATTGTAATTCTCATAGAGGTCCTCCCAGAGGAGTAGAAGAAGGTTGAAAGGCACTTCTGTATTTAGTCTTCTCACAATTAAGGCTGGGCCCAGTGGCTCACACCAGCACTTTGGGAGGCCAAGGCAGGCGGATCATTTGAGATCAGGAGTTCAAGACCAGCCTGGCAAACATGGTGAAACTCCCATCTCTACTAAAAACACAAAAAATAGCCAGGCGTGGTGGTGCGTGCCTATAGTCCCAGCTATTTGGGAGACTGAGGAAGGAGGATTACCTGAGCTTGGGAAGAGGACGTTGCAGTGAGCCAAGATCACGTCACTGCACTCCAGCCTGGTCAATGGAGCAAGACCCTGTTTGGGTGGGGAGGGGAGGGGAGTGGAGGGGAGAGGAGAAAGGAAAGAAAGGAAAGGAAAGAAAATAGAAAGAAGGAAGGGGGAGGGAAGGAAGGAAGGAAAAAGAGAGAGAAAAAGAATGAAGAACAAAAATGAAAATTTTTTAAAAACCTAAGGTTAAAATAAACCCTTTTTCTTCATACAGATTAAACACGAGTTCAAATTACAGCTTTGCTGCTTAATAGCTTGGTGACCTAGGACAAGTTATCTAACCTCTCTGTGCCTCAGTTTCCTCATTTAAAAATAGGGCAATAATAATATCTACCACATAAGGTATTTGCTGATCACAAATACCTGGCAACCCAGTAGATACTCAGTGTAATAATTATTATTTTTATAATTTCTGCCTAAGTACAAAGATGATTCTTGGGTTAACCTAAAGGTAGATTTTCTTTTATTTCTTCCTGTTTCTTTTATTTTTCTTGTTCACCTTAAAGAATTAAAAAGAAAATCGATTCCAGCATTTTGGAATAAAAATTTGCATCAAAATCAATTTATTCATTTTATTGACATATGAACAAAATGTCATTTGTTTATTCAATAAACATTTGTTAAATGCCTAATACATTTCAGACATCATGCCAGGCACGGGGATGACAGGGCATGGTGGCAGGCACCTGTAATCCCAGCTACTTGGGAGGCTAAGGCAGGAGAATTGCTTGAACCTGGGAGGCGGAGATTGCAGTGAGCCAAGATTGCACCACTGCACTCCAGCCTGGGTGACAGAGTGAGACTCCGTCTCAGAAAAAAAAAAAAAAAAAAAAAAAATGTGGTCTCTGCCCTCAAAGCGCTCATAGTCCAGGAGCCTGACAAGTGGACAGGTGATTACATGCAATGTAAGAAAGGCTGTGATGTCATACAAGAAGACAAGTGGGAGTATGGTTTTGACCAGTTCCTCCTCTTAGATTTATTCCTTCTTCTTTGGCTATAAAGCAAAAGAATTGGTCCTATTTTTTTTTAACTGTGCAAATTAAACCATAAATTTTAAAAACTTTATAAAGATAAAAGACAAGCAGCCAGCCGCAGTGGCTCATGCCAGTAATCCTATCAGTTTGGGAGGCTGAGGCAGGTAGATCACCTGAGGTCAAGAGTTCAAAACCAGCCTGACCAACATGGTAAAACCCCGACTCTACTAAAAATACAAAAATTAGCTGGGCGTGGTGGTGGGTGCCTGTAATCCCAGCTACTCGGAAGGCTGAGGCAGAACAGGAGAATCACTTGAACCTGGGAGGCGGAGGTTGCAGTGAGCCAAGATCGAGCCATTGCACTCCAGCCTGGGCAACAAGAGCGAGACTCCATCTCAAAAAAAAAAAAAAAAAAAAAAAAAAAAAAATAGAAGAACAACTTGAATTATGATGAGCAACTTGAATTATGGAGGATGCTAGAAATACTGTTTCCTCCACAGTCGGGGCTTCCTACCAACATAGTCACTTTTAGGGTTTTTGACCTGAAAAGTTCTGTGGCATATTTTTTCTTTGCTATCCACTTTTTTTTTCCTTGTAGTTCTTCCCCGCGTTCTATCCTTTATCTTCTAGAGACCTTGGTAGTTCCCATAGGAATAGTGCTTTACGGAGTCTAATGGTGATTTCTTAGGTAAAGACAGGAAACATTTTTTTCTTTTTTACCTACAAGTTCCATATCAAAAAATGAATGTAAACTTTTCATGCAGTTTTACACATTGAAAATGCAGGTTATTTTAATTCCATTCCATTTTTCAGAATTCTCAATCACAATCCTCTGACAACTGTTGAAGATCCGTATCTCTTTAAATTGCCAGCATTAAAATATCTGTAAGTACTATAGTACTCTCATGAGTCAAGAGATGATTTATGCTTTTTAAATTTTTCATCAAAGCTTAAGTATTTTGCATTTAGGCTAAAATGTCATAATTTAAATTTTAACTGGGTTATTGAAAAAAAGTTATTGGCGAAGAAAAAAATTAAGAGGATGTATAATGGTCAAGACAGCCAGCAGGGGAAGAGAACAGCATTGAAGAACCCATATAGATTTGGAACATGTAGACACATGGAGGAATATTATTTAACCAAGAAAGCAAAGGGGAAAAGGTGTTCATTATTCTAAAAATAAAGAAAAGAGTAAATAAGATGGTGAGTGCAATATGAAAATGAGAAGATAATGGTAAAAAAAAAAAAGTGTAAGTTCTGCTCTTGAGTATCATTAATTTGATGATGCAAATCAACTTTTAATTTCTTTAATAAGAGCTCCCTGGAATTCTACAGCAAATAAAGTCTTGAGCTGGCTTGTTTAATAGAGAAGCCAAAATTGAATTGTTAAGTACAGAATTTTTTATTGGGGCTCATATCATGAATGTTTCGGCTTTCTTCTTCAGAGACATGGGAACAACGCTAGTCCCACTTACAACACTTAAGAACATTCTCATGATGACTGTTGAACTGGAAAAACTGTAAGTTATTTTTTTCTGAGATTTATTTTTACTTAGTTGGTTCTTTAGGTTTGTTTTATTATTTTCTTAAGTCAGGTTCATTGAGGTATAATTTTCATATAGTAACATTCACGCTTTTTAAGCGTACAGTTTGATGAGTCTGACAAATGTATAGTTACATAACCACCACCACATTCCCAATATAAAGCATTTCTGATGCCTCAAAAAGGCCCCTACTGTCCCTCTGTAGGCAATCCCATCCTCCCACCATCAGCCCCTGTTAGCTACTAATCTGATTTCTGTTCCTATACTTTTGCCTTTTCCAGAATGTCTTATAAATGAAATCATATAGCACATAGCCTCTTGTGTTTGGCTCCTTTCACAAAGCCTAATTTTTTTTTTGTTTTTGAAATGGAATCTCACTCTGTCGCCCAGGCTGCAGTGCAGCGGCATGACCTAGGCTCACTGCAACCTCCACCTCCCAGGTTCAAGTGGTTCTCCTGCCTCAGCCTTCCGAGTAGCTGGGATTACAGGCGCATGCCACCACACCTGGCTAATTTTTGTATTTTTAGTAGAGACAAGGTTTCGCCATGTTGGCCAGGGTGGTTTCGAACTCCTGACCTCAAGTGATCCGCCTGCCTCAGCCTCCCAAAGTGCTAGGATTACAGATAAGATCCACCTTGCCTGGCCTCACTCAGTAGAATTTTTTTTGAGATTATGCTACCATCCATGTTGTTGCACCTATCACTACAGCTGGCCCTCCATATCTGCAGGTTCCTCATCCATAGATTCAACGAACCATGGATGGAGAATATTTGGAAAAAATAAAATATATAAAACAACAATACAACAATAAAAACAGTAGAAAATTTAAAATACAGTATAATTATGTACATACCATTTACACTGTATTAGGTACTTAGAGTATACCTGAGGCTGTATACAAACATTATGTCATTTCATAAAAAAGACCTCAGCATCTGTGGACTTTGGTATCTGCAGGGGGTCCTGGAGCCAATCCCCTGCAGACACCGAGGGACAACTGTTCACTCCTTTTTATTGCTGAGTAGTATTCCGGTTGTGTGGAAATGCCATCTCTACTAAAAATGCACAAATTAGGCAGGTGTGGTGGCACATGCCTGTAATCCCAGCTACTCAGGAGGCTGAGGCACGAGAAGTGCTTGAACTTGAGAGGTGGAGGTTGCAATGAGCCGAGATTGCACCACTGCACTCTAACCTGGGCGACAGAGTGGGACTCTGTCTAAAAAAAAAAGTAAGAAATAAAAATGTTTTCTGAAGAGCAGAAGTTTTTAATTTTGACCAGCTTTAAGTTAGCATTTTTTTCTTAAATGGCTTGTGATTTTTTGTTTCTTACCTAAGAAATCTTTAAGAACCTGTTGTCTAATCCAGCGTCTAAAAGATTTTCTCCTATGTCTTCTCCCAGAAATGATACACATTTAGGTCTATGATCCATTTTGAGTTAATTTGCATATGTGATGTATCTTTTTTATTTTTTATTTTTTTGTAGAAATGAGGTCTCAGTATGTTCCCCAGGCTGGTCTCGGACTCCTGGTCTCAAGTGATCCTCCTGCCTCACCTCCCAGAGTGCTGAGATTACAGGCATGAGACACCGTGCCTGGCCTTCTTTGCAGGATATATATATAGATATATATATATATATAAATCAGCCAGGTGTGGTGGCACACGCCTGTAGTCCCAGCTACTAGGGAACCTGAGTCAGGAGGATCACTTGAACCCAGGAGGTGGAGGTTGCAGTGAGCCAAGATGGCACCACTGCACTCCAGCTTGGGTGACAGAGCAAGACCCTGTCTAAAATATATATATATTTATATATATGTACGTGTATATATGTATATGTATGCCTGCGGGGCCCTATTGTGAGTTTGTTACACAATTTACTGCAACTTCAATTGTGCCACCAGCCCCCACAATATGGCAAGCTAAATAGAGACTCAGTTATGCTAGGGCTGGTTGAGGGCATTTTGCAAGATTAGCATGGAAAGGGCCCTTCATTTAGCACTCTGCTCCGTTCATTTTTGTCAGGTCACTTTCTTATCTTGACCAGGTTGTCAGATCTCTTTTACTGCTCTAGCCTCACTTTCCTCAGCCTCCTGCAGCATCTTCCCCATCAGCTGGATCCCTTCCTCTCTGGATGAAGTCCCCTTCATCGACCAGCTTTCTCACTTAGTTCTCTAAGATAGTGAGGATCTGTCTGCTTTTTTCTTGACCATTATTGGATAGGAAAAATGCTCTCATCCTCTGTAATGATTTGTCACCAAGGCCATAAAGACATTGAACTAAATGTCTTATGGGAGTTCATTATTGGAAGTCTTCAGGAGTTTACACATTTATGTACAAAGTAAGTAGGCCAGCTCATTTGAGTCTTGGCTCATGTGTAATGATCTTTCATGTGTATTGAAAAATTATTCTCAAGTATACCTCAGGTCATTTACAGTCTCAAAGATTTGTCAGTATACTTTAAAACAATCCTGGGAACAGTTCTAGATTGAAGGAGACTAAAGAATCATGTACTAAGTGTAATGTCTGATGTTTGATTGGATTGTGAATTTTTTAAGCCATGTTATGATTGGGACAATTGTGAAAATGTGTATACGGACCGCATAGTAGACAATGATAATATGAAGTTCCATTGAGTGATGATAGTCCTCTGGTTATGTCAGAGAATGCCTTGGTTCTTAGGGGCTGCACACTGAAGTCTTCAATGGTGAAGGGTCATTATGTCTGCAACTGACTCTCAAATGGTTTTGTCCAGAAAATGTATAGACATACACACACGGAAAGCTAATGTGGCAAAGTATTAGCAACTACTGATTCCAGATGAAAGTTATACAGGTGTTCATTATACCATTTGAAAATGTTTCCCAGCCATCCTAAGGCTTAAAGGAAAAAAAGAAAATGTTTAAAATAAAAACTTGGGGGCAGAAAAAGAATACCAAAAATTTTGGGCTCATGCCTGTAATCCCAGCACTTTGGGAGGCCAAAGAGAGAGGGTTGCTTGTGCCCAGGAGTTCGAGACCAGCCTGGACAACATGGTGAAACCCCATTTCTACAAAATATACAAAAATTAGCCAGGTGTGGTGGCACACACCTGTAGTTCTAGGTACTCAGGAGGCTGAGGTGGGAGGATCACTTGAGCACAGGAGACAGAGGCTGCAGTGAGCCAAGATTGCACCACTGCACTCAGCCTGTGTAACAGAGCGAGACCCGGCCTCAAAATAAACAAAAGAAACACCTTTGTGGCAGAGGTAAGGTTGCTATACAACAAAATGCTGGGTTACGGTTCCGGGTCCATTCCATATGAAGATCAGAGGCTTCCACTGGACCCAAAGGAATACTACTAGTCACTTGTGATTGTTCCTTTATAGGTTTGAAAGATGTCTCAGGCCAACTTATTGGATGCAGTTTTAATCTAAAACTCTATACATTGTACCCCCAACTCACAGACTTCTTGTATCCATGAAACCCTCTTCTGTTTTCATAGTCTTAATATGGCCCCAATAAAGCCATCCTTCTGGAGGACTCAGAAAAGGCCCCCCACAACCTCTGCAACACAATAATTATAGTTAACTCTTATTGAGCACTGACTGTGCACCAGGCATTTTTCAGGTATTGATTCATTTGATCCTCAAAATTCATTAGAGGTAGGTACTATTATAATGACAAGGCCAAGGAACAGAGATTAAACAATTTGCCCAAATTCACATTATTATCAGAGCTGAGATTGAAGCATAGTCTGGCTATGGAATCTGTATTCTTAATGACCATGCTATACTGCCTAAGATTAACCTTTTACTTCAGTTACAGGGATTGTTTTTATCTCTCTGAAAGTGCCCCCAATAAGCCACAACAATAAATTAATCAATTGTCTCGGTCACCTCTTTTGCCCAAATTTACGTATTGGAAAAAATTCAAACAAGCCAGAAAGATGAAAGAATAGTACAGAATCCAATCAAAGATCAGGCACTGCATGTCATGTCTTCATTTCCTTTAATCTAAAACATGCCTCTACTTTCTTTGATCTTTCATGACACTGGCATTTTTTAAGAGTCAAAGATAGTTGTCTTGTAAATTGTCCCACAATCCAGATTTGTCTGTTTCCTCATGATGAAATTCAAGTTAAGCATTTTTGGGAAAAATACTGCATAGGTGATGTATCCTTCCTGCCTCGTAACCGCAGATGGCCTGTAATACTAAGTTTGATCACTTGACTAAGGTGATCTTCCAGGTCTCTCCATTGTAATTATTTTGCTGGCTACAGTGGCTCCCACTTGTAATCCCAGCACTTTGGAAGGCCGAGGTGGGAGGATTGCTTGAGCCCAGGAGTTCTACACCAGCCTGAGCAACATGGGGAAACTCTGTCACTACTGAAAATACAAAAGTACAAAAAAAAAAAAAAAATTAGCTGGGCATGGTGGTGCAAGCCTATACTCCCAGCTACTCAGGAGGCTGAATTTGGAGGATCCCTTGAGCCCAGGGGGGTTGAGGCTGCATTGAGGTATAATTTTGCCACTGTATTTCAGCCTGGGTGACAAAATAAAAATAAAAATAAAAAATAATAATTTTCCCCTTGGTAATTAATAAATAATCTGTGGGTTGTTACTTTGAGTTCAGTGAAGATCCTGTTCTCAAATGTTTTTTCACCCAAATGTGCATCAATGATAATCCTTGTCTGAATGAATTTGTATTACACTGACGGTTGCAAAGTGACACTTTTAAAAATTCTGTCATTCCTTCTACATTTACTAGCTGGCATTATTTCATTGAAGAAGAACTCCTCCTCTTTCTTTTTCAATATCACTCTTCGTGGATTCTTCTTTATATTAAATATGTTGTAACTTATTGTTGTTATTCTTTTGAATGCTCAAATTGTCCAGATTTGACCAATGCAGTCTTTGTTATTTTTTAACTCCGCAATCCAGGTTAAACTAAGCTATTTTTAATGCCCAGAGTAATTTATAATATTTCCCACTCCCAACAGGAATTGAGAAAGGGACTCCAGAAGTTGGGGGCTTATTCAGACTTCTTAAAAGTCTACCTTCTTCCTCTGTACTTTCAGCCCAAAGTGAGACTTTTGAATTGGGAAGAGATACTTCTGAAACTACTAATCACTGTCACCCAATTCTAATCCCAACCATCTTTATTCTAGGCATACCATACTCACTGCCATGCTTACCCTTCAGTTGGGCACTTTTGTCCTCCTTCCTATTGGCCTTCTGGTTCCTACCCAACTGTCCAGTCCATAGGCTTCAATGACACCTTTTTCCCACACCTGTGGTAGCGTTGGCTGCCTCCTTTACCTACTCAAGTAACCGCTTTACCGCTAATTTATTGCTCTCTGTTTTCATCTATAGGATCTTACCTAGCCATATGGCCTGCTGCCTCTGCCAATTTAAAAACAGCATTGAGGCTGTCTGCAAGACAGTCAAGCTGCATTGCAACAGTGCATGTCTGACAAACACCATACATTGTCGTGAGTCCAAATTGCGCGGTGATAAATTGTTACATTAAGTATTTGTTTTCAAACTTTTTATTTTTAATGATGATAAAATTTTAAGCTAATGACATAATTGCTTTATTTTTATTTACTCATTCAGAGTTAAACTCCCTCAATTTCCGAACTACTCCCTTGCTGAAAGTCAGGTTCTCAGTTACTATTACAAAATTTAATAATAGAACTGTTCCATATGCAGAAAGGACCAAGACAAAGGAATGGGAAGGCTAGGGAATAACATTAACATCCACACACTGTATACTGTGCTCTCTGCTTGATGCTTTGCCCACAGTGATAATTTCTTCATATAGTGCAATGTAGTTTGTAAGCTGGTTTTAAATCCATGAGATCTCAAGTACTCTCTGCCTTATAGGACAGATGTAGATACGGTTTTGGTCTTTCTGTTTTTACAGTTTTATAAGAGTACAAGTGATGCTGTTTTATTTGAAGCCTGAGAGCTTCTGGTTCCATAACCAGAAATTGCTACCTGGCTCTTCTAATGGAATGGAGGGCTTTTCCATTCTTAGACCATCCAACTCTGAACTTGCTCCGAATCTCAAACCTTTCTATTCACAGAACAAACGCTCAAGGGCTTTCAAGAGTGTTTCTGTAGATTAGGCTTATTAGCATCAACTTCATGACTTCTAAAATGTGACTGCTTTCATGTCCAGATAGCTTGAATACAGGTATCTACCAGTGATATGGGGTGGAGAATTAATAATGCTTGGTTACATAAAGTCAGTGTTGCTTATTTTTCAAAACTTTTTTTTTTTTTTTTTACCAATTATGTTATTCCCTTCTCCCCAAGAAGTGGGCAGAAAAGCTTTGTTAACCTCCTTTTACAGATGAGGAAAAACAAGATCAGAGGTGCTAAGTGCTGTAGCCTAGTGCCAGGTCTTCTGGCCCCAATTCTGGGTTCTCCCCAAGCCCATGTTTCTTCCCCTTTCTCACAATCTTTACTTCTTCCTCTGACCCTCACCACCACCCAAAGTACTTTTAATTCTAGAAAAGAAACCCAGCTGCACACTGGCACACCTGACCTTCATGCAGTCAGAAGCTTTGGATGATTCCCCATCCAAAATATTAGAGATGAAATGAAAGCAAAGTAGGCATCTGACAAAAGTTGCTTTTTCCCTTCTGCATTTTAGGACCTCAAGTAATGTTTATCCAGAAACTGCTATCATACCAGGGATTCATTGTGTATTTAACAACATAGGCATGCAATCTGGCAAATTTGAAAAACTCTTAACATACACCCCAAATCCCTGCCCAAATTTAAGAACTAGGGTGGACACAGTGCGTTTTTCCATGTCACATCTTCTGTGATGGGGCTACGATACGTGGGAGCAGAGAATGGGGAGGGTGGAGCGCATGCCAGATGAGGATCTATCAGCAATGGGACGGGGCCTCCACTTTAGCATCTCCACCCTGCTCCTCTCAGAGGACCGCCTTTCATTGCATTCAGCTGTGATGGTAGCACGAACACAGGTGCACCGAGGACGAGGAGAGCAGGAGCCTTGTGCTCTCTCTGCATCTGAGGCAGGACAGCACAGGGTACGGAGCAGTCTGCAGAGAGGCCAGCTCATCAGGGAAGCACTTGTCTTCCACCTTGGGCTTTGACTGAGCACTGGGCAATTGGCCTCTGGGGATCAACGAAATAATCCTAAACAGAGTTACTCTATGTCACACTATGGAATGTTCCAAGTAGGTGGCCGTGTTTTCAAAAGATGTATTTTCTCCTTTTGTTGTTGCCATTTCATAGGTTTAGGATTGGGTGTGTGTTTCTCCTCTCTGAATGGCACTCGAATGTTTGCTGACTCCTACTCTGTGTGACTGGGGTGTACAGCTATGGACTGATGCATCCCATCCCATCATCTTTCATGATCAAAGCAGTCTCTTCTTTTTTGACAGCTGAAGAAGCATCGGTAGGGAATCCAGAAGGAGCGTTCATGAAGGTGTTACAAGCCCGGAAGAACTACACAAGCACTGAGCTGATTGTTGAGCCAGAGGAGCCCTCAGACAGCAGTGGCATCAACTTGTCAGGCTTTGGGAGTGAGCAGCTAGACACCAATGACGAGAGTGATTTTATCAGTACACTACGTTACATCTTGCCTTATTTCTCAGCGGTAAACCTAGATGTGAAATCACTGTTACTACCGTTAATTAAACTGCCAACCACAGGAAACAGCCTGGCAAAGATTCAAACTGTAGGCCAAAACCGGCAGAGAGTGAAGAGAGTCCTCATGGGCCCAAGGAGCATCCAGAAAAGGCACTTCAAAGAGGTAGGAAGGCAGAGCATCAGGAGGGAACAGGGTGCCCAGGCATCTGTGGAGAACGCTGCCGAAGAAAAAAGGCTCGGGAGTCCAGCCCCAAGGGAGGTGGAACAGCCCCACACACAGCAGGGGCCTGAGAAGTTAGCGGGAAACGCCGTCTACACCAAGCCTTCCTTCACCCAAGAGCATAAGGCAGCAGTCTCTGTGCTGAAACCCTTCTCCAAGGGCGCGCCTTCTACCTCCAGCCCTGCAAAAGCCCTACCACAGGTGAGAGACAGATGGAAAGACTTAACCCACGCTATTTCCATTTTAGAAAGTGCAAAGGCTAGAGTTACAAATACGAAGACGTCTAAACCAATCGTACATGCCAGAAAAAAATACCGCTTTCACAAAACTCGCTCCCACGTGACCCACAGAACACCCAAAGTCAAAAAGAGTCCAAAGGTCAGAAAGAAAAGTTATCTGAGTAGACTGATGCTCGCAAACAGGCTTCCATTCTCTGCAGCGAAGAGCCTCATAAATTCCCCTTCACAAGGGGCTTTTTCATCCTTAGGAGACCTGAGTCCTCAAGAAAACCCTTTTCTGGAAGTATCTGCTCCTTCAGAACATTTTATAGAAAAGAATAATACAAAACACACAACTGCAAGAAATGCCTTTGAAGAAAATGATTTTATGGAAAACACTAACATGCCAGAAGGAACCATCTCTGAAAACACAAACTACAATCATCCTCCTGAGGCAGATTCCGCTGGGACTGCATTCAACTTAGGGCCAACTGTTAAACAAACTGAGACAAAATGGGAATACAACAACGTGGGCACTGACCCGTCCCCCGAGCCCAAAAGCTTCAATTACCCATTGCTCTCGTCCCCAGGTGATCAGTTTGAAATTCAGCTAACCCAGCAGCTACAGTCCCTTATCCCCAACAACAATGTGAGAAGGCTCATTGCTCATGTTATCCGGACCTTGAAGATGGACTGCTCTGGGGCCCATGTGCAAGTGACCTGTGCCAAGCTCATCTCCAGGACAGGCCACCTGATGAAGCTTCTCAGTGGGCAGCAGGAAGTAAAGGCATCCAAGATAGAATGGGATACGGACCAATGGAAGATTGAGAACTACATTAATGAGAGCACAGAAGCCCAGAGTGAACAGAAAGAGAAGTCGCTTGAGGTGAGGACCACACAGAAACATGAGACCCAGATTTCCCATCATTTAGCATATCCCAGGAAAGTGCCCACACAGAAGAGTCTGGGACTCCCAGGCCATAGCTTATCTTGGCCATGTAACTTTGGTCATGACAGTGATCTCCCACTTTGCTCATGTAGAGAGAGAAATAGATTAGGGCACAAGATGAACTGTAGGCCGGGGGTGGTAGCTCACGCCTGTAATCTCAGCACTTTGGGAGGCGAAGGTGGGTGGATTACTTGAAGTCAGGAGTTTGAGACCAGCTTGGCCAACATAGTGAAAGCCTGTCTCCACAAAAAATAAGAAAATTAGCTGGGTTGATGACACGTGCCTGTAGTCCCAGCTACTTGGAAGGCTGAGGTGGGAGGATCACCTGAGCCCAGGGAGGTCGAGTCTAGTGAACGGTGATTGCACCACGGTACCCAAGCCTGGGTGACAGAGTGAGACCCTCTTTCAAAAAAATAAAAAAGAACCTGTCAGCTACTCACCTGGAATACTGGGGTTTTGAATAGTTAGCTCTCATTCTGGTTTTTTTTTGTGTGTTTTTTTTTTTAGCTCAAAAAAGAAGTTCCAGGATATGGCTATACTGACAAACTCATCTTGGCATTAATTGTTACTGGAATACTAACGATTTTGATTATACTTTTCTGCCTTATTGTGGTAAGGACAATAATTAATTCAGGTTTTCAGAATGCAGTCCTGTCTTTGTGTGGATTCAGAGCTCACAAACTGAAAACCAAAGCCACTTTCCCACCTGCTGCTACTTGACATACTTCTTCAGTCATTTAAGGCTGAGGTGTATGCTTTGTTCTTTTACTGCAGTGTATATTTCAGGATTTTTAAAGGATCCTCGCTTTCAGATCTCTGTGAATTGAAACCAAGTGAATCCCACTAGACTATTTTAAGAAGTCGATATAATAGCAAAATTTCTCCCACCCAAAACTATGTCAACAATTGGATGTACTCATCAAGTCACCCTTACTCTGCCACTAATTTATTTCCTTGGTGCTGAAATGATGAGAGAGGTATAATCTCCACCCTCACGGAGTTGTCATCACCCTGGAGAGGAAGGAGAGAGCCAAAAGACATACGTATTGTCTTGTAGACTTATTAGATTTACACAGTATCGTCCTCCAGTGTGTAAGGCATTGTCTAAATAGGTCCAGTTAAAGCACTACAGAGTAGCCATCTTTTACAAAAATTTTTGGCCACATTTTTAAGTTCACTGGTGAGGGGGAACGTCTCATACTCTAGCCCTCCTGAGCCTATACCCTCTGTGAGATGTGTCACCATTTCTTGGACACCATGTGAGACATTCCCCCTCAGATTAGAGATGCTCAGCTTGCATCAACTTACCTAAAGCCTACATCTGGCTACTCTGGGACAAGTCCTGTTTACAGTGCCCATTCCTGGAGCTTGCCTCTGTCTTTTGTTCGATTACATGATGTATTACTTTTCCCAACAGGCCAGTGCTAGCATATTGGAAGAGTGATTTAATAAAGCTGGCAACCTTGACGCTATGCCACCAGTCCAACCTTACTTGCCTCATTTACCATTTCCATTATTGTGGCAGCCCTCCATTCCAGCCACAGCAGCCCCTCACCAAACCCCAGTCACACCACCCACATTTCTGCTTTTGTCTGTGTGTTTGTCCATCTAAAATGCCCTTATTTCACTCTGCCTGTGGGAGTCCTATGCATCTCTCAAAAGCCAACTCAAGTTCATCTTTCTTCTTGACACCTTCCCTGAATATTCCAGCCCTGCTGAGCCTGGTCCCTTTGTGAGATTTGTCACCATTTCTTGGACACCATATGAGAGACTTCAGAGGCTGAAGTGGGAGGATCGCTTGAGCCTGGGAGGTCGAGGATGCAGTGAGCTGTGGTCGTACCACTGCACTCTAGCCTGGGCAACACAGCTAGGCCCTGTCTTAAAAACAGCCACCACCAAAAACTATCTTGGGATTTGAATAGGATTACGTTAAATTTGTAGATTAATTTGAGAATTTACATCTGTACGACATTCTAGGAACGTGCTATCTCATGTCATGTATTCATTTCTTGTTAATGTCTTTCAGAAGAGCTTTAGTGTTTCCATATATAGATCTTATACATCTTTTGTTAGATAAAAGATCTTTGTATTTTTGTTCCTAAATTCTTCATACATTTGTATTGCCATTGTAAATGGGATCTTTCTTCCATTTTCTAATTAGTTATTGGTGGTACATGGGAAAAGTATTTGAGGTTTGTGTGCTGATTTCTTGATTTTGTAGATAGCCACTGTATTGAATTCTCATTACTTCCAGTAAAATCTTAGTTGATTCTCTTAGGCTTCTTTGGCTAACATTTATCATTTAATATGCAAATAATGATAGTTTTGTCTCTTCCTTTCCAATACTTCTACTCTTTCCTTCCTTTCCCTTTTCCTTTTTCCTTTCCTTTCCTTTCCTTTTTTTTCCCTTCTCAGGGCCTTGTTGTCACCCAGGCTGGAGAGCAATGGTGTGACCTAGCTCACTGTAACATCAAACTCCTGGGCTTAAGGGATCCTCCTGCCTCAGCTTCCTGAGTGGCTGGGACTACAGGCAGGCAGCTAATTTAAAAAATGTGTTCGTAGAGACAAGGTCTTGCTATGTTGCCCAGGCTGGTTTTCCTGCCACTTCAGAGGAAGGACTCAGGTTTCCTTTTTCTCCTACTTTTAAGAGTTTTTATTAGGAATTATCTGTTGAATGTTATCTAAAACAGTCAATAAAATGTATTAAGTGCCAGCTGCATGCAAGACCCTAAGTTAGATACAGTCAGCCCTCTTCATCAGCAGGTCCACATCTTCAGATTCAACTAGATCAGGCTGAATATTTGAAGAAAAAAAAAAACCAATAAAAATACAAACAGAAAGTACAATATAACAACTGTCAACAATGTACAATATGTATACATTTTATTAGTGATGACTTAAATTACATGGGGCCAGGCATGGTGGCTCACACTTGTAATCCCAACACATTGGGAGGCCAACCTGGGCAGCATAGTGAGACCTTGTCTTTATTAAAAATTAAAAAAAAAAATAGCCAGGTGTGGTAGTATGCACCTGTAGTCTCAGCTACTCAAGAGGCTGAGGTGGGCGGATCACTGGAGCCCAGGAGGTTGAGGCTACAGTGAGCTGTGATCGTGACACCGCACTCCATCCTGAGTAACAGAGGATGACACTGCACTCCAGCGTAAGCAACAGAGGGCAATCCTGTCGCTAAGTAAATAAAGTATAGGGGGGATGCGTGTTGGTTATAAGCAAATATTACACCATTATATGTAAGGGATTGAGCATCCACAGATTCTGGTATGGTGTGGGGGCGGTATCCTAGAACCAATCCCCCGCAAGATAGCAAGGATGACTGAACTATGGAAGAATCAAAGCAGTGTTACACAGCATACAATTCCTGTCTTCAAAAAAGTTACCTCATCAGGTAGATGAGACTTATAATGAATAAAAGGAATCAATACAGATTTGGAGACGGTGGTTGTTGTCATAGATAATCTTAATTGCGTTTTCTTCTAAAACAGATATGTTGTCACCGAAGGTCATTACAAGAAGATGAAGAAGGATTCTCAAGGTAAATATTAGTCTGGTGATTTTTTTTTTCTTTTGAGACGGAGTTTCCCTCTTGTTGCCAGGCTGGAGTGCAATGACACGATCTCGGCTCACGGCAACCTCCACTTCCCAGGTTCAAGCGATTCTCCTGCCTCAGCCTCCCAAGTAGCTGGGATTACAGGCATGCACCACTAGTCTCGCGACGTTTTAATTAGAATTTTAGAATTAGAGGAGGGCTTAGAACTCTGCCCTCATTTTTCAGTGAGGAAACTGCCCAAGACAGGACAAATACTTACCCTAATGCTTAGCCTGGCTCCAGTGAAATTAGCTCCCCAGCCAAAGCTGAGCTGGATGGAACTAACAAGGACACACCTGCTGTCCCCAGCCCTTTCGGGAGGTGGGGAGGGATAGGAAGGAGAAAGGTTTTGGTGCCTATTGCTGCTGATGGTGGGCATCAGGCCAGGCCAGGGGCCTTCTTGGAGGCTCTGGGAAAGGGGAAGGGAAGGCCACCGGGTGTGAGAGAGAGGGCACTTGTCTCCTTCAAGGCTGATGGAAGGTAGGATATGTGAGTCCTTCCTCTTAAGTGGCAGGAAACAGTATTTTCTCTTTTATTTCTTTTTTTTTTCCCCTGGATCCTAGAACTGAGGAAACACTATTTTCTCATCTTACTGGTTTTTGGGCCCCTACTCTATTCCTTTTATGCAAACCTCACAGAATTTTAACCAGAAAGGCCAGGCAGGATGGCTCACGCCTGTAATCACAGCACTTTGGGATCACTTGAGGTTAGGAGCTCGTGACCAGCCTGACCAACATGGTGAAACCCCATCTCTACTAAAAATACTAAATTAGCTGGGTGTGGTGGCGCAGGCGTGTAATCCCAGCTACTTGGGAGGCTGAGGCAGGAGAACTGCTTGAGCCCAGGAGGCGCAGGTTGCAGGGAGCCAAGATAGCACCATTGCACTCCAGCCTGGGGAATGAGCCAAACTGTCTCAAATAAAAAAAAAACAACAAAAAAGAATTTTAACTACGGAGACCTTAGATAGTAGTTTGTCCTTTTATGACAGGAAAACTGAGAAGGAGAAAGGGAGAGTGTCTTACTTACCCCATGGTCACACAATGCACTCTGCCTTTTCCTATTTTATTCAAATTCAAAAATAACATGTTGTGCTTTAAGCTGATTTCGTAGCTCACTCACTCATCAGCGACAGCCAGCCATATGAAGACTGTGAGATAGAGAACTTGGCTAGCTGCACTCACGCATTTGCTTGAGGTGATCCAACTTATAGAATAAAGTATCTAGAAAACGAAGAACCACTTCATCTCCCATCCCCCATCAAATGATGCCTGTGAGACTAAGTCCGAAGGGGACTGATATAAAATGCTTCTGCCCAGCATGGTTGTGCAGTTTGTTCACTGCACAAGGGCACTTGGCCAAGGGAGTGAGTGGGACTGAAAATCCTGCCCCTGCTCCATGCTGAGCCACATACAAAGTCCCCCCAGTATATTGTGGGGCCCTTCTGGGCAGACATGGAGAGCTTCTGAAAGTCCCACATGCATGGAATTATTTTCAAGACCCCGGGTATGTGGTCTGTGGTGGTGGTTCTCCCTGTGATTATGGACTGAGATACTCATTTAGTCCTAATAAGACCAGAGAAGTACATTGTGAGATACGTGGGAAACGGCTGCATCACTCACTGTCTTGTGCATGTGTCTCCCCAGGGGCATTTTCAGATTTCTGCCACGGAGGGGATGCTCTTCGCGAAGGGAGAGTCAGGTACATTGGAGGATTCATTGCTGTGGCCAGGGAAAGCAGAGGACATGCAAAATTAATATTTCCCTTTCTATCTTCTAGGATGGACTTTCCTCATTTGGACAGCCGCTCTGGTTTAAAGATATGTACAAACCTCTCAGTGCCACAAGAATAAATAATCATGCATGGAAGCTGCACAAGAAGTCATCTAATGAGGACAAGATCCTCAACAGGGACCCTGGGTAAATGATGGGGCCCTCACAGTTCCCATCTAAAATGAGGAGGGGGTGAGAAGCTTAATTGCTCCTTTCAAGAATGAAAACCTTGGCATTGTTATTCTTATCCCAGGGACAGCGAAGCCCCAACGGAGGAGGAGGAGAGTGAAGCCCTGCCATAGGAGGAGAACACAGCCCACCTCAGGCCTCCTGCAAAAATACATAGAATAAACAACAACAGTTACTAAATGAATGAAAATTGTGATTCCGATGAAGCCTGCCAGAGAAAAAAAGCATTTTTTAAAAGAGGAAATAAGGTGATATCTGATTAGGGCAAACATGATGCAGACAAGAAATGCACCGGTTCAGAGGAGGGAAGGTCAGGCCGCCTGGGGAGAGTCCATGAAAAAGATGGAACGTGCCAGATGCTGTACCTGGTGCTGGGAAAGAGTTGACTAGGCCAGCATCCCTTTCCTCAAAGGGGGGGCTCCTAGACTGGGGGGAGGGCTGGACATCTGAATACATCCTGAGGAGACAGTGTGGGACAGCATGGTGGCAGTGGAACCAGCCGTGGTTCTGCTCTTGGTCGGCTGGAAAGGAGTAGATGTAAGGGATGGTTTAGAAGAAGGGAAGTGGAAGAAAAGTTTTCTGAGCTGACAAGAGGAAGGAAAGGCCGCCTAGAAGGACACTAAAAAGGCAAGAGAAGCCCTAAGCAGAGTGAGCACCAGACTCCACAGGTTAAGGGCTCAGTCACACAGGACCATCCGCATGTCAGACCCCAGGTGCAAGGCCAAGCATCACCTATGCATCTGACCAACTGGCTGTAAATTGGAGGTCCCCACAACTCCCTCCTCAGGTTTGAACATTTGCTAGAACAGCTCATGGAACCCAGGAAAACAGTTTTCTTACTAGTGCTGATTTATTACAAAGGATATTTTAAAGGACACAAATGATGAAGCCAGTTGAAGAGATACACAGGGTGAGGTTTGGAAGGGTCCTTGTGGAGTTGGGGTGCACCACTCTCCTGGAACATGGATGTGTTCGCCAACCCGGAAGCTCTCCAAGTCCTGTCTTTTAAGGAGTTTTCTGGAGGCTTTATCACATAGGCATGATTGAGCTCCAGCTCTACTCCCCACGCCAGAGGATGGGGAATGGGGCTGACAGCACAACGCTTCCAACCATAGGTCTTTTTGGTGACCAGTCCCCAAATAAGGAGCCCACCAAGAGTCACCTCATGAGAACAAAGGACGCTTCTATCACCCAGAAAATTCCAAGGGATTTAGGAGCTCTGTGTCAGGAACCAGGTTTAAGGACCAAATGTTAGAACAAAAGATGTGCAACCATAAAAAACAGCGAGATCATGTCTTTTGCAGGAACACAGATGGAGCTAGAGGCCATTATCCTCAGCAAACTAAGACAGGAACAGAAAACCAAATACTGTATGTTCTTTTAAGTGGGAGCAAAATGATGAGAACTCATAAACAACAGACACTGGGCCCTACCTGAGGGTGGAGGGTGGGAGGAGGGAGAGGAGCAGAAAAAACTATTGGGTACTAGGCTTGGTACCTGGGTGATGAAATAATCTGTACAACAAACCCCCATGACACAAGTTTAGCTATATAACGAACGTGCATATGTACCCCCTAACCTAAAAGAAAAGTTTAAAAAGGAAAAAACACCTAGGAGAAAAGAAAAATGATAAATTAACAAAGGACAATGCTCTTAGCACCGCCATCATTCAGGAATTTCCAAGGGTTTTAGGAGCTTTGTGTTAGGAACTGGGGGCAGAGACCAAATATATATTTCTTCTTATGTTACACTACCCCAGATAGGAAAACAGAAATTACTCTAGATATTTCAAACAAAAAAGGGTTGTATACAGGCAATTAGTGCTTATCACTGGAGGTGCCAGAGGTGGTGAAGGTTGTGGGGATGGGGTTGCACCACTGGCTTTCAGGCTACTTTACCACAGCTGATTTCCAGAGGATGGAAGAAGTCAGGAAACTTGGGAAACCGCTGCTGAGGTCCTTGCAGCCCCACGGTCCCCAGGCTGGTGACTGGTGGGGGAGTATGGAGTCCAGCTGACCACCAGAGCCTGCACACCTGCTGCTATGGGGGAGGAAAGGATGACTTCTACCTCCTTTCCACATTCCAAATTCCACGTGACTACATTTTATTGGCAGCACCCCGCTGGCAAGTGAGCCTTGATGTGTGCTTCCTGGGCTTCTGGCACCTGCACAGAAAGGGGTGAAATGAGTGTCACGAGCAGCCACCACTCTGCATCACACCTCCACATCCAGGTGTGCTGGAGAGCCCCACTTACACTTGGAGTGTCCTGGTGCCCTACCCACTTTTGGTAGGTGTTTGGGTGTCTGAGGCTTTGCAAAAGAAGAAGGTGGGGAGTCTATGGTGGAGTCACATGGTGGAGACCTAGCTAAGTCAGAGGCCTGGAGAGGTGTCACTGGCTGGGCAGCAGGTAACACACAATCATCCTGAGCTGATTGGAGAAACACCTGGGATTGATTCAGAGTTTTTTCTGGAATGTTTTCACTGGAATGAAAGCTGAGCGGTCTGCAGGCCATATAGTATTGGAGAAAACTTAGCCCTCATTGAAAAAGGCTGCCAGAGAAAAGGTATCCACAGGGAAATTCAGGAGTTTTGTTTGTTTTTTTTTCTTTTAAGGTGGAGTTTTGCTCTTGTTGCTCAGTCTGGAATGCAATGGCACGATCTCAGCTCACTGCATCCTCCGCCTCCTGGGTTCAAGCAAGTCTCCTGCCTCAGCCTCCCTAGTAGCTGGGGTTACAGGCATGCACCACCATGCCCGGCTAATTTTTGTATTTTTAGTAGAGATGGGGTTTCACCATGTTGGTCAGGCTGGTCTCGAACTCCTGACCTCAGGTAATCCACCCGCCCTGGCCTCCCAAAGGGCTGAGATTACAGGTGCGAGCTACCGCGCCTGGCTTGTTTTGGGTTTTGGGGTTTTTTTTGTGTTTTGTTTGTTTGTTTGTTTTTGGAGACAGTCTCTGTCACCCAGGCTGGAGTGCAGCAGCGTGATCTCGGTTGACTGCAACCTCTGCCTTCCAGGTTCAAGTGATTCTCCTGCCTCAGCCTCCCGAATAGCTGGGATTACAGGCACCCACCACCATGCCCGGCCAATTTTTTTTTTTTTTTTTTTCTAAAAACAGTTTCACCATGTTGGCCAGGCTAGTCTTGAACTCCTGACCTCAAGTGATCCGCTCACCTTGGCCTCCCAAAGTGCTGGGATTACAGGCATGAGTCACTGTGCCCCGCCAGGAAATTCAGTTTCTGAAAATACACCTGTGGATCTCTAGCCTTGAACACCCTTGGATGCTGCTTTAAATGACTGATCCTCGATGCCTCCCTTCTAACTCACACTCCCCTATATCAATCTCCCAGAAAAAGGGACCTCTTTTATTCTTTTTTTTTTTTTTTTTTTTTTTTCAGAGACGGGCCTCACTTTGTTGCCCAGGCTGGTTTTGAACTCCTGGCCTCAAGTGATCCTCCCGCCTTGGTCTCTCAACGTACTGGGATTACAGGTGGGAGTCCCCGCGCCCGGCAAAGCCTATATTAAACCCTTTTATGCACACTCGGCGGTACTGCAGAGAGGGCAGGGAGGAAGCAGAGGTGCCCTGGCATCTTCAGCTGGAGGTGAGCAGGGCGCTGAGGGTGGGAGAGGCCCGGCGCCTGGGGATGGGAGGCAGGACTGCACCTTCACAGGGACGCTTCCACCCTACCCCGGAGGTCAGGGCCTCTCGCCCAGCTCTGGCTCTGAGGTCCTGGAGGGAGGGAGATGCTGTTGCGACTCAGAAGATTGGGGGAGGGCCACCCCCATTCGAGAAGAGTGAAAATCCTGAGCCTGAAGAAGTGGAACCGGTTGGAGCCGAGGCTTTAGAGGATGGCGTTCGAAAGAGGGTCTGGCGCCGCCCTGTGGACTGTTCGGGCTCGCAGGGCCGAAGGCTCCGAAGACTGAGACCTGTGAACCATGGGGAGGCTCCATGCGGATGGGGGCCACAGCCCCCGCCGGAGCCCCCACACTAGCCCTGGACTTCTCCACTGGCTTACGACATGAGAGCTCAATATGCTCCTTATTTAACGCACTGTTGTATCAGGTCCCTGTGGGAGCCACTGGCTCTATAGCCTAATAAAGGAGCGGGTGCACGCACTGGATTGGTGAGCTACCGCCACTGCAACGCGTCCTAATCAACCATCCTAAACGGCGGCTGGAACAAGGTTCTCGCAGGCCTGTGCTTGGGCTTGAACGCTGGTCCAGCCGCTGCGCTCTGTGGCTCCCTGTAGGCCTGCGGATCGGCCAGGGGGCTCCGTTCCTTTTGGGCGGAGGCTGAAGAAGCAGCGGCTGCACCAGAGAAGGCCCTCTGGGTGAAGGTGGGAGCGCACGGGGCCCGCGGAACCACCTAAGGCGACTTCAGACGTGGGCTCGGAACTGGCAGCCTTTCGTTTCTGCTTCATTCCAAGGCCAGAGCAAGCCACGTGGGCAAACCCAAAGCCAGGGGACAGGAAAGTATCCTCCACCCACAACGAAACCATGGCAAGCGGTGGATGCAGGTACGGCCAATAGTCTATCTATCCCGGTGAGTGAGGAGACCTGCTTTGAGGGTTGCACAACCTGGATCTGCTTTTACAGTGGTGTCTGTCACTATGAAGACTCCACCATGGGTCGCCATCAGGTCAGGGACCCTGACAAGGCAAGAACTGCATCTTCCTCTGCACACAGCTCTGCTCCCTTCCCCGCCATGCCTAACACCAAGCCTAGCCCTGAGGGATGACTCAGGAATATTACTGAGAGCATTTTAGGCCATTCCTTCATTATCCCCATGTGACTTGTTATGAAATATAGACTGACTTCCTGAAGATCAGCACATAGTGCTAAGTATTTGGCTTGTAATCTGTAGAGACTCTGCCATTTGGAGCTGGGATCTGTCCCCAGAGCTGTCAGACACCAAATCCCGTATCTACTGCCACCCAAAGGGACCTCCAGAAGAAAGGGGTTATACAGGGTCAAACACCAAGGCAGGTTAGTGAAATTTCTCTAGAGGCCATTTAAAGCTGGAGTCTCACCACCTGAACTGCCCTCAGAGGAAGGCTGTCTAGGGCACAAACCTAGTCAGGGGTCCACATGGACTTAAGGACAATTTTTTTTTTTTTTTTTTTTTTTGAGACAGTCTCATTCTGTCATCAAGGCTCGAGTGCAGTGGTGTGAACTCAGCTCACTGCAAGTCTCAACCTCCTGGGCTCAGGTGATCCTCCCACCTCAGCCTCCCGAGTAGCGGGAACCACAGGCTCGTGCCACGATGCCCAATTAATTTTCTTTTAAATTTTTTGTAGAGATGAGGTCTCCCCGTGTTGCTCAGTCTAATCTTGAACTCCTGGACTCAAATGATCCTCCTGCCTCTGCTCCTCAAAGTCCTGGGACTACAGGTGTGAGCCAATGCACCTGGCCTCTTATGAATAATTTTAAAAACAATGAGGTTCACCGTCAGAGCCCCTGCTGCTCTACCAAGTCCCTTGGCCCCTCTCAACAGGGCAAAAGCAAGATGAGCCCCAGATGTTCTGCTTAATGACCACCTTCCCCAGGAGACTTTGCTCTTTAAAGGAGAACCACTTAGAGATATGAGCAACCTTAAAGAATGCCACCAGCACTAGTGAATGCCAGGCACGGGCCACGTGGGTGGAGAGTATACTTTAGGGCAGTCACTCATGGTAAATTATTTCCACCAGCCCCCAGAAGTGACTATTCAATGTCCAACTATGTCAGGCCCAGGCTAATAAAAGTAGAGGCATGAGGAACCTAGGGTTGTTCTGAAGTGCCTTGATTATGGTACATGTGGAAGATTTTAGAGCTTGTTGTAAAAAGTGATGACCCATGGCCCCCCAGGCTGGGTCTGGGATTCCCTTTGTGGATTACAAGAGGATATTATGCAGCAGTTTTTAAAAATGAGGCAGACTGGGACAATCTATCTCCAAGATGCATAGGTGCTGTTAAGGGAACAAAGCAAGATTTAGTAGGGCGTGTATAGTATGCTACTGTGCGCTGTGCGTTATCTGTACAGAACTGTGAGGTCTGATACAGTAGCCACTAGCCACATATGGCTATTTACATATAAATTTAGGTTGGCCACAGTGGCTCATGCCTGTAATCCTAGCACTTTGGGAGGCCAAGTGGGAGGATAGCTTGAGGCCAATAGTTCAAGAACACCCTGGGCAACATAGTGAAGCCCCTTTTCTACAAAAAATTTATTTATTTATTTATTTTTATTTTTTTTGAGACGGGTCTCACTCTGTCACCCAGGCTGGAGTGCAGTGGCGCAGTCTCAGCTTATTACAACATCTGCCTCCTGGGTTCAAGCGATTATCGTGCCTCAGCCTCCAAGTAGCTGGGACTACAGGCACGCACCACCATACCCAGCAAATTTTTGTATTTTTGGTAGAGACAAGGTTTTGCCATGTTGGCCAGGCTGGTCTTGAACTCCTGACCTCAGGTGATCTGCCCGCCTCAGCCTCCCAAAGTGCTGAGATTACAGGCATGAGCCACTGCGCCCAGGCAAAAAATTTAAAATTGTAAAAATCAGCCAAACATGGTGGCATTCATCTGTAGTCCCAGCAACTTAGGAGGCTGAGGTGGGAGGATTTCTTGAGCCCAGGAGGTCAAGGTTGCAGTGACCTATGACTGCACCACTGCACTCCAGCCTGGACAACAGAGTGAGGCCCTGTCTCAAAAAATAAATAAATAGGAGTTTGAGGCCATGTTCACACATCACTGCAGTCCAGTCTGGTAAACAGAGCAAGACGCTGAGTCTTTAACAAAAAAAAAAAAATTTTTAAAGTCAGCTGCTAAGACACACTAGCCACATATCAAGTGCTCAACTGCCCCGTGTGGCTAATGGCTTCCAAACTGGCAGCACAGGCAACTGTTTTCATCACTGAAGTTCTGTTGGACAAGAATACCTCTGGAAGCACACACGAGAAACTGGTAATGGCGGTTGCCTTCCGGGAGGGAAACTGGGAGAGTGCAGGGCTGTATGCCCTTTTGTACCTCTTGAATTTCATATCATGCGTTTGTACTAGGTGTTTACAAATTATTTTAAAAACATACTGGGAATTAGGAATCCCCATATGGAATCACTGCAGTGGGACACTGATTCCCAAAAAATTACTTTGCAATTTGCCTAAAACAAATTAAGCTAATAGCTATCATGATTTCATATTTAATATTTTTTCACAGCTTAGAGTTTTTTTAGCTCCTGTTGCTATCTCTCTGCTCTTATGAGCTCACAGGGTGACAAAGTGAATTAGTAAGTAGCAGGAGAACATTAAAGGAAAAACTCCTGGGCAACAGGGCAAAACGCCGGCTCTACAGAAAATACAAAACATTAGCCAGGCATGGTGGCATGCACCTATGGTCTTAGCGACTTGGGAGGCTGAGGTGGGAGGATCGCTTGAGCCCGGAAGGCGGTAACTCAATCCCAGCAGAATCCCAGGGAGCGAAGGTGGCTCATCCCAAAAGAAAAACAAGAAGGAAATTCTATTACCAGAAGACAAAGGGATGAAATGAGGGATGGAGAATCAAAGACTGAAGCTACTAGGGTTTGTTTTTATTAATATTTAATTTTTTCAGAGGCGAGGGTCTCAGTATGTTGCCCAGGCTGGCCTTGAACTCCTGGCCTCAAGCAATCCTCCTGCCTGAGCCTTCCGAGTTGTTGGGATTACAGATATGAGCCACTGCATCCAACTTTGGTTCTTGTTTGTCTGTTTTGTTTTGTTTTGGTTTGTTTTTTTGACAGAGTTTTGCTGTGCCACCCAGGCAGTGACTCAGCCTCGGCTCACTGCAGCCTTGACCTTCTGGCCTCGAGTGATCCTCCCACCTCAGCGCCACCCCCCACTGCCCTCCAATATCTGGGACTACAGGTGCGCGTGACCGCACACAGCTAATTTTTAAATTTTTTGTAGAGATAGGGTTTCACTATGTGGCTCAGGCTGGTCTCCAACTCCTGGACTAAGCGATCTGCCTGCCTTGGCCACCTCCCAAAGTGTGAGCCACCATGCCCACCCATTGAACATTGAAGCTAGACTGGGCAAACCCTTAAGCCTAAACCAGTAACAGTTTTTCACAAGTTCATAGATGTTACTGTGGTTAATAACACACAAATTCATTTAAAAGCATGTGTGTCCACATAGTAATTTTTGGTCCTTATTTTTATTTTTATTTTTCAGTTAATGGATATTAAAGATACAACTTTATTTTGTTTTTTTTGAGACAGGGTCTCACTCTGTCACCCAGGCTGGAGTGCAGTGGCATGATCAGAGCTCATTGCAACCTCCACCTCCTGGGTTCAAGAGATTCTCCTCCCTCAGCTTCCTGAGTAGCTGGGATTGCAGGTACATGCAACCACACCTGGCTAATTTTTGTACTTTTTGTAGAGATAGGGTTTTACCATGTTGCTCAGGCTGGTTTTGAACTCCTGAGCTCAAGTGATCCACCTGCCTCGGCCTCCCAAACTGCTGGGATTACACAAGTGAGCCACCACACCCGGCCTAAAGATATAATTTCTATCATGAGGAGGTCCAAGAACTATTCTCTTTTTCTTTTTTTAATGTTAGAAAGGGATTAACTGGGTATGTGCTGCAGCAAAGGGAGGGGAAATTAAGCAAGAAGAGAAGGGAGCCAGGAAATAAAGGCCCCAACCCAGGAAGCAGTTAAGCAAAGTTCCAGGATGACCCATGTGACAAGTTTAGGGGATAACTTGAGCACATGGAGGACAGAACTTGGAGAGGGCACTGTGGGCCTGGGCGCCACCTGCTCCGCCAGAGCACTGGAAGAGAACGAGGGCACGATAATGGCAGATGGCACTGAAAGAAAAGGAGAGAGCTTGAGGCACCCTTGGGGGAAGCAGCCATCATCAGAGTGTATTTTATTTTTATTTTATTATATTTTGAGATAGAGTCTCACTCTGTTGCCCAGGCTGGAGTGCAGTGGCATGATCTCGGCTCACTGCAACCTCCACCTCCCAGGTTCAAGTGATTCTCTGCCTCAGCCTCCCAAGTAGCTGAGACTACAGGGGGGCACCACCACACCCGGCTAATTTTTGTATTTTTAGTAGAGATGGGGTTTCTCCATGTTGGCCAGGTTGGTCTTGAACTCCCGACCTCAGGTGATCCGCCCACCTTGGCCTCCCGAAGTGCTGGGATTACAGGCGTGAGCCACCATGCCTGACCTCACAGCACATTATTAAGCTCTGTGGTGAATAATATTTATATAGTCACAATTCTGTAAACACTGTTCATTTTCTACAAATTGTGGCAAACCCAAACCTCAAGAATGGACAGGGCTAGGGTGTAAAAGAGCTAAGTCCTTGCCAGGTTTACCAGGAAGGCAACAGACAGTGTCTAAAACTATGAGACAGCTGGGCGCGGTGGCTCACGCCTGTAATCCCAGCACTTTGGGAGGCCGAGGCGGGTGGATCACGTGAGGTCAGGAGTTTGAGATCAGCCTTGACAACATGGTGAAACCCCGCGTCTACTAAAAATATCAAATTAGCTGGGCATGGTGGCAGGTGCCTGTAATCCCAGCTATTAGGGAGGCTGAGGCAGGAGCATTGCTTGAACCCAGGAGGCGGAGGTTGCAGTGAGCCAAGATGGCACCATGCATAGGTTTTATGCCAATACTACACCATTTTATATCAAAGCCTTGAATATCCAAGGATTTTGGTATCTATGGGAGGTCCTGGAACTAATCCCCCACAGATACCAAAGGATGAGTATACACCTTTCCTTACTTTCGAATTTTGAACCAGACAGATACGCTGCAATTCAACAAATTAAAATAACTGAACCTACAATCAAGGAGAAAAATATTTATCCCTAATAACTAATGGACCATCTTACGCCGTCTATAAAAATATCAATTAAGAAATCACGGCCGGGCACAGTGGCTCACGTCTGTAATCCCAGCACTTTGGGAGGCCGAGGCGGGCAAATCACTTGAGGTCAGGAGTTTAAGACTAGCCTGGCAAACGTGGTGAAACCCCATCTCTACTGAAAATATAAACAAATTAGCCAGGCATGGTGACGGGCACCTGTAATCCCAGCTACTCGGGAGGCTGAGGCAGGAGAATTGCTTGACCCAGGAGGTGGAGGTTGCAGTGAGCCGAGATCACACCACTTCACTCCAGCCTGGGTGACAGCAAGACTCCGCCTCAAAAAACAACAACAACAACAAAAAACGCGGTGATACACGCCTATAATCCCAGCACTTTGGGAGGCCAAGGCGGGCGGATCACAAGGTCAAGAGATCCAAGACCATCCTGGCCAACATGGTAAAACCCCATCTCTACTAAAAATACAAAAATTAGCTGGGCATGGCGCGCACCTGTAGTCCCAGCTACTTGGGCGGCTGAAGCAGGAGAATCGCTTGAACCTGGGAGGTGGAGGTTGCAGCGAGCCGAGATTGCGCCACTGCACTCCAGCCTGGCGACAAAGCGAGACTCCGTCTCAAAAAAATAAAAAAGAAATCAGAAACTGTTCAAATTCCAATCTATACAAGTGAAACCTACACAGTTAAATGTCTTAATAGAGAGCTAAAAGCATTAAGTTCTGTCATACTCAACATACTGATGAAAAAAATTTGAACTAAAAGACAGCCTGATCTTTAGAAACTGGCAGAAAAAATAGGGGCTGCATCCAAGACCACTCACGGCACGTCCATTCTTCCAGCAGCTCCCAACTGCTATTTTATGAAAAGTCCAAATTTCCCACCCCAAGGTCCTAGAGTACAGCCAGCTCCCTACCATCAAAAACAATAGCTACCAAAACTCAGTAAAATTAGGCTTGTTATGAAGAGAAGATTGAAGAAATAAAGGTATTTATTTCATCTTGGTATTTGAATGTGGAAACTCCCAGTAGGGTAAGAAAAAAGAATTCTGCCAGAGAAATGATGAAGTGAAACCTCAAACAATTTGGGCTTTTGAGTGCCTACTGTCATCCAGCCACGAAATGAAGCATTTTACATAAGTAATTTAAGCCCAGTGATGCAGGCAGTAAGTATTATCTCCATTTTAAGATGAGGAAATTGAGACAGACGAGATTACCTAACTCTCTCAAGGTTTCACCACAGAGCTGTGGTTCAAACCCATGTGTTCTAGTTTTATTACAGTTAAGAAACTGCAAGAGTTTGCCAATTTGTCAAGTGCCAGTCCAAGATAAATGGACACTCTGAGTATCAAAAAAATACATAATCTGCAGATCAAAACACGAAGATACAAACATCTAAGAGTCACCATGGAAGTTGCGGGGCATCCAGTGGTTTTTCTGAAAATCCATGAAGGAAAAGAATAAAGCATTTTTCCAGCCTTTCTTCTACAAACTATATTTCAGGGAAACCAAATATTTGATGAGGGAATTCTTTGTTTAGAAGGATTTTAGCTAATAAATGCAGAGGAATAACAAGATTTAGGAGGGGGGAGAAATCACCATTTTGTGACTTCTAATAAAATAATGGGTCTAGGCAACAGTTTTCAATGGATGCTAAAACGATTAGGTGAAAAGTTGATGGAGAATTTTAATTCAGGGGAATTAGGCTGATACCATCTGAAACCATTTGGCATCATTAAAAATGTGACAACCTGGTGGCTGCCAGGGAGGAAGGGGAGAGGGTGGGGGAAGAACAGAAGTTATAGTTTATGGGCACAAAGTTTTGGTTTTACAAGATGAAAATAGTTACAGAAATGAATGGTGGTGATGGTTGCAGAATATTATGACTGACTATACACTTAAAAATGTTTAAGATAGAGCTGGGTGCAGTGTTGCACACCTGTAGTCCCAGTTATGCAGGAGGCTGAGGTAGGAGAACCACTTGAGCCCATGAGTTCGAGACCAGTCTGAGTAACATATAGAGACCTCATCTCACAAAAACATCACTACCACAAAACAAAACAAAACAAATTGTTAAGATGCTAAATTTTAAGTTATGTGTATTTTACCACAATAAAAAAAAATGAGGCCGGGTGCAGTGGCTCATGCCTGTAATCCCAGCACCTTGGGAGGCCGAGGCGGGTGGACCACAAGGTCAGGAGTTCGAGACTGGCCTGGTCAATATGGTGAAACCCTGTCTCTACTAAAAATACAAAAAAACTAGCCGGACGTGGTGGCTCACGCCTATAGTCCCAGCTACTCGGGAGGCTAAGGCAGGAGAATCACTTGAACCCAGGAGGCTGGGGTTGCAGTGAGCCGAGACTGCACCACTGCACTCCAGCCTGGCCAATAGAGGGAGACTCCGTCTCAAAAAAAAAAAAAAAGAAAAGAAAACATAGTTACCCAGCAATTCCACTTCTAGGCATATACCCAAAGAACTCAAAGCAGGGACTCAAACAGATACTTGGACATGAATCTTCATAGCAACACTATTCATAATAGACAAAAAGCAGAAGCAACTCAAGAGTCCATCGATAGATGAATGGATAAACAAAATGTGGTATATCCATAAAATAGAATATCATTCAGCCATAAAAGGAATTAAGTTCTGATACATACTACAGCATAGATGAACCTTGAAAACATTGTACTAAGTGAAAGAGGCCAGGCAGCTAAACTTCCAAAGACTAATATACAATTCCACTGAATAGGCAAATTCATAGACAGAGGATAGAATAAAGGCTAATGAGGGGTGGGGGAGAAGAGAATGGGCAGTTATTGCTAATGGATACAAAGTTTCTGTTGGGGATGATGAAAAAATTGTGGAACTGGACAGTGGTGATGGTTGTAAAACACGGTGAATGTACTTAATGCCACTGAATTGTACACTTAAGAATAAACTTGTAAATTTTATATTATATATACTTTGCCACAATAAAAATTTTTTTAAAAATGTCTAAGTTTGACAACCGAACTTCTGTGTTAGGATAGGAAGAATACTTATGAAGTATTCTTGCCCCTGAAATGAACCAAAATCTAATCAAGTCTCTAGAATAAACAACCAGTTCACAGGAAATCCACAGATAGCCAAGCAAGTTAGATGGCACTATAATAAAGTAATCAACCAAATCCAGAATGTGGAATAAGCAGTTAAAAAAAAAAAAAAAAAGGGGGGGGGAGGCCAGGCGAGGTGGCTCACACTATGGTCTCAGCACTTTGGGAGGCCAAGGTGGGCAGATGCTTGAGCCCAGGAGTTTGAGACCAGATTGGGCAACATGGTGAAAATCCATCTCTATAAAAAGTACAAAAAAATTTGCTAGGTGTGATGGTATGCACCTGTGGTCCCAGCTACCTGGGAGGCTGAAGTCAGACAATCGCTTGACTCCAGGAGGCAGAGGTTACAGTGAGCCAAGATTGTGCCACTGCACGAGACCCTGTCTCAAAAAAAAAAAAGGAAAAAAAAAGGCATAGAAAAAGAACAACTGCTGTAGAATAAAAGACTAAAGAGGCAAAACAACAAAATGCACTGTGCGAACTCTGATCCAGATGCAAACAAAGCAGATGTAGAAAAGATGTAGAAAGGATACTTTTTTTTTCTCTTTTTTTTTTTTTTTTTGAGATGGAGTCTCGCCCTGTCGCCCAGGCTGGGGTGCAATGGCGCAATCTCGGCTCACTGCAACCTCCGCCTCCTGGGTTCAAGAGAATCTCCTGTCTCAGCCTCCCGAGTAGCTGGGATTACAGGCATGCACCACCAAGCCTGGCTAATTTTTTTTGCATATTTTTAGTAGAGACAGGGTTTCACCATGTTGGCCAGGCTGGTCTCCAACTCCTGACCTCAGGTGATCCACCAGCCTTGGCTTCCCAAAGTGCTGGGATTACAGGTGTAAGCCACCACACTCAGCCAGGATACATTTGATACAACTGGAGAAATTAGAATAAGGACTAGGTGCTAGATATTAAAGAATTATTATTAATTTTGGAGATGTTATAATAGCATGAAGATTTTATATATATATATATGCCTTATCAGTTGGAAATGAACACTAAAGGACATGTGAATAAAAGGCATCATGTCTGGGATGGGCAAAATGCTTATAACTGTTGAGGCTTGGTGATGGGTACATGGGGGTTCGTTATGTTATCCTCTCTGTCTTTGTATTTGTTTTAGATTTTCCACTAAAAAAGTTAAAAAAATAAATGCACTACTTTGAGAAAAAACATTCTAAAATCTATAGCCTGGAAAAGATAACTGCAAATAGAGTTAATTGCCAAAGGTAACAGCTAAAACAATGATATAAAATATAAAGGGACAGTCGACTTGGGTATTTCATCTGGAAAGACTGACGAATATGTAAGTCTTTACTATCAAGTACATGCAGGAGAATCTTCAAAACAAACAGACTCCAAATAAATTCTAAAATGAGAAATTTGTAGATTCCATATGGTTAATATTTTACATGAAAATCGGGGTGTAAAAACTATAGTCAGCCCTCTGTATCCACAGATTCAACCCACCTTGAACCAAAAATATTAAAAAGTAATAACGCAGGCCGGACACGGTGGCTCACGCCTATAATCCCAGAACTTTGGGAGGCCGAGGCGGGTGGATCACCTGAGGTCGGGAGTTCGAGACCAGCCTGACCAACATGGAGAAACCCCGTCTCTACTAAAAATACAAAATTAGCCGGGCGTGGTGGTGCATGCCTGTAATCCCAGCTACTCAGGAGGCTGAGGCAGGAGAACCACTTGAACCCGGGAGGCGGAGGTTGTGGTTAGCCGAGATCGCGCCATTGCACTCCAGCCTAGGCAACAAGAGTGAAACTCCGTCTCAAAAAATAAATAAATAAGTAAATAAATAAAAATAATAACGCAACAGTAAAAAAAAAATACAAATAATACAGTCTAACTATATAGCATTTACATGCTAGTAGACATAAGAAGTAATCTAGTAGTGATTTAAAGTAGACAGGGGGGCTGGGCACAGTGGCTCACGCCTATAAGCCCAGCACTTTGGGAGGCCAAGGTGAGCGAATCACCTGAGATCAGAAGTTCGAGACCAGCCTGACCAACATGGTGAAACCCCATCTCTACTAAAAATACAAAAATTGGCCAGGCGTGGTGGTGCATGCCTGTAACCCCAGCTACTTGGGAGGCTGAGGCAGAAGAACCACTTGAACCTGGGAGGCGGAGGTTGCAGGGAGGCAAGATCACACCACTGCACTCCAGCCTGGGCAACAGGGCAAGACTCTGTCTCACAAAAGAAACCTCCCCAGTAAGTATAAAGAGACCCTAAGAGAGGAAATGGCTGACAGTGTAAATAGAGCAGAGCACCAGAAGGTATCACTTCAAGCATCCGTCTTTAGAGACATTTCACAGAAACAGTATCGAGGCTACAAACCGAATAATCTTTACCTTTTGTGTTCTGGAAAAAATGCTGCCACAGAGGTCTGATTTTGAAGTGGCTGCCAACATCCCAGACACCGAAGGTGTTATTTTTATATTCTACTGTCTCCACACAGAAACCTAAATGAAACATGGGGAAAACATTTAATTATGATTTGTGCTGGTTGAACAATTCAAAATAATTTCAACATGCGGACAGTACTTTTAATTTACAAAGCAGCCTGCTAGTCAAAGATCTATAGCCTTCAAAGAGAATGTGCTGGCCCCCTCGCCCATTCATCAGGACAGGTGTCTCAAACCTTCTCTACTCTCCAATCTCTAGCCACGCACCTGCCCTTTCTCTCAGCAGGAGACTATCACAGTGTACTTCAGAGCAGAGAAGCCGCCGATGGGAATGACTTCCACTTCCACCATACAGTGTAAAAGCCAGTCTACATCTTTACCCATGCTTTTCTTCCTCCCTCTTGGAACAACAGAAGAAGGTAATTCTCTTCCACCAACTCCCTCCCTCTATGAGCCAGATCCACCCTACCCAGACTGTCTGGAACTTTTTACTATTCCTATTCTCTCCCATATCTGAATATCTCCAATCTGTTCACCTTGGCATGCTTAAGCCTTTTACATCTTTAAAAACAACAAAACAAACCTTTCCTTGATCCCCACATCTTCATCGCACTCTCTTCCTTCACATCTTCACCCTCTATTTGCTTTTTTTTTTTTTAAGAGACAGGGCCTTGCTGTGTTGGCCAGGCTGGAGCACAGAGGTACAATCATAGCTCACTGCAGCCTCAAACTCCTGTGCTCAAGGGATCCTCCTGCTTCAGCCTCCCAAGCAGCTAGAACTATAAGCATGAGCCACCATACCTAGCTAAATTTAAAAAGTTTTTTGTAGACACAGGGTCTCACTATGTTGCTCAGATTGGTCTAAAACTCCTGAGGTCAAGCAACCTGTCCACTAAGCTTTCTTTGGTCCTCTCACGCAACAGCACCTTAGCTCTGCTCCACCATTGGGTAGCTGGTTTTCAGTAAGGTCAGCAGTGATCACCAGGTCAATAAATCTAACACAGGCCTTCTCAGTTCTTCCATAATTTGATCTTCTATCTGACGCTACTGCTCACTCCCTCCTTGACACCCTTCCCCAGCTTCCCTTTTCCTTCTATCTCTATGGCTGTACTGTCTCAGTCTCCTTAGTGAACTCAGCCACGTTTAACTGATCCTGCAATGATGGGAGTCGCCCTGGCTCTCACTGGCCCCATCCACTCTCCTCTTTCTGCACCCCTCCCTAGGCAATCTCACTCACTCCCACGACTTCATTCCTATCTCTGTACTAACTCTGAGATTTATATCCCCCAACCTAGCCCTCTCTCCTGAGCTTCAGGCTCATAATCTAACAGCTTTGGCAAATGTCTTCAAGGCCCCAAAACAAGGTGATCAGTCAAAAAATGGAATTTAAGGTCCCTACCCCCAACCTCCTCCTCTGCTAGTTATCCCATCATTGACTTCGTTCCACAAGCTGATAGCCTGAGAGGTGCCCTGGTAACATCCGATGCTCGCACCCCTAGAACCCTACTACCACACCTTATCAATTCAACCCCTTCAACAACTAATAGTCACCCTAACCCAACAGACCATCATTTCTAGCCTCAATTCCTGAAACCATATAACTAATTTCACCTCAGCCACTCTCCCTCTCTCCATCCGGTCACCATCTTCTAAACAAAGCAATAGCTTAAAAACACATAGTGTGGTCACGTCATTTCTCTACACATTTATGTTTGATTGGAATATTTTCAAACTTAAAAAAGAAAGAATAATCGCCCCAAAAAATAAAATTAAAAATTAAAAAAAAAAGAAAGAATAGGCCGAGCACAGTAGCTCACACCTGTAACCCCAGCACTTTGGGAGGCTGAGGTGGGCAGATTGCTTTGAGCTCAGGAGTTTGAGACCAGCCTGGGCAACATGGTGAAACCCTGTCTCTACAAAAAAACACAAAGATTAGCCAGGCATTGGTGCCGTGTGCCTATAGTCCCAGCTACTTGGGAGGCTGAGACAGGAGAACTGCTTGAAGCAAACATTGCAGTGAGCTGAGATCACACCACCGCACCCCAGCCTGGATGACAGAATAACATCCAAGAAAGAAAAGAGGAAGAGAGAGACAGAGAGAGAGAGACAGAGATGGGAGGGGAGGGGAGGGGAGGAAGGAAAGGACAGAAAAGGGAGGAAGGGAGGGAGGAAGGAAAGGAAAAGAAGGAAAGATGTCCCCTTAGCGGCTTCCCACACCCAAATCCCAAACATGACTGTCAAGACCCAAGCAAGCTGGGTCTGCTCACCTTCCAAACCTCAATTCTAGTCATGCCTTATTTTAGTGAGAGACACTCGTTACATTGCAACAATCTAAATTCTTGCTAAATAAATAAATACAATGCCATTCCAATCCTATAATGATGGTAGGGGCAGGGGCAGGAAACTTAGCAAAATTATCTAAAATTTAACCTGGAGAAATAAACAAGTAAGCATAACCAGGAAATCTCTGAAAATGAGTAATGAATTATTTTTAAGGATATGCCAAGCCCTAGTAACACTTGAATAGAGTTCAAATATAAATGCAACAGGTACTTGCCCAAAAAAAGACACACATACCAGTGAGAATTTAGTATGTAACGAAGGCATTTCAAATCAGCATGGAAAAATTATTCAATAAATGACATTGAACAACTGTCTACCCCAGCACCGTCCAATACATAGTCACTAGCCATTTGTGACTATTTGTTTATGTTTTTGTTTTATTTTGTTTTGTTTTTGAGACAGAGTCTCGCTCTTGTCACCCAGGCTGGAGTGTATGGTGCGATCTCGGCTCACTGAAACCTCCGCCTCCCGGATTCAAGTGATTCTGCTGCCTCAGCCTCCCAAGTAGCTGGGATTACAGGCGCCTGCCACCACGCCCATTTTGCAATTTTAGTAGAGACGGGGCCAGGCTGGTCTCGAACTCCTGACCTCAGGTAACCCGCCTGCCTCAGCCTCCCAAAGTGCTGAGATTACAGGCGTGAGCCACCATGCCCGGCCTATTTATTTATTTTTTGAGACACAGTCTTGCTCTGTAACCTAGGTTGAAGTGCAATGGTGCGATATCAGCTCACTGCCACCTGTGCCTCCCGGGCTGAAGTGATTCTCCTGCCTTAACCTCCCGAGTAGCTGGGATTACAGGTGCATGCCACTACTAATTTTTGTATTTTTAGTAGATATGGGGTTTCACCACGTTGGCCAGGCTGATCTCGAACTCCTGGTCTCAAGTGATCTTCCCACCTCAACCTCCCAAAGTGCTGGGATTATAGGCATAAGCCACTGCGCCTGGCAACGTGGCTATTTAAACTTAAAGTTAAAATCAAAAATCAATCAATAAATAAAAATAAATAAAAAATAAACTTAAAGTTAAATACAATTAAAAGTTCAGTTCCCGGCTGGACACAGTGGCTCATGCCTGTAATCCCAACACTCTGGGGGGCCAAGGTGGACGGATCACCCGAGGTCAGGAGTTCGAGACCAGCCTGGCCAACAGGGTAAAACTCCGTCTCCACTAATAATACAAAAATTAGCCGGGTGTGGTGGCGTGCACCTGTAATCCCAGCTTCTCAGGATGCTGAGGCAGAAGAATGACTTGAACCCAGGGGGCGGATGTTGCAGTGATCTGAGATCGCGCCACTGCACTCCAGCCTGGGTGACAGAGCAAGATTCCATCTCAAAAAACAAAAAAGTTCAGTTCCTCAGTTGCATTAGCCACATTTCAAGCACATGAACAGTCACATGGCTATTGGCTACGACACTAAACAGCACAGACACAGAACATTTTAATCACTGCAGAAAGTGCCTCCTGGGCAGCACTGGCTTATCCATTTGAAAAATTTAACCAAATTACTACCTTACACACAACCATCTCATAACTCGAACATTCTCCTCGGTTTCCCACTCCTCAATCGATGCAATCTCTGCAGCTACTGCCCAAGTTGAAAGTTGATCATTTGGAGACCAGGTGCGGTGGCTCACGCCTGTAATCCCAGCACTTAGCCGGGCAGATCATTTGAGGTCAGGAGTTCCAGACCAGCCTGCCCAACATGGTGAAACCCTGTCTCTACCACAAATACAAAAATTAGCCTTGCATGGTGGTGAACGTCTGTAATTCCAGCTACTCAGGAGGCTGAGGCATGAGAATCGCCTGAACCCAGGAGGCGGAGGTTGTAGTGAGCCGAGATCGCGCCACTGTACTTCAGCCTGGGGTGACAGAGCGAGACTCTATCTCAAAAAAAAAAAAAAAAGAAAGTTGATCATTTGAGTCCTGTGCCTAATTCAATATTCAGAACAGAACAGTAGTAATGTTCACATGCCACCTGTGGGGTGTGTCCTCAGTCAGAAGTTTGGATCTAGAGGCAGTTCACAAGGCAAAGATTCAGTTCTGTCAAAACTCGCTTTGTAAATCTCTTAACAAGCCCGTAAAACACAGTGCTGGTTCACAGTAAGAGCAGTGCAGCCAGCTTGTCTATTTCTCTAGTTGGACATCATCTCAAGCAGTTGGTTTGAGCCAGAGTGAAGAAAAGAAATCACACTCCATCTCTAAGCACTGGGAGCGTACTTGGTGTAGAGATGAGATGCTGCCACTAAGGAAGGCCAGCTGGAACAGAGGCTGACTGAGGAGGCACCAGCAGATTCCCAGCTCCCACCTCAGCCTTCTGCTGGGACACTAGCTGCGAGGAATGAGGGGCAGAACTACCCTCCCTGTTTTGCCCATTATCTTTTTCTTTTTTGCCAAGCAAATGGGGTTAAATTTGCTTAGCCTCCATGTGTTCACATGTCTCCCTTGTGAACCTAAGAATGTGCAAGCCACTAGAAAAGGATACATAACCTGGCCAGGCGCGGAGGCTCATGCCTGTAATCCCAGCACTTTGGGAAACCATGGCGGGAGGATCGCTTGAGCCCAGGAGTTCAAGACCAGCCTAGGCAACATGGCAAAACCCCGTCTCTACTAAAAATACAAAAATTAGCTGGGCATGCTGGTGCACGCCTGTAGTTCCAGCTACTCAGGAGGGAGATGGAAGGATCACTTGAGCCCAGGAAGTTGAGACTGCAGTGAGCAGAGATGTACCACTGCACTCCAGCCTGGGTGACAGAGTCAAAAAAAAAGAAAAGGATATATAATATAACCTGGTTTTTGGCCTCTAAAAATGTATGCTCATGGAGTAGACAAGATTTTTAAAAAGAATTATTCAATAACATAAGAAGCATGTAAAAATAAAACATATTTCTCTGGTGAAACAGAACCTAAAAAATATATATAACATACTAAATTGTAAACTGGAATTGCCACAGGTCTTTCATTAACTTACCTACTGTAGGGACGGCAGGCACAGTCTCCCCCAGCTTCAATTTATACAAGATGGTGGTTTTTCCAGCTGTATCCAAACTCAATATAAGAATCCGCATCTTTTTTTTCCCAAGTAGACTTTTAAAGAGCTTTTCAAAAATGTTTCCCATTGTAATTTAATCGAATTCTGTAACATGACAAGAAAAGCAAGCCAAATAATTGTTCTCTGCAGAGATATAGAAGCAACACGCAGAAAATACAAGTGTCAATTAGAAATGGCTCCCAGGAAAAATTCAACAATTTTAGGTACACTTTGGCCAATGAGTAGTGAGTCTTGTCTTCAAAGGGAAACTCAACTAAACCTTTCCATGCCTTACCAGAAAATTCTATTTTCCACTGCAGCATCCAAGTGGGATATGCAACATAGCCTCAGCACTGCTATGACAGTGGCAGCCTTTAGTCATTTAGTACAGAAGTACAAGGCCAGGCGCGGTAGCTCACGCCTGTAATCCCAGCACTTTGGGAGGCCAAGGTGGGTGGATCACCTGAGGTCATGGGTTCAAGACCAGCCTGGCCAACATGGTGAAACCCCGTCTCTACTAAAAACACAAAAATTAGCTGGGCACGGTGGTGCACGCCTGTAGTACCAGCTACTCAGGATGCTAAGGCATAGGAATCACTTGAACCTGGGGAGGCAGAGGTTGCAGTAAGCCAGGACCACGCCACTGCACTCTAGTCTGGGCAACAGAGCAAGACTGTCTCAAAAAATTAATTAATTAATTAATTTTTTTTAAAAAACAAGTACAGAAGCAATGATACAACAAATACAACTATACCTCATTCTAAACTCTACTGAAATGAGAATTTATGAAACAGAGAAGCTTTTTATTTTATGCACTATAAAACAAAGTCTTTAAGACAGGTTAAACAACAATATCCCTTGGAAACGTAGTAGTTCCTTATGGCTAGCAGACACCTTGGAAATAACCTAAGAAATTTCAGAGGCAAAGAAATTCAGCGTTGGGAAGCTTCACTGCCAAGAGAGATAACTTGGCAGAGTTGAGGAGGCACCACAGCATCCAGTTTTCGTTTGAGTTTTTTGTTTTGTTTTGAGACAGGGTCTCGCTCTGTCACCCAGGCTGGAGTGCAGTGGCACAATCACGGCTCACTGCAACCTCAACCTCCCCATCTCAAACAATCCTCCCACCTCAGCCTCTGGAGCAGCTGCGACCACAGGCATACGCCACCTCGCTCAGCTAATTTTTGTATTTTTTGTGGAAATGAGGTCTCACTATATTTCCCAGGCTAATCTCGAACCCCTGGGCTCAAGTGATCTTCCCACCTCAGCCTCCCAAAGTGCTGGGATTACAGGCGTGAGCTACCAGGCCCAGCCAGTATCCAGTGTTCTATTGCTGTAACTATCACCTTACTCTCAACCAGTTCTTAGAACTTTTTATTTAAGTATAATTTACATACAGATATAAACATACATGATAACTGTAAAGTTCAATACATTTTCATGAACCAAACACACCTATGTAACCAAATCAAGAAAAGATGATTTATCAGGCTGGGCACAGTGGCTCATGCCTGTAATCCCAACACTTTGGGAGACCAAGGTGGGTGGATCACCTGAGGTCAAGAGTTCGAGACCAGCCTGGCCAAAATGGTGAAACCCCGTCTCTACTAAAAATACAAAAATTAGCTAGGTGTAGTGGCACACACATGCAGTCCCAGCTACTCAGAAGGCTAAGGCACAAGAATCACTTGAACCTGGGAGGTGGAGGTTGAAGTGAGCCAAGATTGGGCCACTGAACTCCAGCCCAGGGCAACAGAGTGAGACTCCATCTCAAAAAAAAAAAAAAAAAAAAATGATTATCAGACCAATTCTCCTTGTGCCTCCTCCCAGTCATTACTCCATAAAAGGTAATCACTATATTGACTTCTAACAGCATAAATGTTCAATATTTTATTTTTCAGTAGAAATCATGGTAGGTTATATAAAGTAAGTCAATAGTAAAGTCAGACTAACTTACAGAAATTTACAGTCTCTTTGAGATCAGCCTACTTGAAATGTGAGCTTGACATTCTAAGTAAAGACTTACAAGCAGTGCTGGGTCTACACCTCTAACTAAGCTCTTGGAAGTCTGTAAAGATCTTCAGACCAGGCAGGGTGGCTTACCCCTGTAATTCCAGCACTTTGGGAGGCTGAGGCAAGAGGGTCACTTTAGTTTTTGCTTACTGAGATAACAGAAGACAAGGGAGGATTGCTTTAGGCCAGGAGTACAAGACCAGCCTGGGCAACATAGCGAGACCCTGCCTCTATTTTTAAAAATAATAAAACAAAAAAAAATTCAAAAAGAAAAAGACATACATCCTTGTTCCAGAGACTGTGATTTATTTTCTTTTTAAATTGCTAACCAAAGAAAGCTTTACTCCTGGGCAGGGGAGGAGGAAGACACAAGGAGGATAGCCAATCTCCCATTCATTCGGACTCTGGTAACCACAGAGCGGAGGTAACCAAATTCCACAGGCCTCACCGCTGAAATTCAACAGTGGCCAGCAGTAGCTTAATATCATGGATTACGCCCAAGTACACAACATTCCTTTCTAGGATGAGAGAAAGCGAGCACAGAATTTATCCTGTTCACAAATGTGGCGTAAGTGACCAAAGAATGATAAATGTTTTAATCATTCAAAGAAAGTCCATTATAGGTCTATAAAAGTCCAGTGCATTGCAGCACTCAAAATCTTGCCGGGCGACAAAACTAGAGATTCCTTTTTTTTGTTTCGAAAAACAAATCTCACAGATGAGGAGACTTTTCAGGAACATGCTGGGGGAGGGAAGGTACTTCCCGCTCAGATGCCCCTTGAGGCAGCTAGTCCCAATTCCCCCTGCCAACCGCACAGACACACCACCTTGACCTCCCTCTCCCTTCTCTTTCCTCTTATTGCTACTCATGTGCCCCAGGCGCCCGTGGTCCTGACACCCCTGCGCCGCTGGAGACCCCTCTAAGGTAAGATGGCTCCGACTACAGGGCCTTTTTGGCACGCTCAGTCTCCCAGCCCCAAGCGCCAAAAGTGCATTAGGGAGAAACGTCGGCACGACGTCAAGGGCGCGAACAAGCGTGGTGGCCCAGGTGAGCGTGCGCGGCAGCCAGGCACGCCCGGCTCCCGGGGAAGGACGCCCCTTTTTTGCCCCGGCTGCCAGGCCGCTCCTTCTCAACTTGTGCGCCCCTGGAAGAGCAAAGAGAGGGCCCTGCGTGGAACCTATGAAGCCTCCTTCGGTTCCTCGCTGCTCCGGCCCTACAGAGGGCGAAGAAGGAACAGCGGAGCCCAATCCCTTTCCGAAAGCCACCGCCGCCCTCCAGTTTCTGGCCCGCAGACGAAGTGGAGATCCAGCCAGGTCTTGAGTGCTGCCGCCCCATCCCTGCAGCCGGAGACTCACCTGTTGCCACTCAAGGTACCGCTACCTACAACACCGCCGACTCCGCGGCCTTTAGGATTTCAGCTCAGTTCAGCTAAACCACGACAGGCGTGGGGGCAGGAACAGCAACCAACCAATCACCCACCGCCTCCTGGAGCTTTTGCACCAATGAGCTCGAAGTTTTGTGAGTGACGACATATCTGGCCAATGCAAAGAAGAGTAAGGGCCTGGGAGGGAGGGAGCGCCGTAGGCGACGCCATGAAGCTCTGGCAATACCATGTTCATCTTCAAATCACAGTTAAACGAATTCTGGCGAGACACGCCCACGTCCCCCACCCCCGATGCCATGTGCGACCAATCAGAAAAGCAAAAGGATTGTCTATTTGCACGGCCAATCAGCTGGGAAAATCGCCGAGGTTTGAGCTAACCTCGGAGCGTTCACACCAACCGGGAGGGGACATGTGGGCCGGGCCAAGTTAATAGTGCCATGGAAGGAAATTTACCGCGGTTGAGTTAAACGTAGACATTAGTTTGGGGCGGTGTTCCGCGTAGGAAATACCACACACTGACACTGAAATTAGGCATAAGGAAGTTTTCCTATTCCGCCTGAGGCTAGACTGCCCTCCCACCTCTACACAGATTTTCAAGTTGGGGAAAATACTGGCCACCCGCACCTCGTTAAGACGTCGCAGAACCAGTCCTCGTTTCCGAGAAATGCTTTCTATAGTCAGTTCCCTAAATGCCCAACTTGTTAGCTAAAAAGGTTACAAACGCCTGTAAATGGTACATAACTGAAATTATCAGAACAACAAACATCTATTAAACATATACTATGTGCCAGAAACTATATCAAGAACTTCAGCAGGCCCGGCGCGGTAGCTCACGCCTGGAAGGCCAAGGCTTTGAGCTAGGAGTTCGAGACCAGCCTGAGCAACATGGCAAAACCCCATCTCTGCAAAAAAAAAACAAATTTAAAATTAGCCGGGCATGGTAGCGGCTGTAGTCCCAGCTACTCGGGAGGCTGAGGCAGGAGGATCACTTGAGCCCAGGAGGTAGAGGCTGCAGAGAGCCGTGATCACGCCACTGCACTCCAGCCTGGGTGACAAAGCGAGACCCTGTCTCAAAAAACACGAACAAAAAAAGTTAGAAGATACTGCTAGAATTGACTAAATAAATAAATAAATAAATAAGAAAAACAATGTTACCTGCAGGACCGTAACGCCCAGTGAATTACAAACTATTATCCCTGGCCAGACGTGGTGGCTCACACCTGTAATTCCAGCACACTGGGAGGCCGAGGCGAGCAGATCACCTGAGGTTGGGAGTTCGAGACCAGCCTGACCAACATGGAGAAACCCCATCTCTACTAAAAATATAAAATTAGCCGGGCGTGGTGGCACACGCCTGTAATCCCAGCTACTTGGGAGGCTGAGACAGGAGAATTGCCTGAACCTGAGAGGCAGAGGTTGCAGTGAGCCAACATCGTGCCACTGCACTCCAGCCTAGACGATAAAGCAAGACCCTGTCTCAAAAAAAAAGAAAGAAAAGAAACTATTATCCCTGCTGTTTTACAGAAAAATATTAAGTAGCCTGGGTCTGTCCCACTCCCACACCTTAATCTTTTTCTTTCTTTTTCCTTTTTTTTTTTTTTTTGAGACAGGGTCTCACTGTCGCCCAGGCTGGAGTGCAGTGGTGCGATCTCGGCTCGCTGCAACCTCTGCTTCCCAGGTTCAAGTGATCCTCCTGCCTCAGCCTCACAAGTAGCTGGCATTACAGGCATGTGCCACTGCGCCTGCCTAATTTTTGTATTTTTAGTAGAGACAGGGTTTCACCATGTTGGCCAGGCTGGTCTTGAACTCCTGGCTTCAAGTGATCCACCCACCTCAGCCTCGCAAAGTGCTGGGATTACAGGCATGAGCCACCGCGCCTGGCCACCTTAATCTTTTTAAGCAAATACAGAATGGAAACTGCCCTCACAGGATTAAGGAGAGTTACAAGCCAGGCTTTAGGCAGCATTATATATAGTTAGCTGTTATCCAGGGTGCACAAGTGTACTTTGACCCACTTCCCTGCAGCTGCTAACTCACTGAACATCACTCCACGTGCTAGACCACCTCCTACCTGTTTCTCCATGGTTCTTACCATGAGTAAGAATTTCTGACGCTAGACTCATAAGATCGTTTTGCCCAAGAACGGGTTGTTTTTCAGATCCTGAATTCTGACGTCCCCAACCAAGGAACCCACTCAGCACAAGAATGAGGTTTCTTGGTCTCCCTGTCTCATGACTTCGCCCTTCACTTCTTGACCAATCATCGATCCCCACACTGCAGCCCCTGTCCAGAGGACTTAAAAACCCTGCCCCCCAAACCTCTCAGGGAGGTGGATTTGAGGCTTCTTCCCATCTCCTCATTCAGATGCCCTGTGATTATTAAACTCTTTCTTTGCTGCAGCCAGGTGTCTCTGTATGCTGACTCACTGTGCATTGAGCAAACAAAACTATTAAATTACAGTACTACTTACTCTTCTAATTACAGTGCTTATATGTATGAGGGTTAATATAAATACATATGACTCCTTAAAAATTAAAGTATGTTTTTTCTGACTATAAAAATTATACATAACCGGGTGCAGTGGCTCACACCTGTAATCCCAGCACTTTGGGAGGCCGAGGCGGGCAGATCATGAGGTTAGATCAAGACCATCATGGCCAACATGCTGAAACCCCGTCTCTACTAAAAATACAAAAATTAGCTGGGCGTGGTGGTGCATTCCTGTAATCCCAGCTACTTGGGAGGCTGAGGCAGGAGAATTGCTTGAACCCGGGAGGCGGAGGTTGCAGTGAGCCGAGATAGAGCCACTGCACTGGGTGCAGAGCCTGGGTGACAGAGTGAGACTCTGTCTCAAACAACAACAACAACAACAAAAAACTCATGCTAGTTTAATTTTCATTTATTTGATGACTTGCTATTTTTCCAAATGTTTACTAGTATTTTTATTTCATCTATTAGAAATGATATATTCATGTCCTACTGACTTCCAAGGGAAAGATAGAAAGTTGTTTTGCCAGGAACTATGAAGGTTGTTTGAATGGAGTCATCATAACCTAAAAAAAAGGTGAAATAACGAAGGTGAGATTTTTACTTACCATTGTTTGTTCCTACAGAAGGAATGCTGGAGCTGATAATTATGAGAATTTATCCTTCCATCCCTCATAGCCTAAGAATATTCATTATTTTCCCAATATCTGCACTGAGCCTGTAAACCAAAATGTATCTGAGACATGTCTCAATCAATTTACAAGTTTATTTTGCCAAAATTAAGGATGCTTACCTGGGAGACAGGCCTGTGCCTTTTTCCAAAGGTGATTTTGAGGGATTTAGTTTTGTTTGTTTGTTTGTTTTTGAGCCAGAGTCTCACTCTGTTGCCCAGGGTGGAGTGCAGTGGTACAATCTTGGCTCGCTGCAACCTCCACCTCCCAGGTTCAAATGATTCTCATGCCTCAGCCTCCCAAGTAGCTGGGATTAACAGGCGCGTGCCACCACTTCTGGCTAATTTTTGTGTTTTTAGTAGAGACGGGGTTTCACCATGTTAGCTAGGTTGGTCTCCAACTCCTGACCTCAGGCGATCCGCCCACCTCAGCCTCCCAAAGTGCTGAGATTACAGGTGTGAGTCACCGCGCCCGGCCAGAAGGATTTAATATTTTATTTATTTATTTATTTATTTATATTTTTTTATTTTTGAGACAGAGTCTTGCTCTGTCACCCAGGCTGGAGTGCGGTGGCACAATCTCGGCTCACTGCAACCTCCGCCTCCTGGGTTCAAGCCATTCTCCTGGCTCAGCCGCCCCAGTAGCTGGGATTACAGGCGCACACCACCATGCCCAGCTAATTTTTGTTGTTTTTAGTAGAGACGGGGTTTCACCATGTTGGCCAGGCTCGTCTCGAACTCCTGACCTTATGATCCACCTGCCTCGGCCTCCCAAAGTGCTGGGATTACAGGCATGAGCCACGGTGCCCGGCAAGGATTTAATATTTAAAATGGAAAAGCAGGCTGGAAGGGAAAGAAGGAGAGTATGGTCACATTACTGAATTCACATGTTGCAAGAGACAAGGAGCAAGTAGGGGAATAGTCAATTATGTATTACTCTCGTGCTTACCATAAGATAAGGTGGACATAGAGTAGTTAGCTGCAGTCAGTCCTGCTTAGGAATGAAAGGAAAGGCAACTTCTTGCATGACTCAGCTTTCAGCTTAATTTTTTTTCTTTTGGCAGAATGAATTGGGTTCCCAAGTTTTTATTTTCCTTTCACAAGCCTCTGAATAAACAAAGTTCCTGCCCACATGGCATTCAATTGCTAAACAATTATAATCACATAAATACATACACATATACGTATATGTTTTTTATATATATATATATATATATATAATATATATTTAATACATACGTCCGGGTGCAGTGGCTCACACCTGTAATCCTAGCACTTTGGGAGGCTGAGTTGGGTAGACTGCTTGAGCCAAGGAGTTCAAGCCCAGCCTGGTCAACATGGTGAGACCCCATCTCTACAAAAAATACAAAATACAAAAATTAGCTGGTCATGGTGGTGTGCACCTGTAGCCCCAGCTACTCAGAAGACTGAGATGAGAGGACTGCTTGAGCCTGGAAGGCAGAGGTTGCAGTGAGCCAAGATAGTGCCACTGCACTCCAGCCTAGGAGACAAAGTGAGACTCTGTCTCAAAAAACAAACAAACAAAATACATTCATATAAAGAGAGAAAAAGAGGGAGAATTTTATAATGATATGCATGAGGAATGTATAGGGGAAGAGGCTAAAAATAGGCCGAACTTACTAGTGAATATATTCAGGAGGTAGGACTGTGATTGTTTTTAAGTGATCGAGGGAAAATAGTGTACTGATTTTAAAATGGAAAACTCAACTTATTTTTTAAAAATTAAAACTCTGACAAGAGGGAGGTTTAATTGAAATCACAGTGGCTGCTCAGGGAAGTTTATAAATCTCGAACTGCAACGACTCAATAAGCATGAATTGCTTGTGATGATATTGACTTAATAGAGTTATTTTTTCCTTAATAGAAAACACATCTTATCAATATAATGTTATTTGTAAAGCATGGAAAGGACAAAGTGCTCTTGGGAGAAGTAGAAAGAGAATTTCACTCTGAGAAACCTATTTGGAGAAAGCTCCTCATCTCTGGCTTAGACTTTAAAATTAGTTAATAGTGTAATTAGGGATAGTTGTAGTAATAGTGGTATTGGTATGGTAGTTACAGTTTAAATGTCACACAGAATACCCAGACCACCTTCCCCCAAGTGCCACTAAACTTATTCTTCTAATCAAACCTCTGCTCAAGGGATGTCTTCTTCCTCTCTTGGAAAGCTGTGTTCCTTACCTCAGAAACAGCCCTCCATAAACCTGCCCTTAAGAGAATCCTTGGCCAGGCACAGTGATTCACGCTTGTAATCCCAGCACTTTGGGAGGCCAAGGCGGGTGGATCTCTTGAGGTCAGGAGTTCGAGAGCTGTCTGGCCATCATGGTGAAACCCTGTCTCTACCAAAAAATAAACATTAAAAATAAAAAAATTAGCCAGGTATGGTGGTGCGTGCCTGTAAATCTCAACTACTTGAGAGGCTGAAGCAGGAGAATTGCTTGAACCTGGGAGGCAGAGGTTGCAGTGAGCTGAGATCGTTCCACTGCACTCCAGCCTGGGCAACAGAGCAAGACTCCATCTCGAAAAAAAAAAAAAGAGAGAGAGAGAGAGAATCCTTAAGACACACCTTCTTGGATGCCCTCTGGAGAAATGTCAAGAGTAGCCAATATAGTCACCCCAGTCGGCTGTGGTGTGTGGGCCTCTAGTGTTTTAAGGTTCTAGGCAACTTAGCCCCTCCCAGGAGATGCTGATTTACTTTTCTCAAGGTGCATAAAGTCTCATCACACCAATATCTGAAAAATCTCTTTTCAAAGAGATGCAGGCAGCCTTCCAGCCCCATGATGTTAATACACAGGGTTAGGCAGCCTGGCAAGTGCACTGGGGCCCCCACTGAAGGATCATCTGGTTTCCATAGCAACAGTCCTTCCTTTCCACGGAGGATTCTATCATCTCTCCTGCTCACTCAGGCTTTCCAGAATGAATTGTTTTTTGTGACTATAGGTGTTTGTCCTTGATCCTGCAAAGAGAAAAGACATATTCATTTAAAACAAACACCCCCCGCCCCGCCCCGCAACTGACTGCAGCTAGAATACTGCATTGCATCAGCTGGTCTTCCTTTCATTTAAAAATTCCATGTCCTTTCTCCATTTTGCTCCGTTCTCTAGCTTTATCCATCATTTTGGAAAACAGGTTTCTCTGACAGAAAACAAACAGATGGCAACTCCATCATCCTAAAACTGGCTGTGACGGGGCTCTAAAATTAAGTGTTCATGGGGCTCCCAGAAAGCCTAGGCTTGCATGGTATGTGTGGCTGACCTGTGAGTTACGATTGGAGGGGCAAGAGAAGGCTTTCTATACACAGATGGCTCCCCATACAGTGTCACAGTCTCTGAAGTGTTGCCTTTTGAGGTTTGTTTTCTTAGGTCAGGCACTGCTGTCCTGTCAGTATTTTCCTAAATTGCCAATACTCCTGGGAAGAGTAATACGTTAGGTTACTAATACTGAAAGAACTTGGGAAAGAGAGGAGGGGGTGCAGCGGGAAGGGAATAAAAGGGGCTCTGAAGACCACCTTTGTGTGCTTCACAGTGACATCTTCTGCAAGAGGGGAAGTGCAGGTCTTCATCTCTCTCTTTGTCTCTCTCTGTCACACACACACACACACACACACACACACACACACACACTGCAGGACGCCTTCTGACAATTACAATACAGTAGTGAATTCACCGAACAGGACTGTTCCCTGAAACACCTACATACAATCCCGCTGGAAGACCTTTGAAACAGCCCTGCAGTGACTAAAAACTCTGTCCCCAGTGCCACTTGTTTAACCCTACAGTTTCCACAGACTAAAGGTAGTTTTCCTTTGGTTAATATGAAAACACCAAATAGTCAGATTGCTTTGTTAAATAAAGTGGATTACGGTGAATCTGTTCACTTCTATGTTTTATATTGCCCTCACTCCACAAATCACAGAAGATATTTATCTTTCCCCCAGTTAAATTCTGTTACCACAACCATTACAAACAAATGTCTATATAACCAAAATGTTAGTCAGCCCCATTCCAATAGAGCACATTTTAAGTGATGTTTAATGGGACATAATTTGAACATAAAATTCTATCTGTGCACTGTTTTCAAGTCTTTGAATCAGGCCTCCACCTATAGATGTTGGTTACCTATCAGGGAGCAACAGGTGATGCTAAGGATCACTTTGTAAAAACCAGGAATCACATCCCTGTAACTGACAGGAAACTGACTATATTCATCAGGGTTCTCCAGAAAAATAGAACTAACAGAATGTGTATATACATAGGAGGAAATTTTGTTTAAGGAATTGACTCGTGTGATCGTGGAGGCTTTGGGAGCCCAAAATCTGATGGGAGAAGCTGGCATGCAGGAGGCCCAGGGAAGAGTTACAGTTCTAGTCCACAGGTAACCTGCTAGAGAATTCCTTCTTGTTCTGGATGAGTTTGGCCTTTTGTCTATTCAGGCTTTCAAGTGATTGGATGAGGCCCACCTACATTATGGAGGGCAACCTTCTTTACTCAAAGTCTACAGATTTAAATGTAAATCTCATCCAAAAACACCCTCACAGAAACATCCAGAATAATATTTGATCAAGTATCTGGGCAACATGGCCAAGCCAAGTTGACACAGAATTAACCGTCACACTGGATCACAAGGGCTGTGTTCAGCAAGAACTGACCTTGGTCAAACCCTGCCCCTGCCCTTATGCCCCACTCTTCTTCATTCTGGGTCCTGCTATTTCCATTTTATCATGTCTTCATCTTCTTTCCCCACCTTTCAGGTACCTTTCCTCTCTGACCCTATCCCTAGACTCACCTCCTACCCCCCACTCAAAGCCCTTCCTTCCTTAAAAAATGATGTTAGTCATTACACTTTAGGATTTAAATTAATCATTCTGTTAGCCGTCTTACTAACTTTCTCACTGTGAAAGGAAAGCATATTAAAAGAATTTCAGGGATCGACGAAGAGCTGAGGGAGGTATTTTTCTAGGAAGAGAAAGTGACTAACAGAAATCAAGACAAAGGGGGACAATCAGATTTTTCAGATGACAGAAAGCAGGTAAACTCTAGAGATCTAGAGAACTAGCAAATGGTCTCTTCAGGGTGTCATCATTGCAGTAAATGAGCTCTAGCTATTTCTGTCTTTATTCTTCAGGGTATTCAAGATTGCAGTTACTTAGGAGAGACAGAGCATCTGACTGATTGAACTTGGGTTCTGTATTCACTCCTGGGCCAGGGGGAGGCAGGGTACCTGGTCTGACAGTCCTTCCAAGGCTGCATGAACCAGAAGAGCTGTTACCAGAAAAGGGCAGAGTGAATTTGGGGCAGCAAAAACATTTATTGCTTATCGACTATCACTGCAAGGATTACTCAGAGGGTGATGCAGAATCAGCACCCCTCTATTTCTAAGATGACCTTGAATGTCAGAGCAAGGCACAAACAGGTTGCAGAGACATGTGGAGTATCTGGAGCACTGTCTCAGGATCCTTCCTCTCCTGCTGGATGCTAAGGACCTTAAGGACAAGAGCTATCTTTGCTTGCAATTTATTTGGCAGGCCCTGCAGGGCTGTGCAAATGATTCTATTTAATTTTTACTACTTGTGAGAAGGCACAGAGGGCTTTGAGAGGGCACAGAGGGCCTCTTATAATGGGTAGATATGCACATTAGCTGATACACTGGAAACTTTCCAGCAGGCATATCCTTCCAAGATGATAAATATTCCTCCTTGTTGGAGAAATTGAAGACATTTGTACTTGCAATCTAGCTTATCTAGTAAAACAAGACAAACTAACCAGTGATAGGGAGAAACATGTTTGCATTATTTTCCAACCTTGAAAATAATGTCAGATTATTGGACTGAGAACCAATGTCATCTTCTGGATCTGGTAATTATTTGGACAAAATCTCTTTGATTCTAGGTTCAAAGTCAAGGTGTCAAAAAAAAAAAAGGATACAACTGTTAAGCTTATTTAATTATACCTCTCACTGTACAAATAAGGAAACTAGGCCAGGCGTGGTGGCTCACTTCTGTAATCCCAGCACTTTGGGAGGACAAGGCCAGTGGATCACCTGAGGTCAAGAGTTCGAGACCAGCCTGGACAACATGGCAAAACCCTGTCTCTACTAAAAATACAAAAATTAGCTGGGTGTGGTGGCAGGCGCCTGTAATACCAGCGACTTGGGAGGCTGAGACAGGAGAATAGCTAGAACCCGGGAGGCGGAGGTTGCAGTGAGCCGAGATCATGCCACTGTGCTCCAGCCTGGGTGACAGAGTAAGACTGCGTCTCAAAAACAAACAAACAAAAACAAATAAGGAAACTGGGCTCAGAGAGATGAAGGTACACAGGTGATGGGTAGATAGGGACAAAGAAAAGAACCTAACCCTTTGGACTCCCCAAGCCATTCTAATATTTGTTTTTGTAAGTTAGTAGCTTCTGCACGTTAGTATGTCAGAACTCAACTAGTTTCCTATCTTTCCTGATAACCTCTCCGACCCACCCATGATTTAGCTAACATCTGATTTGGTCAACCAAGCACCCTGGTCCTCAGGTTCAGTGTGAGACTTAATGAAATAGGCGTGAATTTTTTTTTTTTTTTTTTTTTTTAGACGGAGTCTCGCTCTGTTGCCCAGCCTCGCAATCTCAACTCACTTCAACCTCTGCCTCCGGGGTTCAAGCGATTCTCCCACCTCAGCCTCCTGAGTAGCTGAGATCACAGGCGCCCGCCACCACGCCCGGCTAATTTTTGTATTTTTAGTAGAGACGGGGTTTCACTATATTGGCCAGGCCGGTCTGGAACTCCTGACCTTAGGTGATCCACCCAAAGTGCTTGGATTACAGGCATGAGCCACCGCGCCTGGCTGGCATGAATTTTTTCTTCTGTCCCTAGTTCATCTTCAGGTCACTGTCTGATTTTATTAGTTCTCAAATTTAAATCACTATGCATGCTCAGCTCTTCTAGTTATTTCCCTTCTTTCCTCATGTTGGGAAAAAAACCCCGATTTATTCTAATTGTGAGAAATGAAAGCGAACAAATCCTATCATTCCCTATTGTCTTGTGCAAATATGAAGAGAGATATGATAGTGGGGTAAATAAAAGCATCAGGGAATCCATTCGGCAGAATCTTTCTCCTCTCAGCGTGCTTGCAGTTAGATATTCTGAGATTCCAGTGGAGAAATGGTATGGTGGAAACATTGAGGTTCAACAAGGCTCAATTTAGGGCATATTTTATTCAGATTCTACCATATATATTGTCTAAAATGAAACAACACTGGGGAATGAAAAGGTTGGTCGAAGATGCAAGTTGCCTTTATTAAATAAAGACAAATATTTAATAAAAATAATGTATAAAAATAATCACAATTCACTTTCAAATCTGAAAATACTGAGTTTTCCAGGCTACACATAAATAAAACTGCCAACGATGACAATTCCAGCAACTAGGAAAACAAGTACGCCTACAAAGAAAAGTGAGAAAATTCATGGAGAATTTGAACTCAGAACCAACTCCTCGGAGCTGATCTTTTTTGGGGGAAGCCAGGGAACGCGCCGGGCGCTCTCATCAGCAAGACCATGTTTAAAGAGAGTGTGGAAGCACAGACCAAAATGGACATTCGAGGGCGAACAGCAGCTGGCAAAGGGATAAGTGATCCGAAGCATTAAAGCCCTTGAGACAAATTCCGGCGCGAACCGCCAGTGGGGGATGAGACTCGCAGGCGCAGCCCTCCAGGCCCCGGCGGACTGACACGCACGTTGGAAACGGAGTCACCCACCACAGCCCCGCAGCTCCAGCCAAAATGGCGCCGCCGCTCTGCCCACCCCGCGCACCCCAGGCGGCCGCCGAGCCCGCGCGCGCGCCCTGTGGAGCGAGGACGCCGGGGACGCGGCCAGGGACGCGCGCGTCCTCACGGCGGTTGCACGCCTGCGCGAGGGCGGGCGGCGGGGGCGCGCGCGCGGCGGGGGCGGGCTTTGCCGAGCGCAGAGCTGCAGCCGCCGAGCCGGACGTGTCCGCGAAGATGGCGGGCCGGGTGAGTGCCGGTCTGGGAGCCCAGGCTTGAGGCAGGGGCGCCGGGCTCGCGGGCACTCTGGGGTCCAGGCGGCCCCAGAGGAGTGGGAGTGAATCCGAGCAATGGGGCGCGAGGCCAGAGCGGGACTTGAGGGTAGCAGGGGAGCGGTGGCAGGGGATTAGCCCTCCTCAACAACTCCACCCCCCTCGAGGGGAGATGACCCCTCGTTACACGCGTCTGCTGCGCCTCCCGTCATCCTCCCTTCCCATCCCTTGGGGCTTGTTCCCTCGTCCTCCACACAGCCGCAGGGTCGCGGTCGCCGAAGCCCCCTCTGACGGGCTCTGGGGGTCTTTCCGCACCCCCTTGCGAGGGCTTATTAGGGGGCGCCGGAGTAACTGCCGGGAGCACCTCTGCTGCATTCGGGGCAAGGGGTGTAGGAAGGATCTTCAGGAACCCATGTCTGGCTCTTCACAAATTAAAGGTCGTTGGGAAAGAGGAGGGGGTGCCAATGACTTTTAGTGTTAAAGCCCGGCCATCTGGGGGACCTGTCAACTGTCGGGTCAGGCAGGAATTGGCTTTAGCTTGGAGTGAGGATGGATTTGGGGTGTCACGTTTTGTTTTTATGGATGACACTCGCTTCGAATGCAGCAGGATATGCTGTAGTTTCAGGGTTTTAAATTTACTTCCTCCTTTAGCCTTTAGGATCGTTGGGTAGGATGGGTTTGGCGAGGAGAGAGAGCTGGTTGAGTGCTGTATTGCAGTCTGCCTTGAGCTAAAAGCTCTCAAGGGATGAGTCCTGCCCGGAGATTACACTGGTCATAAACCTGAGGACATTAACTGCGTCATTGGGGGTGAAAGATGTGATTGACTGATCTATTTATAACAGAATTTTTGAATAAGTTTGCATAGATTTATGCATATATGCAAATGCCCTATCTGAAGGGACTTGTAGGTCATGAGATTCTAGAGTAAGAAGGGATCTTAAAGGTCATTTAGTTTGGCTTCTTTCTCTTCCTTTTCCCCATGGCCTCTCCTTTTAAGGCTAGTCCTTCTGCCAGTACTTCAGACCCTATCTGTATATTCACCTGCTCCTTCTTAACATAATCAAGCTTCTCTATCTTAAACCCTTCCCCCACCCCCACAGCTGTCACCTTTTCCCGTCCCAGTTTACAGCAGGAAATTTGATAGAGTTGTCTATATTTATTGTCTTCCATTTGCTTACCACCTACTCACCCTTCAACCTACTGCAGTCTGATTTCTGCCCCATCATCCCACTGAAACCTGTCCCTCAACTTAATTGATACCTTTCAATCCTTATCTTATTTGATATCTCAGCAGCGTTTGACGTTGTTGACCATGGCTTCCTTGACGGAAAGCACTCTTCACATGTGTTCTGGAATGCCTCGCTCCTGGTTTGACTCAGACCTCTCTTTTGCGGCCTCACCCTCCTCTACTTTGTTATTCATTGCTGGTATTCCTCAAAGGCCGTCTTCTCACTCTCAATTTCCCGCTCAGGCAATTTCTTCTAAGCCCATAGCTACAACTGTCTATATGCCAGTGATTCTCAATATTTTACCCCCAGTCCAGACCTGCCCTTTAAGTTTCAGGTTAATATGTCCAACTGCTTATTTAAAATCAAGGTCCCGAAACGCAGCTTTTTCAACTCCGAACCCAGGATCTTAGCCCACCTAACTTGTGTAGATACTCCTCGACTTAACGATGGGGCTACCTTCCGATAAACCCATTGTAAGCTGAAAGTATCAGAAGTTGAAAATGCATTTAATACACCCGATCTACCGAATATCATAGCTTAGCCTAGCCTGCCTTCCTTACACATGCACAGAACACTTACATTAGCCTACAGTTGGGCAAAATCATCTAACATAAACCTATATTATAAAATGTTGAATACCTCATGTCATTTATTAGTGTGCTGATAGTGAAAAACAGAATGGTTGTGTAGGTCTTCAAAGTACAGTTTCTGCTGAATGCCTATCACCTTTGCACTATTGTAAAGTTGAAAAATGTTAAGTCAAACCATTGTAAGTCAGGGACCATCTGTACCTATCCAGTGAGATAGGAATATCTCACTGAATGATACCATCATCCACCCAGTTATATAGGCTGGGAATCTGAGGGAGGGAGAGGGTGGGTAACCCTTTATATCTCTCTTTTGCTGTACCCATGTCCTCTGCCCTATCCCCCGGTAAAATTTGTCAGAGTTCTGCTCCTGCCCCCCATAAAGGTATTTAATTAGGGCCAAAGACTCTGGTTTGGGGGAATGGTTGCTTTAGACTAGTTCCAAGTCACCCACTGGACTATCTGGATTGGTCACATGGGTTCTGTCATTTTAACCTAAAAATCTCCAGTCTGTCCACCTTTCCACATCTTCATTTTTACCTCCTTTTCCCAAACTACCATCATTTCTGGTCTGGACTACTGCAGGAAGCTTCCAAGTATTTTTTTGTTCGTTTGTTTGAGATGGAGTTTCGCTCTTGTTACCCAGGCTAGAGTGCAATGGCGTGATCCCTGCTCACTGCAACTTCCGCCTCCTGGGTTCAAGCCATTTTCCTGCCTCAGCCTCCTGAGTAACTGGGATTACAGGCGCCCACCACCACACCCGGCTAATTTTTGTATTTCTAGTAGAGACGGGGTTTTACCATGTTGGCCAGGCTGGTCTCGAACTCCTGACCTCAGGTCATCCACCTGCCTTGGCCTCCCAAAGTGCTGAGATTCGTGCCCGGCCTCCCAAGTAGTCTTCTTAGAGCATGTGGCCCACCTCCAATTCATTCTTGACCTTCATTGTTCCTTCCCGTGCCTATTACTACTTAAACCCCTCCTCAGCAGCATCCCATTACTTTTGGGAGAAAACCAAATCCTTAATGAGGCCTTCAGGACTCTTTGTGGTTCTGCTCCTGCTTCTTTCCACTCATTCTCTTACTCTGTGTGCTCAGGTTATATGGTAAACGAGCCTTTCAATTCCTTGAACCTGTAGTTTCTCTTACCACAAGGTCTTTGCGAGTGGTGTTTCCTTTCTTTGTAACGTTCTTCCCCCCAACCATTTACCTCCTACTCAGACATCACTTAGCTACTCAAGGGAGGCCTACTCTGACCCCACATTATAAGTCAGGATCCTTTGTTATATACTCTTGAAGAACTGTATTCCTCTCCTTAGAGATTTATCTTTTTGTTACTTTGAGTGTGTGTTATTATTTGCTTCTACCACTTCACCTCAGTGAAAAGCAGAGAACATACAAGTTATTTAGTCATTATCAACTGCGCTTTGTGTACCTTGTGGGACTTAGGTACTCAATACATTTTTGTTGAAAATGAATCAGTCTCTGAACACTCTGGTGATAGATGGTATATTACCCTAAAGCTTGCCTGTAATGTCATACAGCTATGTTAGGTCTTTGTTATCTGGAGTTCCATGTAACTTTTATACGTAGTTACTATTTCTGCTGTTTCAAGCCATACGGAACTAAACACAATTCTTTTTCCATGTAATAGCTACTCAAGCTACTCATTTACTTGAATACAGGTTACATATCTCCTCAGATTTTCGATTTTGCAAGTTAAACATCCCCCAATTCCTAGCATATTTCATATTCCAAACCCTTCATCATTTAGGCTACCTTCCTCTGGAAGTAACCTAATGTTACTGTTTTGTCAACCTTTCTTCTAAAATGTGCCCAGAGTGGAACACAGTGATCAGAGAAGAATGTACTTAAGCTATTATTGTCTTGAGATGGACACTACCATTATTCATACCAGATAAAATTGTATTAGCGTTTTTTCTATAGTAAATCACATTCTTGGCTCATACTGAGCTTGTAGTCAGTGAAAACTCATGTTCTTTTAAAATCAGCTCCCTAGCTCCATTCTAGGTTTAGAGCAGTTTTATTGAACCTAAATCAAGACCTTATCCTTTTACAATTCATTTTTTTAGGTCAGTGCATGTCTGCTGTTTGTTGAGGTAATCTGGATTCTTAGTTCTTTCATGTTAGGAAACATAATAGCTGTCTCTTCCAGTTTGGTTAGATCTGTAGGTTTAATCATGACTTCTGTTTCTACGTTTGAGTTATTGGTAAAGGATAGAATAAGACAGGGTCAGAAATAACCCTTGGACATGCTGCCAGTGACATGCCTCTAGACTGATACCCATTAATACACTTGGGCACTGTTGCTTAAATACAGATGTGTCTCATTTAATTCCAACAAAACAACCTGCAAAGTAGGTAGTATTATCTTTGTTTTTTTGCAGAGAGAAAGAGAGAGAGATTTAGTAACTTGAGAAGTTCACATAGCCAGCAAGAAGCAGGGTCAAGATTTGAACTCAGATCAGCCTGGTACTGTTACCTAGTTCACCAGCTTAGTTGCAAGAGTGTAGTAAAGACTAGGTTTACCTCACCTAGAACTTTTTGGACATAATAATGTTCAGAAACTATCTTCTACCTTTTGGAAAATCTGAAAAACTTTGGCCCATCTGATTGTCTATCATTTCTTCTGATAGCCTTTATTTTCTAGTAACTACTGAGTGATTTTTAGCAAAAATAGTTCACCTTGTTGCAATACTTTTATTTGTGCATATTTATGGAGTACATGAAAATTTTTTTACATGTGTATAATGTGTAGTGATCAAGTCAGGGTACATGAGTCCAATGTATTAAGTATAGTCATCTACTCAGCTATCAAACATTGAATTTATTCCTCCTATCACTGGATCTTTTTTTTTTTTTTTTGAGACGGAGTCTTGCTCCGTCACCCAGGCTGGAGTGCAGTGGTGTTATCTTGGCCTCACTGCAACCTCTGCCTCCCGGGTTCAAGCGATTCTCCCGCCTCAGCCTCCTGAGTAGCTAGGATTACAGGCATGTGCCACCACGCCCAGCTAATTTTTGTATTTTTAGTAGAGACAGGGTTTTACCACATTGGTCAGGATGGTCTTGGACTCCTGACCTGGTGATCCACCCGCCTTGGCCTCCCAAAGTGCTGAGATTACAAGTATGAGCCACCGCGACTGACCTCATTGGATCTTTTTACCTTTTAACCCACTTCTCTTCAGCCTTTCTCTCCCTTACTCCGCCTTCCCAGTCTCTGTTATCTATTTTTCCACTCCCTGCCTCCTTGTGTTCAAATTTTGTAGCTCCTACATATATGTGAAAGCATGCAATATTTGTCTTTTTGTGCCTGGCTTATTTCACTTAAGAGAATAACCTCCAGTTCCATCCACATTGCTGCAAATGATATGATTTCATTCTTTTTATGGCTGAATAGTATTCCATTGTGTACATGTATGACATCTTCTTTATCCATTCATCTGTAGATGGACACTTAGGTGGTTGATTCCATATTTTTGCTATTGTGATAGTACTGCAATAAACATGCAAGTGCAGCTATCCCTTTGATACATTGATTTCTTTTCCTTTGTGTAGATACCCAGTAGTGGGATTGCTGGATGGAAGGTAATTCTATTTTTAGCTTTGAGAAATCTCCATACAGTGTTCCTTAGTGGTTGTACTAGTTTACATTCCCACCGACAGTGTATGTGAGAGTTCCCTTTTCTCTGCATCCTTACTAACATCTGTTACTTTTTGTCTTTTTAATAATAGCCATTCTGACTGGGGTAAGATGATATCTCATTGTGGTTTTGATGTGCATTTCTCTGATAGTGGTGTGGAACATTTTTCCATGTCTTCTTTTGGCCATTGTATGTCTTCTTTTTTAATGGGATTATTTGTTATTTTCCTTTTGAGTTGTTCGAGTTCCTTGTATGTTCTGGATATCAGTCCTCTGCTTGATGAATACTTTGCAAATATTTTCTCCCATTCAACAGGTTGTCTCTTCATTCTGTTGATTATTCTTTTGCTGTGCAGAAGCTTTTTAGTTTGCTTAAGTCCCATTTGTTTAGTTTTCTTTATGTTACCTGGGCTTTTGATGTCTTAATCATAAATTCTTTGCTTACACCAATGTCCAGGAGTGTTTTCCCTAGACTTTCTTGTAGTATTTTTATAGTTTTGGGTCTTAAAATCTTCAATCCATTTTGAGTTGATTTTTGTATATGGTGAGAGATAGGGGTCTAGTTTCACACTTCTGCATGAAGTTATGCAATTTTCCCAGCATCATTTATTGAAGACAGTGTCCTTTCCTTAGTGTGAGTTCTTGTCAGTGTTGTTGAAGATCATTTGTCTATAATTATGTGGTTTTATTTCTGGATTCTCTATTCTGTTCCATTGGTCTACATGTCTATTTTTATACCAATACCATGCTGTTTTGGTTACTATAGCTTTATAATATATTTTGAAGTCAGATAATGTGATGTCTGCAGCTTTGTTCTTTTTGCCCAGGTTTGGTTTGGTTGTTTGGGCTTTTTTCTTTTTCCTTTTTTGGTCCCATATGAATCACATTGGTATTTTGATAGGGATTTCATTGAATCTGTAGATTGCTTTGGCAATATGGTCATTTTAGTGATATTAATTCTTTCCACAAGCATAGGATGTTTTTTGATTTATTTTCTTTCATTGGTGTTTTGTAGTTTTCTTTGTAGAGATCTTTCACCTCCTTAGTTAAATGTATTCCTAGGTTTTTGTTTGTTTTCGGTAGCTATTGTAAATGGGATTGCCTTCTTAATTTCTTTCTTGGCTAGATCCTTATTGATGTATAGAAATGCTACTGATTTAAAGGTTTTCTAAACCTACAGATATATAATCAGCAAAGAGACAATTTGACTTTCTCTTGTCCAGTTTGGATGCCTTTCATTTCTTTCTCTTGTCTGATTGTTCTGGCTAGGATTTCCAGTACTGTGGTGAATAGGAGTGGTGAAAATGGGCATCCCTGCCTCATTCCAGCTTTTAGAAGAAAGATCTCACCTCTCCTCATTCAGTATGATGTTAGCTCTGGGTTTGTTGTGTATAGACTTTATTATTTTGAGATATATTCCTTCTATGCCTAATTTGTTGAGAGTTTTTTTAATCATGAAGGGATGTTGAATTTTATCAAATGTTTTTGTTGTTGTTGCAATACTCTTTTTTTTTTTTTTTTTTTTTTTTTTTTTGAGACAGAGTCTTGTTCTGTTGCCCAGGCTGTAGTGCAGTGGCGCGATCTTGGCTCACTGCAACCTCCACTCACTGGGTTCAAGCAATTCTCCTGCCTCAGCATCCCTAGTAGCTGGGATTACAGGCCTGTGCTACCACACCCAGCTAATTTTTCTATTTTTAGTAGAGACAGGGTTTTGCTATGTTGGCCAGGCTGGTCTCGAACTCCTGACCTCAAGTGATTTGTCTGCCTTGGCCTACCAAAGTGCTGGGATTACAGGCGTGAGGCACTGAGCCCGGCTGTTGCGATACTCTTAATGGGTTTTATATTTCCTTTTTGTGGGGGACAGTTTATTTTGCATTCTTACTACTTTTGATATTCTGACATCATCTTATAAGTGGGATTTATATTCACTATGTAATTGAAGTTTTTTCCAATGAAGCACCGTATATAGTTTATCTGGGAAATTGGCTGAAGAATAAAATGTGTGATGTTATTCAGTGTACAGTTTCTAGGTCATCAGAAGATACCACTACCTTCCCACTACTGGAAAAGAAAAAAGAAAAGTTTTCCACAGTGCCTGAACTGTTTTGTATGCTTATCTTTTAAAATTGCCAGAAATCTCACTTACTGGAGATTCAGCAGTCCCTTTCTGAAAATACACATACTTTAGTGCAAATAAAGCCAGTGGATCTCTTTCTTCATAAGTCCTTAAACCTAGTCGAGGTCATCTGTTTGGCAGAGATAGGAGTAAGATAATGTGAAATAGGAACCAACGAGAGAGAACTTGCTTAGGAGTTGAAAGGGGTATGGAAAGATGTTAGAGGTAAAATTTGTCGAATCTAGTGTTTTGACTAGGGCAGGCCAGAATATTCAGTATCAGTATCAATATCAGAAGCTTTTGTAGCCTTTGTTTAGAAACCTAGTCATTTATAACATTTTGTGGGTGAATGACATCATTACCAAACAAACTTTCAGATGAAACTTTGGAACTCAAGCTGTAAATTGTGGATAGCTCATGTGCAGTACTACAAATCAAAACAAATACTATAAAGTGTTTGGTAGTCCATTTCCTGAATGAAAGTTTGTCCAAAGTATATCAACTTTCTGCAGTCTTACATGCAGTAGTTATTAGTTTTGTGTATCGCTTTAGTGGATATTTTTAAAAGTATCTTCAAATGCAATGAATTTTAGGAAACAAAACAATTCTTTAAAGCATCATTAGATAGCTTCTTCTTTCTGAAACCCAGAGGAATTTATGTATAGGATGACTCTTTTTTTCAAGTAGTTAAGTTAAGGTGCAAAAGTATAAGGTAAAGTATATTATCTTGCCATTGAAAATTTTGGCAGTGGCAGAAGAGCGAACCCTTACAAATACCTTCATTGGGCAATACACTAAGCACTTGCTGTAATGCTTTTTAAAACATCTATACTCTGGCTGTGGTATTTTAAGTGAAAATCTCTCAGTGAGATACTCTTTCGTATTTTAGTACTGATATCCTTAATATTGCTCTGAGAGCTACCTTATACTGACTTCAGTTTCCTAGTGATTTAAACTACTAATTTCCAACTTTTATTTTTTATAGTGAAAACTAAATATTCCTTTTGTAGATGTAACCATTTCTGGAAGCCCTAAGTATTTTTGAATGAGTATAATTCATGCACACTTTAAGAGATTTCAAGCATGACAAGTACAGTGAATAACATATATCCATGTGATTACCACTGAGGTTTAAGAAATGTTAACATATGATATCTGCTTCAGATATTTATCTTTTTAAAAATAGAACATTACAGCTGGGCATGGTGGCTCACACTTGTAATCCCAGCACTTTGGGAGGCTGAGGCTGGTGGATCACCTGAGGTCGGGAGTTCGAGACCAGCCTGGCTGACATGGAGAAACCCCGTCTCTACTAAAAATACAAAATTAGCCGGGCGTGGTGGCACATGCCTGTAATCCCAGCTACTCGAGAGGCTGAGGCAGGAGAATCGCTTGAACCTGGGAGGCAGAGGTTGCGGTGAGCGAGATCACAACTCCAGCCTGGGCCACAAGAGTGAAACTCAGTCTCAAAAATAATAATAATAAATAAAAAATAGAACATTACAGATCCAATTGACTCTTCTTTGTATTGCTCCTTTTTTTTTTTTTTTTTAGTTTTATTTAAAAATTTTTTTTAGAGGCTGAGTCTCACTTGGTGGCCTGGGCTGGAGTGCAGTGGCGCAGTCATAGCTCACTGCAGCTTCACACTCCTGAGCTCGAGCAATCTTCCTGCTTCAGCTTCCTGAGTAGCTTGGACTAGCAGAGGTGTGCCACCACATCTGGCTAATTAAAAAAAAGTTTTTAGAGATAGGATCTCTCTGTGTTGCTCAGGTTAGTCTCAACACCTGGCCTCAAGTGATCCTCCCACCTCAGCCTCCTGAGTAGCTGTGGTTGTAGGTGGCAGCCACCACACCTGGCAGTATCCCTTCTTGAGACCACTGACCTTTCCCAGAAGTAATCACTGTCCTGAAGTTGGTATAGATTCTTTCTGTCTACATCTATGCATGTTTATGCTCAAAAACAATATATTGCTTTGTGTGTCTTTAAAATGTATATAATGGTTTTATGCTATATCTTTCTTTCTGCAACCTGCATTTTTCACTTAAAATAATTTTGAAATTTAGTCCTGTGGATATATAGTGAGCCAATTAATTCTGCTTAGCTACTCTGTAGTCTGTTTTGTGAATATACCACAATCATCTACTTTCTTATTAGAGGACAATTTAGGCAGTTCCAATTTTATTTTTCCCGGAATGTACATTATTTTAGTCGAGTGCCATTGCCACATTAGCGATATTTTGGTTAGTGAGGGACTGCAGATAGGAAGGTGATCCCAAAAGATTATAATGCCATATATTTACTCTACCTTTCTATATTTACATATGTTTAGTTACACAATTACCCATTATGTTACAGTTGCTTACAGCATTTGGTGCTGTAACATGCTGTACAGGTTTGTAGCCTAGGAGCAATAGGCTATACCGTATAGGTTTGTGTAAGTACGCTCTATGATATTCATATAACGATGAAATCACCTAGTGACACATTTCTCAGAATGTATCCCTATTGTTAAGCAACACATGAGTGTGTGTCTCCATGCATATATGTGTAAGAGTTAGCATGTGTGTCCAGAGGTAGAATTGCTGGGCGATAAGTCATACTCATCTTTACCTAGTTATGCCAGTTTATACTGTCACTAGCAGTATATGAGTACCTGTTATTTATATCCTCTCCAACACTTAATATTGCTGACATTTTAACTTTTACAATATAATAGGTGTAAAACTATTGTTTAAATTTGCATGTTGTCCTCATTACTAGTGAGATTAAGCATTTTTCATATTGGTCATTGGGATTTCCCCTTCTGTGAATTACTTTTGTATATTTGCTCATTTTTTCTGTTGGGCTGTGTATTTTTTTAGTGATTTGTATAATTTTTCGTTTTTTGGGGGGTAGGGTATGCTTTGGATTCTAATCCTTTGTTGTAAATAGCTTCTCTCAGACAGTGATGGTCTTTTCATGATGTTTATAGAGTGTTGGATTTAAATTTTATAGTTATAATTACCCTTTTTTTTTTTTTTACCTTGGTGATTTGTGCTTTTATGTGTTTTTCAGGAAATCTTTCTCCACCCTGAAGTCATTTTCTTATAAAAGTTTTAAAATTTTGCCTTGCACATTTTGGTGATTGATCAGGAATTTATTTTTGTGTTTGGTGTGAATTATGAACTAATTTTATCTTTTCCATATGTATAACCAGTTGTCTCAATATCATTTATTGAGTCCATTTTTTTCCTTTACTGATTTGCAATGCTATCTCTGTATTATATCCAGTTCCCATATATGTGTGGGTCTAAGTGTCGACTCTATTCCGTTTCATAATTCTTTTTGTCCATATTTGCATCAATAACACTGTTTTAATTGCTGTAGCTTTAAAATTATTCTTGTTATTTCATAGGGCGTACTTTCATTACCTTTCTTAATTTGGCATTTCTTGGCTCTTTTCCGTATGAATTCTGGGAACAACTTAATCCCCACTCCTTTAAAAAAAAAAAAAAAGACACTTTGGCCTGGCATGGTGGCTCACACCTGTAATCCTAGCACTTTGGGAGGCTGAGGCGGGTGGATCACTTGAAGCCAGGAGTTCAAGGCCAGCCTGGACAACATGGCAAAACCCTGTCTCTACCAAAAATTAGCGGGCATGGTGGCACACGCCTGTAATTCCAGCTACTTGGGAGGCTGAGGCATGAGAATCAGCTTGAACCCAAGAGGTGGAGGTTGCAGTGAGTTGAGATCGTGCCACTGCACTCCAGCCTGGGCAACAGAACGAGACAGTTTTTTGTTTGTTTGTTTTAAAGACACTTTTAACCTTCCGCTATGGATTTTTGACCTACATTTTTCCTCTTGTATTTTATAAGAGTAGACACAGAGAGCACTTCAATAAAATTCAGCTCAATAACTTTATTAACCTGATCTCCTTTTCTTTGACTTTAAGCTGAAAGTGTTAATTTCTCACAACTTGTGCTCTATAGATTTGAAACCAAATCAATTAGCATCAGCTGTTTATGAGTAATGCAGGGTATTTTGGTCTTTTGCTAAATTCAGAAAGAAATGTTAAAGTGCTGATGGATTTGCACTAGCTGTATAGATCTTTGGTGGAGGAGGAAATGGGAAAATTATTAATTTCAGGTAAGAAGTCATTTTTGAAATGCAAGATTCATTTCTTTTTAAAATCACCACATAATAAAAACTTTAAGGGCTGCATTGGTGGGTTTTTAAAAAAAATTGTGAAGTGTTTTTAGTGTTATGTGCTGACAAATATTTTTGTAGTTGCTTTGACAAGCAATGAAACTACCAATTATCACTAATTCTGAGTCTTCCAATGAACCTCTGTGTCAAATTTTTAAATTTAATTATCCTATTTTTCTCCTAGAGAATAATATTGATATAATTTTGTGAACCATAGCAGACAGTTCCCATTGCTGAGAATAGAGCCTGGTGTGGGGATATTATGATTCTTGAATGGTTGAACAAGACATTTGCTTCTGAACATCTTAGTAAATTATCACTTCTGACAATGTCTGTAGTTTGAATTTTGATATTCTCTGCCAAGGTATTGAATACTCTAAATAATGTTGTTTATTCTATTATTTAAATCATTAGTATTATAGATCTAGCTTTAAACAGCTGCTGCACTCCAGTCCTTTTTCTTCACCTGCAGATATTGAGTCTGATAACTGTTTTGTATACATAGCCTTTCAGTAAATCTACTTATCAGTCATCAAATTAACTTAATTATAAGTTAAATGATGAGATGGACCAAGAGTGTTATTGAAATCTCATTTCCACACATTTCTTCTCTTCTTTTGTAGAAGGTAATGAAATGAACCTGTCAGTGTTCCTGTTTTTATGAAGTTTATTTCTCTTAGTACAGTGATTCTGATAGTGGGTTCTGCAGACCAGCAAATTAGCATTATCTGAGAACTTGTTAGAAAAGCAAATTCTCAGTTCCCACTTCAGGCTGACTAATTTAGAAACCCTGGGGTAGGGCTTAGCATTCTCTTTCAATAAATTCTCCAGGTGATTCTGATGTATGTTAAAGTTGAGAAGCATTCACTTAGTGTTTTGAGCTCTCCAATTTAGTTCCTTATAAATTGTTGAAGATATTTTTTCCAGATTTCTTTCCAAATATGTGCTCAACCTTGTTACTGATAGGTTTCAAGGTTATCGTCTTCTTCCCATTAATACCTTCATCTATATCCAATTTTCAAACTTTTAAGAAAGCATGGCTATTTTGCTGCAGTATGGTGAATTAGGTACTCTGACTGACCTTCCCAGATAAACAATTTAAAATTCTGGATAATTTTTTTTTGGAGGGAGGACAGGGTCTTGCTCCGTCACACAGGCCGGAGTGCAGTAGTGTGAACATGGGTGACTGCAACCTCGACCTGTTGGGCTCAAGCGATCCTCCCACCTCAACCTCCCGAGTAGCTGGGGCCACAGGTGCACACCACCATGTCCAGCAAATTTTTTTATTTTTTGTGCAGATGGGGTCTTGCCTTGTTGCACAGACTGGTCTCGAACTCCTGGGCTCAAGCAGTTTTTCCACCTGGGCCTCTCGAAGTGCTGGGATTACAGGTGTGAGTGACTGTGCCTGGCAGATGAAATATTTTTTAAGTAAAAACCTTATGTGCATGGAGATAGCTGGCTGAAAAGTAAGGAATAATCAGGCCAAAAACTATGTGAAGGTGAAAACCCAGAGATATAAGCCAAGTACTGCTGCCTTGAGGACATTATTTGCAAATGACATTACTTGGAAAACCTAGTTAACTTGTGCTTGTGCCTCAAGAAGCTCAGAGAACGGAAGATAAAAGTAGTTTTCTGGTAGAACGTCCCACCTCTCCTGGTAAAGATGGTACCCCAAGGGTCTATACATCATAATAAATGAGAACTAGTAATAAACGTACCTTGTCTAAGGATCGGAAAGAAAAATTTCCTGCCTCAAACTTTGGTGGTGATGGGAAGGGTACAGAAATTCCCTGAGAAGTTTTACCCACAAGCTGACCTTCATGCAGGTTTGAATCCTGATTTTATATTACCTGGATGGTATGAAAATCTTAAGCCAGTAATTAAATATAAAAGTGGTACAAGAGTGACGATGCCTTAAAATGCCTAAGAATGCCTAAAAAGCAGCAAATACAAAGCTTCTTGGGAGAACCCATCTTGATCTTAGGATTTAGAAAATTCCTAAACATAAAGCTGTAAGAAATATGAACTCACATTCACAAAATGCAGAAAGAAATAAGATGCAATGAATGAGAGGAAGCAGAAACAATAAAGAGCAGAATCAGAACCTGCAAAGAGTTCACATATTGGAGTTAGCAGACACAGATTATAAGTACATATATTTAATATGCTTATAGAAAAAAAGAAATTTAAAATAGGAATGAGGAGCAAGTATACAAAAATGACCAGTGTACAAATTTAATAACAGATTAGACACAGCTAAAGAAAGATTTAGTAAAGTGGATCTGAAAAAATTGCAGTATAGAGGCAAGAAAATGAAAAGTAATAAAAGAGTTAAGAGAATACAGAGGGTAGAATAAGAAGGTTCAGTCTAGTCAGAATTCTGGGGCAGGGGAGCAGGGGCATGGAAAAGAATGAGGCAGAGGCAGTATTTGAAGAGATAATGACAGAGAACTGATGAAAAACAACCTACAAATTTAGGAAGCTAAAGAATCCCAGAAAGGATAAAAAGAAAAAAAATTCACACATAAACATTTTTTAAAGAAACTACATGATACCATAGAGAGGTCTTAAAAGCTGTCAGAGGCTGGGCATGGTGGCTCACGCCTGTAATCCCAGCACTTTGGGAGCCCGAGGAGGGTGGATCACCTGAGGTCAGGAGTTCAAGACCAGCCTCAACGTGGAGAAACCCTGTCTCTACTGAAAATACAAAATTAGCCGGGCGTGGTGGTGCATGCCTGTAATCCCAGCTACTCAGGAGGCTGAGGCAGGAGAATTGCTTGAACCTGGGAGGTGGAGGTTGCAGTGAGCCGAGATCGTGCCATTGCATGCCAGCCTGGGCAACAAGAGCAAAACTCCATCTCAAAAAAAAAAAAAAAGCTGTCAGAGAAAAAAGATATTACCTTCAACAAGTATTTGGCTGTCAGCTGTTTTCCTGTCTATAATAATGAAAGCCATAAGACAGGGAGTAATATTTTCCATATGCTTAGAGAAAATAATTGTCAACCAAGAATTGTATATCTTGTGAAGAATGGGGGCAAAATTAGACACTTTAAAACAGACAAACACTCAATGTTGTAACCATCAAACCTTCCCTACTAGTGGAAATTCAGATCAATTTCCTGAAGGCTAAAAAAAAAAAAAAAAAGTGACCACTGATGTAAAGTCTGAGATTTAAGAAGGATTGAAGAGTAAAGAATAATGGTAAATCTGTGGATATATTGAAATAAATATTGGCTTTATAAAATGATGTATGCGGAGGTTTTAAAAATAGAACTAAATAGGCCAGGTGTGGTGGCTCACGCCTGTAATCCCAGCACTTTGGGAGGCTGAGGTGGGCGGATCACCTGAGGTTATGAGTTGGAGATCAGCCTGACCAACATGGAGAAACCTCGTCTCTACTAAAAATACAAAAAAAAAAAAAAAAAAAAAATTAGCCGGGTGTGGTGGCGCATGCCTGTAATCCCAGCTACTCAGGAGGCTGAGGTAGGAGAATTGCTTGAACCTGGGAGGCAGAGGTTGCAGTGAGCCGAAATCACGCCATTGCACTCCAGCCTGGGCAACAAGAGCAAAACTCCGTCTCAAAAAAAAAAAAAAGAACTAAATATATGATAACAACATCCAAATCAAAAGAGTGGTTAAAGTATTTTATGATCTTTATACTGTTGAAGAGAAAGGTAAAGCTATTCAATTAACTTTAGATTTTGATAGGTATGTGTATTAGTATTTTCAGAGTAACTACTAAAATAATATAAATATTAGGAATAATTTATAGCAGAAAAAACAATTTTTAAAAGGCAAGGAAGAAGTGAAAAACATAGAAAAGGTCAGATAAAGAGGAAACAATAAAATATAGAAATCAAATCAAATATATGGTAGACTAAATGCTTCATTCAGACAAAGAATGTCAGATTGGATTATTTAAAAGCAAGCAGGCCGGGTGCAGTGGCTCACGCCTGTAATCCGAGCACTTTGAGAGGCTGAGACGGGTGGATCACTTGAGATCAGGAGTTCGAGACCACCCTGGCCAACACGGCCAGCTGGCCATGGCCAGCTAATACAAAAATTAGCTGGGTGTGGTGGTGCACACCTGTAATCCCAGGTACTTGGGAAGGTGAGGCAGGAGAATCACTTGAACCCAGGAGGCGGAGATTGCCGTAAGCCAAGATCATGCCACCGTACTCCAGCCTGGGCAACAGGGTGAGACTCTGTTTCAAAAATAAATAAATAAATAAATAAAAGCAAGCAAACAAACTTACTGAAACAACACAAAATCCAGCTATAATTTTCAAGAGAGATAGCTAATACATATGAATGTAGAAAGATAGAAAGCAAAAGGATGGAAAAAGTCTATCAGGCAAACTCTAACCAAAAGGGAGGTAAACTAACTATATTAGCATCAGACAATATGATCTTTCAGACAAAAGAGACAGCTAGAGATAGGTCCCTCAACAATGAGAAAAGGTTTATTTATCCATAAAGGTAAAAACAATTCCAAACTTGTGTGAACCTAATAATTGCCTCAATATACAAAGAACAAAATGACACAATTATAAGATGAAATAGACAAATCTACCATGGTGAGGAGTTTCAAAACTCCCTAATTGAAAAATTAAAAAGACAAAATGGTTACAGCTGAAAATTAAAATTAAAAATTCATTTTCTCGGTTGCAATAGCCATTTTTCAAGGGCTTACTAGTGACATGTGACAATGGCTGCTGTATTGGACAGCACAGAAAGTACTTTTGCACTGCATTAATTTAGAAGACTTAATATAATTAACAATATTAATAATTGAGTATTGAACACCACATCCAAGGTGCAGATCTCTGAATAATATCTGATCATAATGTGGGCAAGTTAGAAATTAATGACAAGAAAAGGCAGAAACATGGGAGACAGGTGAAGATTTCTTAAACAGAATATAAAAAGCACTAGATACAAAGGAAAAAAGTGATTAATTGGATTTCATCAAAAGACACTGACTTAGTTTGCTTAGGCTGCCATAACACAATACTATAGACTTGGTGGCTTAAACAAAAGAAATGTATTTTCTCACGGTTCTGGAAGCTGGAAGTTTGGGACCGGGGTGCCAGTATGACTGCGTTTTGGTGAGCACTGTCTTCGTGACTTGCACACAGGCTTCTTGCCACGTGTCTGTGTGGCGGACAGACAGCAAGATCTCACCATCTCTCTTCCTTTTCTTATAAGGCCACAGTCTTGTCAGATTAGGGCCCTTCGCTTATGACCTAATTTAGCCTCAATTATCTCCCAGAGTCCCTATCTCCAAAATAGTTGGGGTGGGGGAAGTGCCTTGACTAATGAATTTTGTTGGGGGCAGTGGGGAGTGCACATTTCACTCCATAGTAGACACCATTGAGGAGAAAGACCAGAGTGGAAGAAGGTATTTGAAATACATGTATTTGACAGCCAGGCACGGTGGCCCACACCTGTAATCCCAGCACTTTGGGAGGCCGAGCCGGGCGGATCACGAGGTCAGGAGATCGAGACCATCCTGGCTAACACAGTGAAACCCCGTCTCTACTAAAAATACAAAAAATTAGCCAGGCGTGGTGGCGGGTGCCTGTAGTCCTAGCTACTTGGGAGGCTGAGGCAGGAGAATGGTGTGAACCCAGGAGGCGGAGCTTGCAGTGAGCCGAGATTGCGTCACTGCACTCCAGCCTGGGCGACAGAGCAAGACTCTGTCTCAAAAAAAGAAAAGAAAAAAAGAAATACATGTATTTGACAAGGACTTGTACCTGGAATATATAAAGAACTACAAATCAAGAATAAAAAGAAAGGACAGAAAGCCAATGGAAAAATGAACAAAGGATTCAAACAGGGATTTCACAAAGAACTTACCTGTAACGTATGTTAAATGCTCAACCTCATTAGTCATCAGAGAAATACAAGTTAAAACCTCAGGGAGATATTACTACACACCCACCAGAAAGTTAAATTAAGAACACATTTGTCATGACAATTCTGGGTTTGATTTTGTTTTGTTTTTTGAGATGGAGTCTTGCTCTTGTCGCCCAGGCTGGAGTGCAGTGGCATAATCCCAGCTTGTTGCAACCTCTGCCTCCTGGGTTCAAGTGATTCTCCTGCCTCATCCTCCCGAGTAGCTGGGATTATGGGCACCCACCACCACGCCTGGCTAATTTTTGTATTTTAGTAGAGATGGGGTTTTGCCATGTTGGCCAGGCTAGTCTTGAACTCCTGATCTCAAGCGATCCACCTGCCTTGGCCTCCCAAAGTGCTGGGATTACAGGCATGAGCCCGCGCACCTGGCCTGTCATGACAATTCTAAGTGGTGATGAGGATGTGCAGCAGCTGGAACTGATGAAAATGCATGAGCACAACCTCTTTGGAAAACTAGCAGAATTCCCTAAAACTGAATGTAGGCATGATGCCCATGACCCAGCACTTATAGTCCTGGGGGTGGGAGGAGTGAATATATTTCTATTCATGATTTCTATCTCTGATGACAGAAATTAAGCTAGTGGGTATCTGTGGTTGAGTAGAAGGATAGTGACTAGGAGCGGGCAGTATGGGATGCTGGTAATGTCCTCTTGACCTAACTGTTGGTTACCCTGGGTGTGTTCACTTGTAGAAATTCATTGAGCCAAACACGTACAATGTATGCATTTTTGTGTATATATGTTCTTCTTCAATAAAAACTTGATTTAAATAATGTTCTTTTTCTTAAACTGGGTAGTAGGTTTATGGTGTTTTATGTGTTGCCTGTGTTTTATACATATTTTATTCCTGTTCAGTGTCCAAAAAATATAAAAAGTAGTCACTGCTTTGTTGTTAATTTGAGCATCTCCTGCACCTAGCACAGTGCCTGGGACATTATAGATATTTATTAAATATTTGTTCTATGGAAAAGAAGTAGGCTAGTAATTTCTTTTTGCTTTCCAACAGCCAGTTTTTGATTCAATTATTTGTAAATATGATTTCTACTCAGTTGTTTCTAAATAATAAAATATGTAAATACTATTATGTTTATATTTATTAGTAAGCTGAATTTATTAAATGAGAAACCTCTCAATATTAAGGACACATCATAAATTATTAGCATGCTGTGTTATAATGACTAAAAGTAGTATCAACAATTTAGATAAGTATAGTGTGGCCTTACGGATGTAAGTCCGTAAGATCATGCAGCATTGAAGATGTGCAGTTTACTAGATCTTCTAATATTCTCGGGTGTCTCACTGTTTCTTTTTTCTTTTTTTTTTTTTTTTGAGATAGGGTATCACTTTGTCACCCAGTCTGGAATGCAGTGGCGTGATCAGGGCTCACTGTAGCCTTGACCTCCTGGGCTCAAACCTCTCACCTTAGCCCCCTGAATAACGGGGATTACTGATTTGTGCCACCAAGCCAGGCTAATTTATTTTCTTTCTTTCTCTCTTTCTTTCTTTCTTTCTCTCTCTCTCTCTTTCTTTCTTTCTTTCTTTCTTTCTTTCTTTCCTTTCTTTCTTTCCTTCTTTCTTTCTTTTCTCTCTTTCTCTCTCTCTCTCTTCCTTTCTTCCTTTCTTTTTGTAGAGTTTGGGTCTCACTATATTGCCCAGGCTGGTCTTGAACTCCTGGCCTCAAATGATTCTCCCTCCTTGGCCTCCCAAAGTGTTGAGATTATAGTTTTCAGCCACCGCACCCAGCCTCACTGTTTTCTTCAGTTGTTTCTGAACAACTGGAATCTCAGCTGTCTTTTTCCATTAAATCCCATGTTCGTTCCTCCATACCATGCTGCCTCTTGCCCATTTTTGCATTTCTCCTTTCTGCTTTCCTGAACATTCTGAGTCTTACTGGGCTGGCATTCCCTTGTTGGGACAGGGGAGAGGCTCTAGGCCTTGGATCCTTGTTCTGATTCCTTCTCCAAAGAGTTTTCCCTTTTTCTTCCCCTTTCAAAACAACATAAGTGCAAAAGCTTTGTCAGGATGTTGGGAATTAAAAAAGCTTCAGAAACATTTTGATTCATTTAACAACATTACTCTGAAACTTTTTAGAGTAAGAGTACCAAGTCACTGAATAAGACGATCTTGAAATTAAACGATATTTTACAGTTTTAAAAACACCTTCACAGATCTTTTCTTATTAGATTCTCAGCACAACCTTATGAGTTGGCACTGTCAAAATTCAGTTCAACAAACAAAATCCAACTAACAGGAAAACTCACAGCTAACATCATACTTAATGGTTGAAGACTGAAAGCTTTCCCCCTTAAGATCAGAACAAGACAAGGATGCTCTTGCCACTCCTATTCAACACTCTATTGGTGGTTCTAGGTGGGGCAGTTAAGCAGGAAAAAGAAAAGACATTTATATCAGAAAGAAATAAAACTATATTTACCGATGACATGATCTTACATGTAGAAAAATCCTACAGAATTTACCAAAAAAAATTGGAACTAATAAATGAGTTCAGCAAAGTTGCAGGATACAAGATTATTATCTAAAAATCAGTTGCATTCCTATATGCTAGCTATGGATAATCTGAAAATGAAATAGAAAAAATTCCATTTATAATAACATCAGAAAGAATAAAATACTTATGAATAAAGTTAACCAAAGAAGTACACTAAAAAGTACACTAAAAAACAGAAAACATGTTGAAGGAAATTAGAGATCTAAATAAATTGAAAGACGTCCTGTGTTCATGGCTTGGAAGACTTAATATTGTTAAGATGACAGTGCTACCCAGATTTATCTACAGGTTTAATGCAATCACTATCACAGTTCAACTGCCTTTTTCCCGGAAATGGACAACCTGATCTTATAATTCATATGGAATTGCAGAGCCATATTTGCCACAACAGTCTTGAAAAAAAGAGAACAAAATTGTAGGACTCATACTTCCTGATTTCAAAACTTATTACAAAACTACAGTAATCCAGATGGCATGTCACTGGCATGAGGAGAGTCTTGTAAACCAATGGAATGCAATTTAGAGTCCAGAAATAAACCCATACATTTATGGTCAGTTGATTTTGACCAGGGCGCCAAGATCATTAACTGGGGAAAGAATAATCTTTTCAACAAATGTTGCTGGGGCAACTGGATATCTACATGTAAAAAAATAAATTTGGATCCCTGCCTCACATCACATATGAAAATTAACTCAGAATGGATCAAAGACCTAAACCTGTTAAGTTCTTCGAAGGAAACATAGGTGAAAATCTGTATGACCTTGGATTAAATGGTGATTTTTAAAGATATAACACAAAAACACAAGCAGTGAAAGAAAAAGGTAGATAAACTGGACTTTGTTAAAGTTAAAAACTTTCATGCATCAAAGGACACTGTAGAATGAAGACAACTCACAGAATGGGGGAAAATATTTGCAAATTATATCTCTGATAAGTATATATATTTTATATATATGTTGTTTATATCCAGAATATGCAAAGAACCCTTTCAACTCAACAAAGATAAGACAATGGAATTTAAAAATGGGCAAAGCATTTGAATAGAATAGACATTTCTCCAAAGAAGATGTACAAATGACCTATAAGCACATGACAAGATCTTCAACATCATAGTCCATAGGGAATTACAAATCAAAACCACAATGAGAGATAACACTTTACACCCTCTAGGATGGTCATACTTTTTTTTTTTTTTTTTTTTTAAAGACAGTAACAAGTTTTGATAAGGAAGTAGAGAAATTGGAGCCCTCATTGCTGATGGGAATGTAAAATGATGCAGCTACTGCACAAAAGTTTTGCAGTTCCTTAAAAAACTAAACATAGAATAACTCAGCAATTCTACTCCTGGGTATAGACCCAAGATAATTGAAAACATATGTTCATACATTAACTTGTACATACATTAACATGTGGCATTATTCATAGTTGCCAAAAAGTGGAAGCAACCCAAATGTCCATCAGCTGATGAAATGATAAATACAATGTGGTATATCCATACAATGAAATCTTATCCAGCTGTAAAAAGGAATGAAGAAGCCAGGTGCAGTAGCTCACAACTGTAATCCCATTGCTTTAGGAGGCCACGATGGGAGGATTGCTTAAGGCCAGGAGTTCAAGATTGGCCTGGGCAACATAGACCCAGTCTCTACAAAATAAATAAATAAAAAGAATGAAATACTATTACGTGCCACAACATGAACCTTGGAAACATTATGCTAGGTGAAAATCCAGTCACCAAGATGACGAATTGTATGATTCTGCTTACGTGAAATGTCCACAATAAGCAAATTCATAGAGACAGAAAGTAGATTAGTGGTTGAGAAGGAGTGAGAGAAGGGATGAATTGAGATTAACGGCTAGTAGGGACAGAGTTTCTTTTTGGGGTGATGGGACTGTTCTGGAATTAGATAGTGATTATGGTTGTACAACATAGTAAATATACTAAAAACCACTCAAAGGCTGGGTGCAGTGGCTCATGCCTATAACCGCAACACTTTGGGAGACTGAGGCGGGAAGATTGCTTGAGGCCAAGAGGTCAAGACCAGCCTGGGCAACACAGCAAGACCTTGTTTCTACAAAAAAAAAAAAAAAATTGTTTTAATTACCTGGGTATGGTGGTGTGTGCCTGTAGTCCCAGCTACTTTGGAGGCTGAGGTGGGAAGATCACTTGAGCCTGTGAATTTGAGGTTACAGTGAGCTGTGATTGTGCCACTGTGATCCAGCCTGAGTGATAGAGCATGACCCTGTCTCTCAAAACAAAACCCTCCAAAAAACAAAAACCACCCAAGTATACATTTTAAATGATTAATTTTATATGAAATATATCAGCTGGGCGTGGTGGTTCACACCTGTAATCCCAGCATTTTGGGAGGCAGAGGTGGGCGGATCACGAGGTCAGGAGATGGAGACCATCCTGGCTAACATGGTGAAACCCCGTCTCTACTAAAAATACAAAAAATTAGCCAGGCATGGTGGCACATGCCTGTAGTCCCAACTACTCAGGAGGCTGAGGCAGGAGAATTGCTTGAACCCGGGAGGCAGAGGTTAAAGCAAGCCGAGATCATGCCACTGCACTCCAGCCTGGGCGACAGAACGAGACTCTGTCTTTAAAAAAAAAAAAAAAAAATCTCAAAAACGGCAATGAGAACTCAATTAATATTTATCATACTGTATATTCCCTGAGTGGTGCAGGAGAATCAGAGCTTAGAATCTTGTGAGGAAGGCATGGTACTTAAATAAGTCTAGTGTAAGGCAGCTTGTAATAAGTAGTACTAAGACTGCTGAAGAAGCACAAATAAAGGAGATATTCTATCTTACTAGGAACCAGGGAGTTTCACAAACTTGGCTTTGCAAGGTGGGAAAGATTTTCACAGGTGGAAGGGGTTTGAAATAGGGAATTCAGTCAAAAGGAATAGTGTGAGTGAAGGAATGGAGTTTGGAATGTGGGGTACATGGGGTTGGGGTGGGGTATTGAGGTAGATGACGCAGAAAAATAAGTTAAAGATAGATCTTGCATAGGTGGCTGTGAGTAGCATGCTAAGGAGTTTGGGCTTTATTACTTATGAATCATATTTTTGGTTTCAGGTCATGTCTGGTGGCAGAGGGAAGGCTGAATTGGAGGAGAACAAAAGCTAGAACCAGGGACAACAATTATTACCATTGTAGTTTTTTAGGAGAGGTGATATGGCTGAACTAGGTTATGGTTGTGAGGCTGGAAGGGAGGCACATCCAAGTGACAGTGCAGTAGACTTAGTAGACTCTTGACTGTTTATGTGTGCATTCCAGGGATAGGCAGTGAAGGGAAGAATGACCCTGAAATCTTGAATTTAATGACTTGAAAGGATAATGATGGTATTAACAGATGAGGAACATAGCAAGACAAACAAATGAAAAAGTGAATACTGAGGAGAAGGAGGTACCACTGAATTTGGCATTTAGTCATTGGTGATTTTGAAGACAGCAGTTACAGTAAAGTGGCTGCTGGAAAGGATTTCAAAGAATGGTTGAAGAAGATAGCCATAGGATGAGAACATGGAAGGCAAGGAAGGGAGACTTGAGAGATTTGGTAATAAAGAGAAGAGAGAAAAGGGTGCTAGTTTGAAATGAGTTAAAAGAACTACAGAGTAGAATTAAAATAAAGTAGAATTATGGGATTTTTGCTTTTTAAGTGACCCATGAGAGGCTTACTGGCAGTGTGCCAAGATTCAAGAGAGCAAAGATTGGCAGGGTGGGATTAAGTGATGGGATAGCCGGGTGCAGTGGCTCATGCCTGTAATCCCAGCACTTTGGGAGGCTGAGGTGGGTGGATCACTTGAGGTCAGGAATTCGAGATCAGCCTGGCCAACATGGTGAAACCTGTCTCTACAAAAAATACAAAAATTAGCCGGGTGTGGTGGTGGTTGCCTGTAATCCCAGCTATTTGGGAGGCTGAGGCAGGAGAATTGTTTGAACCTGGGAGGTGGAGGTTGCAGTGAGCCAAGATCGAGCCACTGCACTAACTCCAGCATGGGTGACAGAGTGAGACTCCATCTCAAAAAAGAGAAAACAAAAAACAAAAAAAAACGACGGTAGGGAGCCTTCTGCCTCTTTAAACATTTGAGATGCATGTCCTGAGATGCTTCTGTGAAGTTAAGAATATTAATTTTTTGATACGAATCTGACAAAACTAGACATCAAAATATGCCATATATGGTAATTAAAACAATGTGGTATTAGTATAGAAAGCAGACAAATAGTTAATGAAGTAGAACAACCAACCCAGAAATAGAACCAGATACACCTGAAAACTTCATATATGAGGTTTAAAATCAGTGTGGAAAGCTGGAAATCACCCATAGTTTCGTTATCCAGTCAGTTGTTTTTCACATTTTGGTGTGTTTCCATTTAGTTGGTTTGCCATACTTTTTTAAAAATAATGCTTTAAGGCTGAGCGTGGTGGCTCACACTTGTAGTCTGAAGCAGGCAGATCACTTGAGGTCAGGAGTTCGAGACCAGCCTGGCCAATCTGATGAAACCCCATCTCTACAAAAAATACAAAAATTAGCCTGGTGTGGTGGTGCTTGCCTGTAGCCTCAGCTACTTGGGAGACTGAGGTGGGAAGATGGCTTGAGCCAGGGAAGCAAAGGTTGCAGTGTGCTGAGATGGCGCCACTGCACTCCAGCCTGGGTGATAAAGCCAGACCTTGCCTCACAAAAAAAAAAAAAATGCTGTAAAGTAAAAGTTCTGTATACAATTCTGTGATATGAACCCTACCTTAGTGTGTTATGAGGATTTTGATCCTTATATGATATGATATATATAATCAAGTGCGGGTACGTTGTAGTTTACAGAACCATTACTTTGAAACAAGACCTTTAGGTTACTCCTAATTCATCACTGTTAAAATAATGCTGTAGGGAAAAAATTACACATAAAAGTTTTCTATATTTAAAATGATTTTTGTGAGACAAAGTTTATTTATTGTAAAAACAGTTCCAGCAGTTCAGAATTGTAAAGAGTTTTACAGAATTGTAAAGAGTTCAGAATTGTAAAGACATTTTCTTGTCTTTCTCCTTGGTGGTAACCACTGTTAACAGTTTAGTGTGTATCTTTTTTTTAAGTTTAGTTTTTATTTTTTTGTAGAGACAGGGTCTTGCTTTGTTGCCCAGGCTGGGGTGCAGTGGTGTGATCATAGCTCACTGCAGCCTCATACTCCTGGGCTCAAGCAGTCCTCCCACCTCAGCCTCCCAAGTAGTTGGGACTACCGGCATGTACCACCACGCCTGGCTAATTTCTGTATCTTTTGTAGAGACAGGGTTTCACCATGTTGCCCAGGCTGGTCTGGAACTCCTGGGCTCAGGCGATCCCCCTGCCTCGGCCTCCCAAAGTGTTGGGATTACAGGCATGAGCCACTGCACCTGGACTAGTTTCTTTTTAATTTCTGAGTAGTAGTCAATTGTATGGCTCTCCTATAATTTCTTCATTCATTCATCTTTTGGTAGACATTCGTGTTGTTTCCATTTTTAGGCTATTATGAGTACAGCTGTTGTGATCATTTGTGTGCGAGTCTTTGTGTGGATATATTTTCATTTCTTTTGACTAAAAACCTAGGGGTGCACTTGTTGGGTCACATTAACTTTGTAGAAACTGCATTGCATCTTTGCCGATATTGAAAGTTGTCAGCCTTTTATATTTTTCTGTGCATGCTTTTCCCCCCAAAAGACCAAAATGGGAATTGTTTTTCTTTTCATTATAAACTTGTAAAGGAATTTTAAAGTTCTAAGGGATGCCAGGCAGGAGGTTCATCTATGTGAACAGTTATTAGTTTGAGATAGATAATGTCAAGGATATCCCTAAAGGCTTTTCAAGAGATAACTATAGGACATCTACCCCATCACTTCTAGTCACATGTGACTTCAGAATTTTAACAGAAATTATTATTATAGGAATATGTAGCACAGAGGGATTCCATAGGCCTGAAGATTAGTACTGATGGCCTTTCTTACATTATTCTAGGCTGGTGCTATCCGATGAAACTTTCTGCAGTGATAACCACTAGCCACAGGTGGCTTTTGAAACGTAGGGCTAGTTCAACTGAAGAATTGAATTTAACTTTAAATTAATTTGAATAGTGAAATATGTCTAGTGATTACCGAACAGTGTAGTTCTGAAATGTTATTTTTCAGGAAAGATCCTCTAGCAAGAAGTAGTTGAGTGAGACCTGTTAGCTGAGCTGGCCCTGGGGCAGGTTTGTGTTTTCAGTCCTTCCCTTTCCTGTGGGAGAAATGAAACCAAAGCCTAGAGCACCACAGAAGAAGAACCAGTGGATTCATAAGGGTGACAGTTCAGGTAGGGGAAGCTGTTTGGTAATGAGCTCTTTTGGTCAGATGCCACACTATTTTTCTTTCTGTTTATTTTGCCCTATTAAATTATTTAGTAAATAGTAAAGCGTACTTTAATCCAGTTTTTAAAGTGGATGTTTGGATGAAAGTATGTGATTTAAATTCCAAAACTGTGCAGTGTTGTCCAGAAGAGTCCTGATTAAATCACCCCAGTTTCTTTGATGAAGATAAGCAAATAATTTTATTTTTTGCTGTAATCCCAGCTACTCGGAAGGCTGAGGCAGGAGAATCGCTTGTACCAGTCCGGAGGCTGCTGCCCTCTCACAGGGCTTCCTCCTCTTGCACAGACGCACCAGTGCCTTCAGCCCCACTGGTCTCCCTCTTCTCCTTTCCTGGCCCCTGCTGGCCCAGTAGATGGGCCACTGGAGGCCACTAGATGGGGACTGGGGAATGTGATGTTGGCGATCTGCGGTATCTTCAGGGTGACAGCCATACCCAACGCGTGGGACCTGGCTTCCACATCTATAGACCTGACCTAAGGAAATATGTGGGCGTGTGCATAAGGATGCCATCTCAGAACTGCATATTAATAAAAAGCTGAATCAAACAGTGTCCAACAAGGGTGGCTGTTCCAGCTGGTCATCTACAATCTCAGCTCACTGCAACCTCCGCCTCCTGGGTTCAAGCAATTCTGCCTTAGCCTCCCGAGTAGCTGGGACTACAGGCACACACCGCCACACCCGGCTAATTTTTTGTATTTTAGTAGAGATGGGGTTTCACCATGTTGCCCATGCTGGTCTTGAACTCCTGAGCTCAGGCAGTCCTCCCACCTTGGCCTCCCAAAGTGCTGAGATTATAGGCGTGAGCCACCGCACCTAGCCTGTACTTTCATTTCTTAATAACTGCATGACTGTAGTGGTTGGCTTTCATTATTGTTTCCTAGGGGCAAGGTCAATGTTAGAAAAATTGTGGAATTTTCCCTTGGCATTGCTGTGGTGAGTAGACAGCTACTATTTATAGAGACTTATACTTCGTTGAAAAAATGAGATACCATGCTTGGCTTACCATAAAAACACAGATGTTTCTGGATTCCAGTAGGGAGGCCTTTTGTTCACAGCATCTGTTTTGGTTGGCCAGCCAGATGACTTCTGTGGATTTTTTCACTCCTTTTGAAGGACACTTGACAAATAAACAAGTTTATAAATGAAAGAGTTAACAGCATTTTGTAAATTTATTTTATTACTTTAGCTATATCGTTCTGTATATTTTGAACTATCAGATCATTTTAGCTCAATTTTATCACTTCCTAAATAACCTTGAGACGATCAGTCCTTTGTTACATGTTCTTTGGATTGTTTATTCTGCAGTTGAGACAGATTTTTATTGATCTATAAATTTTTGTGTTCAACAAACATTTAATGAGTATTCACTGTGTACTAGGCCCTGTACTAACACTGGGAACTACATATGTGAGCAAGATATAGTCTCAGTCTTTGAGAAGTTTAGTGTCTTATATGCAGTGCAAACATGTAGACAGAATAAAATTATAGTTGAGTGCTTCCATTTGAAGTTTATTTCATCAGTTTAGTGGGGAGGGGTAGGTGTCTAGGAATGCCTTCCAGAAAAAGTAGTGTCTAAGTGGAGAATTGTAGAATGAGTGGGAGTTGTCCAGGGATGGAACAGGGGTTAGTGGCGGAGATTATATAAAAGAAAGAAGCTTGCAGGTGAAAATGACCCTGGGAAAGTGGGAAACTGAAAAAGTTCAGTACATTTCTGTCATATGGCTGATCAAGCTGTGACTGGGCAAAATGCTGTCAGCATTTGTTGAACACATAAATGCTGTCTCATTCACAAAGGAGACTTGTGACCTAGACTTTATTCATCTTGTGCTAAATTAGTGATTTCCAAACATTTGATCATGAATCTCATAAGTAAAAAATGTTTTGATTATGTATCCTCATATATTGATTATATGCCAATATTTGTTTATAGATGATATGTAGTACTAAAAGTTATATACGCAGTAGAACATGTATAGAAAACAAAAAAAATTAAAAGGATGAGCTAAAGATGGCATGTACAATATTCTCACAGTGTTAATTTTACTGAAAATACGGAAAGTAGGCTGGGTGCAGTGGCTCACGCCTGTAATCCCAGCACTTTGGGAGGCTGAGGGAGGCAGATCACTTGAGGTCAGGAGTTTGAGACAAGCCTGACCAATATAGCGAAATCCCATCTCTACTAAAAAATACAAAAATTAGCTGGGCATGGTGGCACACGCCCGTAATCCCAGCTACTCGGGAGGGTAAGGCAGGAGAATTGCTTGAACCCGGGAGGCGGAGGTTACAATGAGCCGAGATCATGCCACTGTACTCCATCCTGGGCGACAGAGCAAGACTCCATCTAAAAAAAAAAAAAAAAAAAAACCCAGAAAGTAAAGTGGTACATCATTATTTAAAATCTTCGTTTAATATTATGTGATACAGCTGCTCAGAGGGCTGTTTCTAAATTCAGTTTATTTTGATACTTTAATGGCAGTCAAAGCCTGGATCAAAATGGAAGAATTTGGCTGCACTTTCTAAATCATATTCTTTCTTTCTCCAAACTTATTCACTATTTATGGAAATGCTTTATTGAAATGTGGCTGGTAAATATCCATCTATTAGTTTTTCTTGCAGATTAATAAAAATATATTATACTTTTATTGTGTTAATAAATGGGTTCCAAAAATCACTGTTAAGTCTTCATTTGGAAGATATTTTAAAAAGTTTTAGAATATTCTGTTTCTGACTTTATAAAGCATGAAGATACGAGTTTTTGGTGTCTTTATTTTTTAGATTTTGTATATATTGTTTCAACAGCAGAATAACTTAGCAATGGAAATGTTTCCAATTATCCAATTTTGAAATGCTCTATTAGGAAAGATTTTTTTTTCTCTCGCTCTCTTTTTTTTTTTTTTTTTTTTTTTTTAAAGATGAAGCCTCTCTCTTGTCCCCAAGGCTGGAGTACAATGGTGCCATCTTGGCTCACTGTAACCTCCGCCTACTGGGTTCAAGCGATTCTCCTGCCTCAGCCTCCCGAGTAGCTGGGATTACAGGTGCCCACCACCACGCCCGGCTAATTTTTGTATTTTAAGTAGAGATGGGGTTTCACCATGTTGGCCAGGCTAGTCTCAAACTCCTGACCTTAGGTGATCCGCCTGCCTCATTCTCCCAGAGTGCTGGGATTACAGGCGTGAGCCACTGCACCCGGCCGATTTTTTTCTCTTTTTCTTTTTTCTGGAAAAGCTGAAAATAATTCTGACATGTTGCTAAACATTTTTATTTTGTAGGGGCAGAGTGAGTTTTTTTGTTTTTTTAATATCTTCTTGGTAGCATACTACTTATAACCTCCTCAGAAATATTTAGCAAGTTTGGAACTCTAGTCTTTTTATTTTTAAAAAATTGTGTAACTCATCTACATTTAACAAATCTTTTAAATACATTTCTTGTGGTAACTAGTGAATCTGTGTGGATTTAAAAACAAAAAAAAGATTATGAGGCCAAGGCAGGTGGATCACTTGAGGCCAGGAGTTTGAGACCAGCCTGGCCAACATGGTGAAACCCCATCTCTACTAAAAATACAAAAATTAGTCAGAAGTGGTGGTACACAACTGTAGTCCCAGCTACTCTGAGCTGAGAATGCGCCACTGCATTCAATTCTGGGCGACAGAGCAAGACTATCTCTCAAAAAAAAAAAAAAAAAAAAATTCAGTGGCTACTCTCTATCTCCCAGAGTATAGGAAGATTCTATATTCATACAGTTAACCTCAGTGACATCTGAGGTACCTTGTTCTGACTTAATTGCAGCAATAGTTTACCTGTGAATGAAGCCGTTAAAGGCTTTTGTATCAGATGCTATCACTGTAACTTTGTTCTGGAATTTTTTTTTTTTTTGAGATAGGGTCTCGCTCTGTTGCCCAGACTGGAGTACAGTGACACGATCTCAGCTCACTGCAAGCTCCGCCTCCCAGGCTCACGCCTTTCTCCTGCCTCAGCCTCCCGAGTAGCTGGGACTACAGGTGCCCGCCACAACGCCTGGCTAATTTTTTGTTATTTTTTAGTAGAGACGGGGCTTCACCGTGTTAGCCAGCATGGTCTCGATCTCCTGACCTCATGATCCACCCACCTCGGCCTCCCAAAGTGCTGGGATTACAGGTGTGAGCCACCGCAGCTGGCCAGAATTCTTTTTTAAAATTCCAGTCAAAGCAGTCATTTCATCAGTGGTTACAGTTTTCCCATAAAGCACCTTGTTTCATTTACAGTTAAGAATACCTCCCTTTTAATACATTGTTCCTTGGTATCTTACAAAGTTGTATTTCCTGTATATTTCATAATTACCCAGCAAATACCCTAAGATGAAAGAATCATCTGTATTTTTATCCAATTGTATAGCAAACCCCACACACTGTATTTGTCCTGATATCTTCAAGTCTTTAGGGTTTTCTAAGAGCTTTTGACTATACTTACCAATAAAAGAATACATTTAGTTTGTCACCACTTTTATTTCTGTGTATAATTTCAGCTATGGTCCTTGGCTTTTTTTAGGGAAACCTTAGCAGTTTCGACACTAACTTTCGTACAATTTTGTGAAGTGTCACATTAAATAGCCTGTGACTTTAGACATAGGTGGAAAAATTATAGACGTTTAACTCTTGCAGTGAACACTTAAAAGCCTGGTGGATTATGAGGACTTTGTTCGTGCCATCAGATTATATCTTAAGGTAGAGTAGACATGTAGAGTGAGGTTCATCTTTAATAAAAAATGGGCTGGGTGCAGTGGCTCACACCTGTAATCTCAGCACTTTGGGAGACCGAGGTGGGTGGATCACAAGGTCAGGAGATCGAGACCATCCTGGCTAACACGGTGAAACCCTGTCTCTGATGAAAATACAAAAAAATTAGCCGGGCGTGGTGGTGGGTACCTGTAGTCCCAGCTACTTGGGAGGCTGAGGCAGGAGAATGGCGTGAACCCGGGAGGCGGAGCTTGCAGTAAGCCGATATCGCACCAGGGCAGTCCAGCCTGGGTGACAGAGTGAGACTCTGTCTCAAACAAATTAAAATAAATAAATAAATAAATAAATAAATGGTGTGGCTGGACGCAGTGGCTCACGCCTGTAATCCTAGCACTTTGGGAGGCCGAGGCGGGCGGATTGCCGGAGCTCAGGAGTTCGAGACCAGCCTGGGCAACGTGATGAAACCCCCGACTCTACCAAAAATTCAAAAATTAGCTGGAGCATGCCTGTAACCCAGCTACTTGGGATGCTGAGGCATGAGAATCGCTTGAACCAGGGAGGCAGAGATTGCAGTGAGCTGAGATCCACCATTGCACTCCAGCCTGGGCAACAGAGAGAGACTGTGTCAAAAAACAAAACAACACATAAATAAGAAATTGTGTAAAGTCAATATAAATACCAGTACTAATATTTTATTTTTATACCCCAAAGGATTATCGTATAATACAAACACCCTTCAAGTACACATATCCCACTTTGGAGACTAATGCCCTAAACAACAGGGATAATGATATTGAAACTGGCCTTTTAGTTAAAATAAAAGCAAAGCCAAAAATAATTCACTTTCCTCTATAAATTTATATTTGGGAGACACATTTAAGAATAATCGTCCTGGCCAGGTGCAGTGGTTCATGCCTGTAATCCCAGCACTTTGGGAGGCCAAGGTGGGCGGATCGTGAGGTCAGGAGATCAAGACCATCCTGGCTAACACGGTGAAACCCTGACTCTACTAAAAATACAAAAAATTAGCTGGGTATGGTGGCGGGCACCTGTAGTCCCAGCTACTCAGGAGGCTGAGGCAGGAGAATGACATGAACCCGGGAGGCGGAGCTTGCAGTGAGCCGAGATCACGCCACTGCACTCCAGCCTGGGTGACAGAGTGAGACTCCATCTCAAAAAAAAAAAAAAAAAAAAATCAGCTTTGGCTTGAGGTTTGAAGAATGAACCCTTCAGTCATAGACTATGACTACCTGTCATAGCTCACTAGGAAACCCTAGGGAATCATGGAAGGGTTATTGGTTAAATATATTATATAAAGGAACATTTTGCTAGTTGCTATTGACCAAAAAGGCTGTTTTTTTTTTTTTAAATATAGTCTGTAATTATTTTTGTTGAAAGATATTTGGAAGATGGTTTTTCTCAATCTATAGGAGATACAGTTCGTAGCCACCTGGGATCTCTTATAAAAAGATACTTTTTCATAGTATACTCTTTATAATATGCATAACATTTCATAATATACTTTTGATAATATACATAAAATTTGATACATAAGTTTACCAAATTTATTGAATTTACTTCAGTGCATTTTTATTAGTCAAGATTCTTTGGAAGATATGGAAAGCTAATTCAAAAAAGCTTGAGCAAAAAAAATTTGTTGGCTCGTAACTAATGTTCAGGACTGGTCTCAAGAACTTGGTTGCCAGATCTGTGTTTCCAGGTTATCTATTAGCTTGTCTGTGTCTCTGTGATAGTTTTACCCTTTTAGAGTGGAAAATCTTCCTCCTTGTGGTGCTCTGGCTTGCAGAAGAATGCCTTTGGTCTAGCGCCAGCATATATAAAATCCTGTGGGTGGGATAGAGTAGATGTGGTTGCATGTGTGCTGACTGGCAGTCTCACTAAACCACATGGAATGGGAAAGGAACAGTTTCCCAAAGGAAGGGTTTGCTCTTAATGCAGAGGAAGGGATGCTGGGAGTCAAAAATAATAGATGTTCATTATAGCAATGAGTGATGAAGAGAGGACAGAAAGGCATAAAATATTCTTTAAGGGAATAGAACATGACTTAATTTGATTTTCCTAATCATTGATTCTTACAGAGCATGCAAGCGGCAAGATGTCCTACAGATGAATTATCTTTAACCAATTGTGCAGTTGTGAATGAAAAGGATTTCCAGTCTGGCCAGTGAGTATCTGACTTTGTTTTCTTTTAACCTGCTAAGTGGCATTCGGGAAACTTCCAGAGAGTCATTTTTAGGAAACGTTGGAAAATATTTTTAAAAAATTCTTGCTGAGTTGGAAAATGGAGAAGATGAGAAAAAGTTATGTATTTGAATCATTACTGTGTCAAACTTTGATAAATACTGTATAATGTTTTAAAAATGTTTTATGTATAAAACTCTAGTTTTCATCAGTTTTCTTAGTAGAGCTAAACATACTGGTTGTATGAATCATATATGGCAGAGTTGTTAGGTGTTTGGTTCTGGCAAACTCAGATTGTTTGAGTTTTCCTGGCTCTACCAATTACAAACTGTGTGACCATTTCTGTACCTCTATGTCCTGATCTGTAAAATGGAGATGATCTCTTCCTCAAGGTAGCTATGAAGATTGAGTTACATAAATAAAGCACTTAGAACAGTTCCCAACATGTTAACAATCCCTTAGTAAATATTAGCTGTTATGATTATTATTACCATGATAATCCAAGAGACATGAACATTGGAAGATGGGCTGGGTATGGAGGCTGACGCCTGTAATCCTAGTACTTTGGGATGCCAAGGCAGGCTGATTGCCTAAGCTCAGGAATTTGGGACCAACCTGGCCAACATGGTGAAACCCCATCTCTACTAAAAATAAAAATTAGCCAGGCATGGTGGTGTGCGCCTGTAGTCCCAGTTTCTCAGGAGACTGAGGCATGAGAATCACTTGAACCCAGGAGGCAGAGACTGTAGTGAGCCGAGATCGCGCCACTGCACTCCATCCTGGGTGACACAGCGAGACTCTGTCTCAAAAAAAAGTAAAGGAAAAAGAAAATTGGAAGCTGCAAAGCAAATGTAGAATCCTTAAAGGCATTTTGCACTGTAATTTATTTTAACTGATCCATATCACCGCACTGCCAGGACTTCTAAAGACCCTGCTGCAAGTTCAGTGCCATCCATATGCTTCTGAGATTGGTACAGATAAGGAGATGAAGGGGCTGTAGGGAAATAAGAGGCAAGGTGGTAGGGTTTTAACTGAGCATTTTTCTTAAAATGTTATCTGTGAAATACCTGAGTTTCACAGAGTTAGAAATGCTAATCATCTTTGGTTTCCAGCTTCAGAGTAAGAGGCTGTACTATATGGTGATATTAACATTGTTTCCAGTGCTAAACATTCTGTGATGCTAAATTGAGCACAGGATTTTCAACAGATAAACTGAAGTATAGATAATCAACGTGAGAATTTGTGGAATTCTTTTACATATGTTAAATGTTCACTGTACTCATGGTGGGGTTACTCAAAATGTAGTTGATATAAGGAACATGTGTTCTAGTAGCAAAAAAAATACGTATAGAAACATTAGCCATTGATGTGAAAAATTACAGCATTCTGAAAAGATAATGTTTAAAAAGATAGTGAGCTAGGCATGTTAGGGCATGCCTGTAGTCCCAACTACTTTAGAGACTGAAGCAGGAGAATCTCTTGAGCCCAGGAGTTTGAGGCCAGCCTGGTCAACATAGCAAGACCACATGTATTAAAAAAAAAAAAAAAAAAAAAAAAAAAAGATACTGCTGCTGCATAACAGGATTTGAAGCTTCTATCTTACACATAGTACTTTTTAGTTACCTGGTATAGGAGATTATCATGAGAGGACTGTTTTTTTTTTTATTTACAGGTAATTTCTGAACAGGGAATTAGCACAAAATTTTTTAAAACAGTAAATATTGATATCTACATGAAAGCTGATGTATTTTAGGAATTTTTTAAATCTTTTTTTTTTTTATTTTGTAGGTTGTTTTTGTTTTAGCCTGTTGAGAGAGTCTGCAAATAAATTTAATGAGTAGTCTAAAAACTAACTTTTTTTTGATTGCTATATCCTAGCTCTTTTATCTTTGGCTCTCTTCTCCTTATTAGGATGTGAAGTAATTCTCAGGAGAGGAAATGCATCTAGTTTTTACTTGATATCAAGGACTCTAAATCACTGGCTTCAGTTTTATGTAAACTGGAAATGTAAGGAAGTTGGTATTTTGGATGGTATTTTGGCTGGATTCTACTTGATGAGTGTTTGACCCAAGGTGCTCCTTATATCTGGAAAACATTTGGGATTGCTGATAGTTTGGGAAACTAAATTTGTGGTTCTATTTCTTCAAGACACAGATAGTGTCGTTTCCACCTGATACTCATTAAATATCAGTTTGACAAGAAATACATTTTGAAATTATGTTCTTCATTTCCTTCAATGTGGAGTACTAACTGTGTTTCTGTCCTTTAGGCATGTGATTGTGAGGACCTCTCCCAATCACAGGTACACATTTACACTGAAGACACATCCATCGGTGGTTCCAGGGAGCATTGCATTCAGTTTACCTCAGGTAACTCAGATGTTAATTTGTTCTCTTCTGTTTTTGAAAGTCATAGAATATGAATAATCTGTTCATTTTAAGCAAGCATCACCCTGTGACTGTATTGATTCATATTGAAGAAAAATATCTAAGTATTATATAAGGAATTTAAAGATACAGTCTTCTTTTTTTTTTTTTCTTTTTTTTTTTTAAGACAGGGTCTCGTTCTGAGACCCAGGCTGGAGTGCAGTGGCACGATCATGGCTCCTGGTCTCAAGCAATTCTCATACCTCAGTCTCCCGAGTAGCTGAGACTACAGTCTTGTACCACTGTGCCTGACTAATTTTAAAATTTTTTGTAGAGATGGTGTCTTAACTGTGTTGCCCAAGCTGGTCTTTAACTCTTGGGCTCAAGTAATCCTCCCACCTTGGCCTCTCAAAGTGCTGGGATTATAGGGTGTGAATCATCATGCCCAACCTAAAGACAGATTCTTAATTGCCAGTTTTTGCTATGGCTGCCTTCTTTTGGCTTGATTTTTTTTCCCTAATTTTTAAAGATTTTGCAGTAAAATCAGTCAGCTATCACATAAAGCGTCAAGTTATTTTAATGTTAACTGCCAGGGTAATAGAAAAGTAGAAAACATTTTATTTGTGAAGTTGATATCTAAGAATGGTGATTTTATAATGTGATGGCGTTATACTAAAGAATTTGGAAAGAGTCTCAAATTACAACATAATTTGCTAGGCTCCCATAACAACTGGATGGGTTGTGATTACAGTTACAACTGTTGATGGATTCTGTGGAATCCAGAGAATTAGATTGCTTAGTGCTGTCCCAGGCACATCATACATAATATAAAGCACCAAGAATACTAGTCTGTATCCTCTTCTCCCTTATCATTTTACTCAGGCTGCTGACTGTCCCCAGTCCTAAGTAATGTAAATGGAATTCCTACCTCCTCCTAGTATGCTAATGAGCATTGGTTGACTTCCCTGAAGGTTTAGAGAAAGAGCTCAAACACTCATTTAAGAACTATTAGGCTGGGTGCAATGACTCATGCTGGTAATCCCAGCACTTTGGGAGGCCAAAGCTGGTGGATCACTTGAGTCCAGGAGTTCAAGACCAGTGGGCAACGTGGCGAAACCCCACCTCTACTAAAAATATAAAAATTAGCTGAGTGTGGTGGTGCATGCCTGTAGTCCTAACTTCTTGAGGGGCTGAGGCAGGAGGATCACTTGAGCCCGGGAAGTTGAGGCTGCAGTGAGGCGAGATAGTGCCACTGTACTCTAGCCTAGGTGACAAAGTGAGACCCTGTTTAAAAAACTAAAAAACAAAAACAAAAACTATTAGATGGGCCAGGTATCTCACGCTTGTAATCCTAGTGCTTTGGGAGGTGGAGGAGGATCGCTTGAGACCAAGAATTCCAGATCAGCATAGCGAGACCCTTGTCCCCCGCACTAGTCTCTACAAAAAAAAAATTTTTTTTAATTAGCTGGGCATGGTGGCACATGCCTGTAGTCCAGGCTACCTGGGAGGCTGAGGTTGGGAGGATCACTTGAGCCTAGGAAGTCGAGGCTGTAGTGAGCTATGATTGTGCCACCATGCTCCAGCCTTTGCTCCAGAGTGAGATTCTGTCTCTTAAAAAAAAGGGAAAAAAAAGGAACTATTGAAGATCTCTTGAAGCCCTCAAAAATTACAGGAAATTTTCACTTACTATTCCACCTGTCTGTTTGATGCCTCTTCATTATCCAGACCACTTTCACGTTTGTTTCTATAGATTAAAAGTTTGGGATATTCCAGGGTTCTCCAGCTTTTACAGAGTTCCATTTGGGATTCTGATTGTTAGCAATAGCTTGAGGTGTGACAGTTTCTCCTTGTCTCTGTTTTGTAAAAAAAAAAAAAAAAATTTCCCCGACATTCACTGTAGGCCAGCCTCTATTCTAGGTACTTTGGCATGTGTTAGCTCATTTAATTCTCCAAACAACCTTATACAATAGCTACTGTTGTTATCCCTAAGGACTGTTGTATTAGTCCATTTTCATACTGCTATGAAGAAATTCTGGAGACTGGATAATTTATAAGGAAAAATGAGATTTCATGGACTCACAGTTCCACATGGCTGCAGAGGCCTCACAATCATGGTGGAAGGCGAAGGAGGAGCAAAGTCATGTCTTACATGGCGGCAGACAAGAGAGCGTGTGCAGGGGAACTGCCCTTTATAAAACCATCAGATCTTCTGAGACTTACTCACTATCATGAAAACAGCATGGGAAAACCCACACCCATGATTCAGTTACCTCCCACTGGGTCTCTCCCATAACACATAGGGATTATGGAAACTACAATTTAAGATGAGATTTGGGTGGGGGCAAAGCCAAACCATATCAGCTGTCTTTGGGATTGAAGTACAGAACCTAAATGTGGCTTCCTTGTGACTTAAAGTCTAAGCTTAACGAGCATGGTGCTAAATTTCAGGTTGGCCAGAAGTGGGATGGGGTTTTACAGAAGAGGTCTTCTGGGGGAGGTGAAGGGCAGAGTGGAGGGAAACAGGATGTGGTAAGAAAGCCACAAGGGAGAGCACTTGTTGCACATATTCACAGTTCAGTGTCTTCTAAATTACCCGCCACAAAGTCTGCAGTGTTTGGATGGGCAGGTGAACTACTGATTTTCAACCAAAAATTGTTTTTCTCATTGTTCTTTGGAGTGTTATCAGTAATTACTAATTTTGAATCTATACCAAGCAAACCCCAGATTCCTGCCTAAACACAATCTGGCCTGCCTTCATACTTCTTGCCATTGTAAACAGTAGGGATTTGGGAAAGCCTGAAATCTAGCTGTAAATGTCTAAAAATCTTCTGGCTAGTATACAAAGAGTAGCCATGACCATCTAATGATTTCAGTCCCTGACTGGGTTTCAAAATAGATTTTCTGACCAGTTTTAATTTAGTCTTCATGAATTGAATGTCTTCCTTTTTGAGATACTGTAACAAACAGTAAAACTAACTGCAGCAGTACATTTAGAACACTGAAGTGTGATCTGATACAGTGAAGACCTTCTGTAGCATCATATTGTGCAAAGGAACATCCTCCTCAGTGGTGCCAGCTTTACTGCAAAAGGCAAGCTTTGCACGTTTTGAAACAGATGTTCAGATGTAAACTGTAGCACATGCTTTACTTTCCTAGGGTAAGTAACAAAGAACCATTACTGGGTAGCTTAAAACAACAGAGATTTATTCTGTCACCGTTGTGGAGGCCGGAAGTCTGAAATCAAGCTGTCAGTAGAGCTATTCCCTCTCTGAAGGCTCTAGGGAAGAACCTGTTCTGTGCTTAGCTTCTGGTGTTGCCGGCAATCCTTTGGTGTTCCTTGGCTGTAGCTGCATCATTTCAATTTCTGCCTCTGCTATCACATGATGGCATTCTGTCTGTGTGTCTATGTCTCTTTCTTAGAAGGACACCAGTCATATCGGCTTAGGGTTCACCCTAATTCATTATGACCTCATGTTAACTTGATACATTTGCAGAGATTGTATTTCTAAATAAAGTCACATCCACAGGTGTTGGGGGCTAAGACTTCAACATACTTTGGAGGGGGAGAGCACAGTTCAACCATAATAGCATACCATGTTTTGATCTTTGAGTGTATTCCTAAAATTCATTAAAATTCCTCTTTTTCTCTTGTCTAATTTTGATGGCTTTGGTTTTAAGTATCTTTTTTTCTCCTTTACAGAGAAAATGGGCTGGGCTTTCTATTGGGCAAGAAATAGAAGGTAGGTATATTTTTTAGCCACCTGATAAAGATTTTCTATGTGATTTTCTCACAGTTATTGAGATCTGTACAATTTTCTATTACTAGTGGTCAGATCTTAAACATTCATTGTATCAGAAGACTGGTTACATCTATGAGAATGGGAAGGAAATAGTTATGGTACCTCTGTTCCTATATCTTTTATGAAGTGTGTGATAAGGTCGTCATAGTTCAAGGCAAGGAAAGCAATTTATGACTTCCAGTTGGGGGCGTGGCGGGGTGGAAAGACTAAGCTGCTAATAGATAATAAGCCAAAGAACTAATAAGCAAAAAGTGGCATTGTCTCAGGCAATGTGGCAAAGTTAGGAAATGGAGTATGAGTCGTCTTTAGTCAGATGATTTTATGTCAACTTCATGGATACAGTAGGGGAAGGAAAGAAAATGCAAGTGTAATTAAACCAGCTTTTCTTCTGCTTGTCTTTAAAACTTAAAAAAAAATTGTATTTATAGAAAGGTTGCAAAAATAATACGAAGAATTTCTGTATACTACCTTTACCCAGCTTTACCAATTGTCATATTTTCTTTATCATTCTGGCTCCCTGTCTTCCTCTCTGGGTCTCTGTCTCTCTCTGTACACACACACACACACACACACACACACACACACACACACACACACACACACACACATCTTTTATCCTACTCCTCATTTAGGAACCTGACAACTTGTAATTTTTTCTGAGTTAGATGGAATTTAAACATTGGGGTTATTTTATTTTATTTTATTTTTGAGATGGAGTCTCGCTCTGTTGCCAGGCTGGAGTGCAGTGGCGCAATCTCGGCTCACTGCAACCTCTGCCTCCAGGGTTCAAGCGATTCTCCTGCCTCAGCCTTGCAAGTAACTGGGACTACAAGCACTTGCCACCACACCCGGCTAATTTTTGTATTTTTAGTAGAGATGGGGTTTCACCATGTTGGCCAGGCTGGTCTCGATCTGTTGACCTCGTGATCCACCTGCCTTGACCTCCCAGAGTGGTGGGATTACAGATGTGAGCCACCACGCCCAGCCAACATTGGTGTTATTTTTAGTTAGCTTTTTCTTTGTGGAAGTATGAACACTTGTTAAATTTAATGAGAAAGTGGGGTAGTATGTAGCTTAGGTTTCTAATTTTCATAAATTAATTTTTCTAAATATGAGGCTAAGAGTACTTAAAACTTTGAATCTAGATATTTTCTATTGTGACAAGATACAGAAATTCAAGATTATAAATTTTGATGAGTTGAGAAATGTGTTTTGCGGTTTAAGTTATAAAAGCATTCTTCTGCTAACAGAAATGCTTATCTGGATTGTAAAGTCAGATCTTTAAAGAAGTGGCTCAAACAGACTTAATAAGCAAAATTGTAAAACCCAGTGATAGGTGGGACTAAAGTGGAGTAAGCTTGAGGGAAGGTAGGGTTTTGGGGCCCAAGTGATGTGGATGATGTAGCCATAAAGATAGAAAACTGGTTTGGTTTAAGTAGTGATGTAGACCAAGATAGGATAGGAGGTGTGGTTTGAAGGAGTGCTCAAGTATTCTGGAATGGGAGTTCCGTAAGGTGAAACATTTTAGTCAAATCAGTGATTTTAGTCTGAGGGAATCTTCTGGAGGAATCATTTAGTCGGTCTTCTTTCCATCTGGCAATGCCATATTTTAAGTGTTACAGGCTAATGTTTTGACCACTATATATACACCTATTATTGTAAAGTCCAAGTTTATTCAAAGAACTGGATACACTTATTTTTTGCTTATAAAATCTTTCTTATTAGTCTTTTATATTAAATTACTATTAGCCGTAAAATAAGAAAACATTCTCAATCTTCTTTGATCCAGGATGAAATCTTCAGGACTCTTGTCCCTTTGGGACTGACCATGGTGCTGACTGTGGTGCTGCCTGGGATACTGTCCATGGTGCTGCCCATAGCACTTGAAATTGTAACAGTTTGGTCTTTTCTATTTAGGAACATTGGCCTTAAATTAAAATGCATTTGAAAACTACAGTCAGTGCATTACTACAGTCAGTAGTAATTATATTTTTATTTATTTATTTTTGAGATGGAATCTCGCTCTGTCGCTGAGGCTGGGGTGCAGTGGCATGATCTCAGCTCCCTGCAACCTCCTCCTCCCCAGTTCAAGCAATTCTGCTGCCTCAGCCTACTGAGTAGCTGGGATTAGAGGCATGTGCCACCACATCTGGCTAATTTTTGTATTTTTAGTAGAGAAGGGGTTTTGCCATGTTGGCCAGGCTGGTATCGAACTCCTGACCTCAAATGATCCACCTACCTCAGCCTTCCAAAATGCTGGGATTACAGGCATGAGCCACCACGCCTGGCCAATATTTTAAATATACTTATTCAAATTTCTCAGTATGAAGATGACATGAATATATGTATATACACACATATATATGCATTATGACATTATGATATTGTTTTGGTGTCTTTAATGCACAAAATGGTATTATACTGTACAAACCTTTCTGCAGTAGACTTTTGTCACTCAATATTATGTTTTCAAGGGCCATCCACCTTTTTTTGAGATGGAGTTTTGCTCTTGTTGCCCAGGCTGGAGTACAGTGGTGTGATCTTGGCTCACTACAACCTCTCCTCCCAGGTTCAAGCAATTCTCCTGCCTCAGCCATCTGAGTAGCTGGGATTACAAGCACTCACCCCCACGCTGGCTAATATTTTCTATTTTTATTAGAGATGGGGTTTCACCATGTTGACCAGGCTGGTCTTGAACTCCTGACCTCTGGTGATCCACCCACCTCAGCCTCCCAAAGTACTGGGATTACAGGTGTGAGCCACCACGCCTGGCCAGGCCGTCCATCTTTAATAAATATACATAAAGTTGGTTTTTGTTTTTTTGTTTTTTTTTTGTTTTTTTGACAGGGTCTCACTTGGCTGGAGTGCAGTGGTGCAGTCGTGGCTCACTGCAGCCTCAGTACCTGGCTAATTTTTTAATTTTGTGTAGAGATAGGGTTTCACTGTGTTGCCCAGTCTGGTCTCTAAATCTTGGACTTAAGTGATCTTCCCTCCTTAGCCTCCCAAAGTGCTGGGATTGCAGGTGTGAGCCACCGTGCCTGGCCAAGTTTTAATTTCAATAAAAATTGCTGTAAAGTATTCTACATTATGAATATACTACATTTTATTCATTGTTCTCCTACTGATAAACATTTTTCAATGTTTAAGTACTATAAATAATGCTGCAATGAACCTCCCTGTAGATGTGTTGTTAGACAAATGTTCTAGCATCTTTCTGGGACAGACATCTAGAAATGGAATTGCTGAATCATCATATTCATTTTTACATTAATATTTCAACCTATAAATGTTTTCAAACTACATGAGGGAAACAACTAAGCTCTTTTGCCTATCAAAGTTACTCAGCATATAACCTGTACTTTCTAGGATTTTTTTTTTTTTTTTTTTTTTGAGACAGAGTTTCACTCTTGTTGCCCAGGCTGGAGTGCAATGGTGCGATCTTGGCTCACTGCAGCCTCGCCTCCCAGGTTCAAGCGATTCTCCTGCCTCAGCCTCCTGAGTAGCTGGGATTACAGGCATGCACCACTGCGCCCGGCTAATTTTGTAGTTTTTAGTAGAGACGGGGTTTCTCCACGTTTGTCAGGCTGGTCTCGAACTCCCGACCTCAGGTGATCCGCCCAACTCAGCCTCCCAAAGTGCTGGGATTACAGGCATGAGCCACCGTGCCTGGCCATTCTAGGAAATGTTAAGAAGGAGCAAGCCATCCAGAATTGGAGACAGGAGAGTATTCTGAAACTTTTAGCCAAAATTTGAACTTATTATTTGATCTTCAGTGAGTTTTATGTTCCTTCCTCAGGCTTTGTTATTTTGCTTTTGAAGTAGTTAAAATAGGTATATGTCCCCCTTTAAATACAGAAATCTGATTATACAAACAATTTCATTTAAAGAGTTTACAGAAAATCGGCCGTTCGTGGTGGCTCACGCCTGTAATCCCAGCACTTTGGGAGGCCAAGGCAGGCAGATCACTTGAGGTCAGGAGTTCGAGACCAGCCTGGCCAACATAGTGAAATCCTGTCTCTACTAAAAATGCAAAAATTCGCTGGGCATGGTGGTGTGCGTTCGTAATCCCAGCTACTTGAGAATCTGAGGCACGAGAATCACTTGAACCCGGGAGGTGGAGGTTGCGGTGAGTTGAGATCGTGCCACTGCACTCCAGCCTGGGTGACAGAGCAAGACTCTGTCTCAAATATAAAATAAGAGTTTACAGAAAATCCTTGTACATAACTCAAGGGTCTAGAATTTAAGAAATAAGTTTAGAACAGAATTTAGAGTGTGAAACGACCATAAAGACTTATCTAGTTCAGTCTTGATTTATAGATGTGACAAATCAAGGCACAGACAACTTAAATTATTTACTTGGATTCTTCTGATTGCTAGCAGAATCTGTTGAAACACACATACTCAAAGTCCCTTTGAAGAAAACAGCTTTGTTTGTAAACCACTAGAATCTTTGCAACAGACATTTAATACTGCACAGTGACTTCTTTTGTTTACCTCTTGCTATTTGACCTCAGTAACTCACAGAAATGCCATGCCTGTTGTTCAAAGCAAGTGTGAAAAAACAGTCTTTGTTTATAACCTGCTTTTGTGGTGAGAACTGTAGAAGCTCACTTACCCAATGTGACTTGGACTGGTAATTAACTGAAAAGTTGGTTAAAGGCTTTTTCTTGGAGGTGTGGTCCATGGATTGGAGTTCTGTATTATCTTTTGTGCATACACTTTACCCGTAATTTCCAGGTGGATTTCTTTGAAATGGCTGGAGAACTTAGACTTTGTAGAGCATCTGAGAGTGCCAAAACCTCTTGGATTTTTGTAGAGTTCACTCCCAACCTTTTCTAATTTTAATGCTTATACCTAGTTAGCAGTATTTTTTTTTTCTAGAAGAAACACTTCATTTAAAAAATTTTCCCAAAGCTTTCAACTTATAATATCTATTCTAGAATGTCAAAGTCATTGTAATAACAGTTCAACAACCAGGCCTTCAGAAGTTTTTATACTATTTAATTATATTTCATAATTAACTGTAACGAGTGTAACTAGCACAGACAGATACCAGAATGAACTTGGTTGACCCATGATGTGTAGCAACTCCTGTCTACAAGCTCTGAGCGTTAGGCAAACCATAGGCTGATGGGTATATGTTGGAGGGATAAAAGTTGGTCAGCTTTCTGATGACTCAGCTCAGTGGAGGTTGCTTAAGAGAGCTGCTACTGTATCCTTAAGGGGCCATTGGTAAATTTTAGGACAAGTATCTTCAGGGAACCTAAAGGGAAAATAAATTGTGTGTGTGTGTGTGTGTGTTTGTGTGTGTGTGTGTGTGTGTGTGCGCGCGCGCGTGTGTGAAGCCTTATTGAAGAGTAGCAATAGACTCTTTCTTACTAGGCGTAATCAAGTTGCCCTCCTGGGGAAACTCAAATGCAAAAATCCTCTTGAACTTTTCTGGGTAGCCTACTCTACTCTTTCCTAATAGTACCACTACAGTATACAGCACTGTAAAATTTTTTGCTTTAAAAGTTTGTTTATAAACTGGCATTTATAAGTATACTTTTTGAGCTGATTTAAGAATCAAGTTTTTTTTTCTAGGGAAATGCTTCTTTGTAATTATCTGTCACTAGCAAAATTTGTTTTAACATATATTTTTCTAAAAATATGATATGTAAACTGTGTTGTAGTTGTACAATTAAAGGTTTTTGGTCGAACAGTTATTACATGATGTAAAATCATGTGTAACACTTTAATATTAATTACATTGTAACCTAAAATTCATTTTAAAACTTTTTATGTGGCTTGAACAGGAATTTTCTTATCCAAAGCTTTGTATGTATGCTTTATTGCCTCCTTTGTTATTAGCATGGAGACCATGGGTTTTCTGTTATTGTTGTTTCATTTAAACAGTTCATGAATATATTAAGCACCTGAAAGAAACTGTTAGATGCTGTTAATAGGAAGAGGAGTTAAAAACCTCGTCCTTGCCCTTATCTACATGTGTACATGTAGAACTTACTGTAGTTCCCTAGATGTAGCAGGTGCTCAGGAAACATTTTTGTAGTAGTAAAAAAGAAATGTCAAACTCTAACTTGCTCTGGAGCAAATTCCGCTAGTAAACATTGTTTTTCAAGCTTCTTTTTTTTGCCTTGCGTCCTACTTTCTTAGGCCAAAATAATTCATCCACATCCCACCTTAGCTGTTTTTTTGTGTCAAACAAAAATCTTATTTGGAAATAGCATGTTACGCCAACTGTGTTGGGGCATCCCATACTGTATTGCATTAAATGAGGAGAAAGATGCAGAGGCCATGTGGGGAGGATTGTGATCCTGATAAGAGTGGGATGAGGGATAACAACAGAGAGACTGCCGTTCAATATTTCTTTCTTTCTTTTTTTTTGAGACGGAGTCTGGCTCTGTTGCCCTAGGCTGGAGTGCAGTGGCGTGATCTTGGCTCACTGCAAGCTCCGCCTGCCAGGTTCACGCCATTCTCCTGCCTCAGCCTCCCAAGAAGCTGGGACTACAGGCGCCCGCCACCACGCCCGGCTAATTTTTTGTATTTTTAGTAGAGACGGGGTTTCACTGTGTTAGCCAGGATGGTCTCAATCTCCTGACCTCGTGATCCGCCCGCCTCGGCCTCCCAGCGTGCTGGGATTACAGGAGTGAGCCACCGCGCCCGGCCTGCCATTCAGTATTTCTAATTAATTCAGATGGGGAAGAAAATCTCTAGTGACTATTATTTTTTAAACCTGTACCTGTGTGTCCCTCCAGTGAAGGCCATTTAAACCCCATTTTTGGTGAAGTAGTTTATGATTCATTTATGTGAAACTTTTAGTTACTAGAAACACTACAGGTATTTTGTACTCCTGTGATTTTTAAAAAAATGCTTCTTTTTTTCCCCTAGTCTCCTTATATACATTTGACAAAGCCAAACAGTGTATTGGCACAATGACCATCGAGATTGATTTCCTGCAGAAAAAAAGCATTGACTCCAACCCTTATGACACCGACAAGATGGCAGCAGAATTTATTCAGCAATTCAACAACCAGGCCTTCTCAGTGGGACAACAGGTAGTTTTTAATTTTCTTTCATTCCTTTAACTTTATAGGTATTCTAATTTCTGCAGTTTTCCAAAATTAATTCCACCTTTTAAAAAGTGAGAGGGGCTTTGCGTATCAACTCGTATATCCAAGGTGAGTGATAAAAGTGAGGGAGATGTATTTACTGAACTTCAAGGAGTCTGTTCAGAAAAATTCTAAAGTAGCTTTTAGATTAAAATGTCATGTATAATTATAGCAGCTTTTCCCTCAGCAAATTTGGGAACCCTGTGGACATATATATCTGAAATTCCTTTTTATATCATAGGACATTTGTTTTGCCTCTGGAATGTCTGTCTCTTTCACTAATATAGTTCTGTAGAAAATGTAGCTCTTGGCCAGACATGGTGGCTCATGCCTGTAATCCCAACACTTTGGGAGACTGAGTTGGGAGGATCGTTTGAGCCCAGGAGCTCAAGATCAGCTTGGGCAACAAAGTGAGACCCTGTCTCTACAAAAATTTTTTTAAAAGTAGCTGCGTGTAGTGGTCTCAACTACTCAAGAGGCTGAGGTGGGAGGACGGCTTGAGCCTGGGAGGTTGAGGCTGCAGTGAGCCATGATTGTGCCACGGCACTCCAGCCTGGGTGACAGATCGAGATTGTCTCAAAAAAAAAAAAAAAGTTCTTATTTTGGTTATGGGCTTATTTGAGAATCTTAAAAAACTGAATTCCTGCTAGATAGGAAAAGGATATAGTACATTATTTTAAAAAGAGTACTAGAATTGGAATGAACCTCAAGAGATTACCTTATGTAACTCCACATATACAAATGAGGAATTTTATTTTTTTATTTTTTAAAATTTTATTTATTTATTCATTTATTTTTTGAGATGGTGTGTTACCCTGTCATCCAGGCTGGAGTGCAGCGGCACCATCTCAGCTCACTGCAACCTCCGCTTTCTGGGTTCAAGTGATTTTCCTGCCTCTGCCTCCCGAGTAACTGGGATAACAGGCATGCGCCACCACACCCGACTAATTTTGTACTTTTAGTAGAGATGGGGTTTCACCATGTTA